>NC_000002.12:47463079-47766109 GCF_000001405.40 Homo sapiens | reverse complement strand
TCCGTTTTTGCCTTTAAAAACTTGCTTGTGACAAAGATCAAACAAAGCCCATATCCAAGGGTTACTTGGGTCTGAGTCTTCCAGGCAGCTGTCCTCAGTTTGGCTCAAGTAAACTCTTTATATTTTGTGCCTCAGCCTCTTCCTTTTAGGTTGACAATATCTAATGAGGTTCCTCATCCTCCGCCGCACTCTGGGTAATGTCTGATCACCCTGCTTGCCTTCAACAAGAATCCTGTCAGATCAGTTTAGCCAGGATATCCCCTTCCCCCAATGTTTCCTCTTAATAATTTCCATGCATCACCCACCTCTGCCCCCCACTGCTCCTTGGCTATACATTCCTACTTGCAGTGCTGTGTTTGGAGTTGAGCTCAGTCTCCCAATCTCTCCCCAACTTCAGCAGCCCATTGCAGTGGTTTCTATAGCTATCTTCCTAGTCCCTCCTTTAATAAAGTTTGCCTAACTATCTTCAACGAGTGTCATGAAGCATTTTTTTCTTTAATACATTCACTGAGTGGCAGGAGTGGTCCTCCTTTTTTCTGAGCTTCAGCACAGAAATGGGTTAGGATAACTTCTGAAACTGCCTTTGCAGTTCAGAAGTTCGGGCGACTCTCCTGCCTCATCCTCCCAAGTAGCTGGGGCACACACAGGCACACACCACTGTGTCTGGCTAATTTTTGTATTTTAACAGAGGCAGGGTTTTGCCATGTTGGCCAGGCTGGTCTCAAACTCCTGACCTCGAGTGATCCGCCAGCCTCGGCCTCCCAAAATGCTGGGATTACAGACGTGAGCCACCGGTGCCCAGCCTGGTTGTGGACTTTAGAGATGTAATCTCTTCTAGGACAAAGCTGACCATGAATAGGAGACTAGGAGACAGAAGTCCAAACCCCACAGGACTGGGAGACGCAAGGCAGCAGGCTGAGCCGAGGGTGTGAGTGCGAGCCTAAACCATCTTCCCCAACCAGGCTTGTAGTCTGTATCAACATTACTTTACTCTTCCACTGTTTTTATCAATGTGATTTTACTATTATAGGAAACTCTTGGCAAGAACGATAAAAGTTGCAAATGACTTTATTCATTCCAGGAACTTCCTGAAAGACATTAAAATCTAAATGCACCCCCCTCTCCCGGGACATTTGGAGACATCTGAGGTTGTCAGACTGGGATGGTGCTGGTGGTGCTACCCACATCTACTGAGTAGAGTCCAGGGATGCTGTTAAAGATTCTGCAATGCACAGGAGAGCACCCCCCACCCCCACAAAGAATTATTTAGCCCCAAATATCAAAAGGGCTGAGATGGAAAAATCCTGATTTACATGAACATCAAAGTGTTCGATTATTTGTGTTTTTGGTTTTGTTTTTGTTTTTGAGACGGAGTCTCGCTCTATTGCCCAGGCTGTAGTGCAGTGGCGCGATCTCAGCTCACTACAAGCTCCATCTCCCGGATTCAAGAGATTCTCCTGCCTCAGGGTCCCAAGTAGCTGGGATTACAGGCATGCGCCACCAAGCCCAGCTAATTTTTGTATTTTTAGTAGAGACGGGGTTTCACCATGTTGACCAGGCTGGTCTCAAACTCCTGACCTCAAGTGATCTGCCCGTCTCGGCCTCTCAAAGTGCTGGTATTTCAGGCATGAACCATCACACCCGGCCAGTGTTCAGTTATTTAATAGGAAATATCAAAGGACAGTTCACTCCCCAAGACTCTTCAATATCCTTGCCTCTAAACCCTTGCTTTGCTGTATCCATTAATCTAAACTATTGTAAGATGCTTCTCACCCAATTTTAATGAAGTCTGTGCGTTGAAATGCCCACCTTAAACCAGACTGCCCTCTCTCTGCCAGAACCTCCTAAAATTTTGTTCAGGTAGTGTTTTGCCTCACCTCAGGCAAAACAAACCTAGGTTTGTTTCAAAGATTGTTTTAGTGATAATTTCTTTTTTTTTTTTTTTTTTTTTGAGACGGAGTCTTGCTCTGTCACCCAGCCTGGAGTGCAGTGGTGTGATCTCGGCTAACTGCAACCTCTGCCTCCAGGGTTCAAGCAATTCTCCTACATCAGCTTCTCGAGTAGCTGGGACTACAGGCGCCCACCACCATATCTGGCTAATTGTTTTTGTATTTTTAATAGAGACGGGGTTTCACCATATTGGCCAGGCTGGTCTTGAACTCCTGACCTTGTACTCTGCCCGCCTCAGCCTCCCAAAGTGCTGGGATCACAGGCAAGAGCCACTGCGCCCAGCCTGTTTTGGTGATAATTTCAAGGAGCCCATCCCCTACAGGCACGTCCCTGCATCACTTCGTTGGAAGGTGTGCAGCTCACCAGTCTCCATTCCTGCCTGGGAGGGTGGGAAGGATGGGGAGCGAACCCCAGGTCTCCAGTGAAGCCCAGCCCTCCCAGAATAGGCACCTCCCCACTCACCACAGCCTCCCCTCTATTCCTCAGGCCGGCCCAGGCATGCAGACTGCAGACCTACCCAGATCAAGACTCAAAAACAAGAGACCTGTGTTCTGACTTTCCAGATAGCCCATTAGCAGACCCTTCACAAAACCCGTGTCCCCATCTCTAAAAAAAATTAAACTGGCTGGATGCAGTGGCTCACGCCTGTAATCCCAGCACTCTGGGAGGCTGAGGTAGGTGGGTTGCTGGAGCCCAGGAGTTCAAGACCAGCCTAGGCAACAGAGAGAGACCCTGTCTCTACAAAAAAAATTTTTAAAAATTAGCCAAGTGTGGTGGCATGCACCTGTGGTCCCAGATACTTGAAAACTTAGGTGGGAGAATCACTTGAGCACAGCAGTCCGAGGCTGCAGTGAGCCATGTTCTCACCACTGCACTCCAGCCTAAGCTACAGAATGAGACCCTAACACAAGAAAAAAAGGTAATAATAATTGTGATGGTTAATACTGAGTGTCAACTTGATTGGATTGAAGGATACAAAGTATTGATCCTGGGTGTGTCTGTGAGGGTGTTGCCAAAAGAGATTAACATTTGAGTCAGTAGGCTGGGGAAGGCAGACTCACCCTTAATCTGGTGGGCACAATCTAATCAGTTGCCAGTGAATATAAAACAGGCAGAAAAACATGAAGAGGAGAAACTGGCCTAGCCTCCCAGCCTACATCTTTCTCCCCTGCTGGATGCTTCCTGTCCTTGAACATTGGACTCCAATGTGGGGCTTCAGTTTCGGGGCTTGGCGTAGCTATCCTTGCTCCTCAACTTGCAGACAGCCTATTATGGGATCTTGTGATCATGTAAGTTAATACTTAATAAACTCCTATACATATATGTATATATATGTCCTATTAGTTCTGTCCCTCTAGAGAACGCTGACTAATACAATAATAACAATTGAAAAACAGAAAAGGAAGGAAGAAGTGAAAATGAAGCATCCCATTCTCAACAACTCAAGTACCCTGTTCCCAGTACCTGTTAACATTTTGGTGTGTTTTAGCCTTTTTGTCTGTGCATCTAACTTAGGATCATAGCTTATGTACAATTTCATATCTGATTTCTCTACTTACAGTGAGGGCATTTCCTTGTGATATTAAAATCTCTTTGGACAACTGAGCTTAATGGCTCCAAAATATTGCATCAAGTAAACATGTCAGAGGCATTCGAACCAGAGTGACTCCATCTTGAAGAAGCGCTGGGTAAAATGAGGCTGAGACCTGCCAGGCTGCATTGGAAGGAGGTCAGGCATTCTTAGTCATAGGATAAGACAGGAGGTCATAAGATACAGGTCACCAAGACCCTGCTGATAAAATAGGATGCGGTAAAGAAGCTGGCGCAATCTCTCCGAATCCAAGATGACAATGGGAGTGACCTCTGGTCACCCTCGCTGTACATTATATGCTAATTATAATGCATTAGCATACTAAACAACACTCCCACCAGCACCATGACAGTTTATACATGCTATGGCAATGACTCGAAGTTACTCTACATGGTCTAAAAGGAAGAGAAACCCTCTGTTCTGGAAATTCCCCACCCCTTTCCTGGAAAACTCATAAATAATCTACCCCTTGCTTAGCATATAATCAAGAAATAACCATTAAAAATAGTCAACCAGGCCAGGATTGGTGGCTCACACCTGTAATCCCAGCACTTTGGGAGGCCGAGGTGGGTGGATCACCTGAGGTCAGGAGTTTGAGGCCAGCCTGGCCAACAATGTGAAACCCTGCCTCTACTAAAAATACAAAAATTAGCCCTGGTGTGGCGGCGCACACCTGTAATCCCAGCTACTGGGGAGGCTGAGGCATGAGAATCACTTGAACCTAGGAGGCAGAGGTTGCAGTGAGCTGTACTGCACTCCAGCCTGGGTGACAGAGTGTGACTGTCTCAAAAAAAAAGTCAACCAGCAGGCTTTGGAGCTGTTCTGCCTATGGAGTAGCCATTCTTTTGTTTCTTTACTTCTCTAATAAACTTGCTTTCATTTTACTCTGTGGACTCGCCCCGAATTCTTTCTTTCTTTCTTTTATTTTTATTTATTTTTTTTGAGATAGAGTCTCGCTCTTGTTGCCCAGGCTGGAGTACAATGGTACAGTCTCGACTCACTGGAACCTCTGCCTCCTGGGTTCAAGCGATTCTCTTGCCTCAGCCTCTCAAGTAGCTGGGATTACAGGCGCTCAGTACCACGCCTGTCTAATTTTTGTATTTTTAGTAGAGATGGGGTTTCACTGTGTTGGCCAGACTGGTCTCAAACTCCTAACCTCAAGTCATCTGCCTCCCTCGGCCTCCCCAAAGTGCTGGGATTACAGGTGTGAGCCACCATGTCCAGCCCCAAATTCTTTCCTGAGTGAGATCCAAGAACCCTCTCTTGGGGTCTGAATTGTGACCCCTTTCCAGTAACAAATATAAGCTAGTGTTTATTTAAGAAATTTCTGGTCTGGGCGTGATGGCTCATGCCTGTAATCCTAGCACTTTGGGAGGTCGAGGCAGGTGGATCATCTCAGGTCGGAGTTCCAGACCAGCCTGGCCAACACAGCGAAACCCTGTCTCTACTAAAAATACAAAAAAAAAATTGACTGGGCATTGTGACAGGCACGTGTAATCCCAGCTACTCGGGAGGCTGAGACAGGAGAATCGCTTGAACCCAGGAGGTAGAGGTTGCAGTGAGCCGAGATTGCACCACTGCGCTCCAGCCTGGGCAACAGAGCGAGACTCCATCTCAAAAAAAAAAAAAACTTTTACACTACTGAACAATTGTTTTCTGTTTTCCACTATTATAAATATTGCCAGACTGGGCGCGGTGGCTCACGCCTGTAATCCCAGCACTTTGGGAGGCCGAGGCAGGTGGATCACCTGAGGTCAGGAGTTTGAGGCCAGCCTGACCAACATGGAGAAACCCCGTCTCTACTAAAAATACAAAATTAGTAGGGTGTGGTGGCACATGCCTGTAATCCCAGCTACTCGGGAGGCTGACGCAGGAGAATCGCTTGAACCCGAGAGGCGGAGGTTGCTGTGAGCTGAGATCGCGCCATTGCACTCCAGCCTGGGCAACAAGAGCAAAATTCTGTCTCAAAAATAAATAAATAAGTAAATAAAATATTGCCATTGAACGTCTTTGACCATAAAGCTCACTTTCCCCTTCCTCCAGTCATTGGTATATGATCAAGTCTGCCAGCAAACGGTTTGCTTTTTGAGAGCAGTAAGTAATTTATTTTGGTATCCTTTTTACTGCAGTCAGGGCTTGGCACATGGCAGGTATCCAAAACTGGTTGATTGACTGAGTGATGGCAACGAGACTCTCCTGCAGTTTTCCATCCTTCTAGTTCCTCTGTGACCTCTGCCTCCATTTGGCTGTGTGGAAGATCAGCACATAGCACCACAAAATATGCCTCTTTCACAGAAGGATTGTTGAGCTGAAGGCAAGAAAGTAGCAGATGCAGGAGAACTCTCTGCCCTCCTTGTGTTTACTGAAAAGCAGGATGTACATAGACAGAGACAAAACGTATCCCGCACCCACCTTTCTATCAGGGAGGACAAAGGTTAACTAACCACTGAAGACAACTTAACACCCTTAAGGGCCTAGAGATGGCTCCAGAAGAATCTAATTAACAAGCTTTCCTAACTTATCTTTATCTGCCATTTATTTGCCTTCCCCTAAGTTGTAACCCCTGGAGACTCAAAGTCTTTTCCCCTTATCTTGTTGTCTCTCTAAAAATAAATTTACCAATCCTTTTTTTTTTTTTTTTTGAGACAGAGTCTCTCTCTGTCGCCCAGGCTGGAGGGCAGTGGCACAATCTTGGCTCACTGCAACCTCTGCCTCCCAGGTTCAAGCTATTCTCCTGCCTCAGTCTCCCAAGTAGCTGGGATTACAGGCACCCACAACCAAGCACGGCTAATTTGTTTTTTTTTTTTTTTTTGAGATGGAGTCTTGCTCTTGTTGCCCAGCCTGGAGTGCAGTGGCACAGTCTCAGCTCACTGCAACTCTGCCTTACAGGTTCAAGTGATTCTCCTTGCTTCAGCCTCCCAAGTAGCTGGGACTACAGGTGCCACTACAATGCTCAGCTAGTTGTTGTATTTTTAGTAGAGACAGCGTTTCACCATGTTGGCCAGGCTGGTCTCGAACTCCTATCCTCAAGTGATCCGCCCACCTTGGCCTCTCAAAGTGCTGGGATTACAGGGGTGAGCCAGCATGCCTGGCCCAAAATTTACCATTCTTTGTTGAAGATGTTATATAAGCTGGAATTGAAAGCCACCTCTTTGAGAACTGCTCATTCTCTGAGTGTTTCCCATGTATATATGAAATATACATGCTAATAAACTTCTGTTCGTTTTTCTCTTGTTAATCTGTCTTTCATTACAGGGGTCCATTCCAACCAAGAACCTATGGGAGTTGAGGAAAAAAATAATTTTCCTCCCCTACAGCTGCCACAAGCCATACTCTCCTATTGCTACAAGACTTTTATTGTTGTCGTTTTGAGATGGGGTCTCCTTCTGTCACCCAGGCAGGAGTCCAGTTCACCATGTTGGCTAGGCTGGTCTCAAACTCCTGACCTCAGGTGAT
Organism: Homo sapiens; assembly: GCF_000001405.40. Taxonomy (NCBI): domain Eukaryota; kingdom Metazoa; phylum Chordata; class Mammalia; order Primates; family Hominidae; genus Homo; species Homo sapiens. The sequence goes on along the minus strand of NC_000002.12, from coordinate 47,759,112 downwards.
CTGCCTGCCTTGGCCTCCAAAAGTGCTGGGATTATAGGTTTGAGCCACCATGCCGAGAGGTGGCTTTCAATTCCAGCTTATATAACATCTTCAACAAAGAACGATAAATTTTTAGAGAAGCAACAAGACAAGGGGAAAAGACTTTCAGTCTCTAGAGCAGTTCTCCCACCTGAGCCTTGTGAGTAGCTGGGACTACAGGTGTGCACCACCACACTCAGCTAATTTTGCTTTCTTTCTTTCTTTTTTTTTCACTTTTTGTAGAGACAGGGTCCCACTATGTTGCCCAGGCTGGTCTTGAACTCTTGGGCTCAAGCAATCCTCCCTCCTCAGCCTCCCAAAGTGCACACCACCATGCTCAGCTAATTTTCTTACTTTCTTTTTTTTTAAACTTTTTATAGAGACAGGGTCTCACTATGTTGCCCAGGCTGGTCTTGAACTCTTGGGCTCAAGCAATCCTCCCTCCTCAGCCTCCCAAAGTGCTGGGATTACAGACGCGAGCCATGGTACCTGGCTTGCTATGAGACTTTGGTTTGACTCATGTAACCTTCCCAGGTTATTTTATCCTTGTTTAGAGATTGTTGGACCAGAACCATGGCGCTTGGCCCTGGGTGGACACGGAAGTCACCTAGAGAGCTTTAGCAAAAGTAGCCTCCGGCCCCCTCCAGAGACTCTGATGTATTAATAACTGGTCTTAGGTTGAGGCTCGGGCAAGGTGTTTTTTAAAAACCTCAGTAAGTGATTATAATGAGCAACCGAATTGAGAGCCCCTAATTAAATGGTCTTTGAGTTTCTTCCCAGTTCTTCTGATCTGTGAGCTTTGATTGGGTCAGGGTAATAAAGCAGGGATTCTGTCATATTGCTCTGAGAAAACAGAATACATTAATAATTATTTCCAAGAGCATACTGTTCAATTCTGGGTTCTCAAGGAAAAAGTTTTATAACGAGTCTTTTTTGGCTGGGCGCAGTGGCTCACACCTGTAATGCCAGCACTTTGGGAGGCCTTGGTGGGCGGATTGCTTGAGGTCAGGAATTTGAGACCAGCCTGGCCAACATGGTGAAACCCCATCTCTACTAAAATACAAAAATTAGCTGGGCATGGTGGTGTACGCCTGTAATTCCAACTGCTTGGGATGCTGAGGCATTAGAATCACTTGAACCCAGGAGGCAGAGGGTTACAATGAGCCGAGATTGCGCCACTGCACTCTAGCCTGGGTGACTCTGTCTTACCAAAAAAAAGGCTTTTTCCACCTTTTGGAAATATCTTGGCTCCCTTCACCCTTTCCAATTAGTGGCCCGACCAGGACTGCAAGTCAGCTTACCCTTTGATTATTTCCATTTCACAGATGGAGAAGGTGAGATTAGGAAAAGTCCTAAAGATAGTCAAGAATCCAACTGCTGGCAGATTCCATGGGTAGGAGGAGTTTCTGGAAGGTAGGAAAGTAGAAAACCTGCAAGTTTAAAAGCGCTTCAGAAGGCCAGGTGCAGTGGCTCACACCTGTAATCCCACCACTTTGTGGGGTGAAGGTAGGAGGATTACTTGAGCCCAGGAGTTTAAGAACAGCCTGGGAAACATAGGAGATCCTGTCTCTATTAAAAAATGTGTATTAGGCCAGGTGCGGTGGCTCACGCCTATAATCCCAGCACTTTGGGAGGCCAAGGCAGGCAGATCACGAGATCAGGAGATCGAGACAAGCCTGGCCAATATGGTGAAACTCCATCTCTACTAAAAATACAAAAACTAGCTGGGTGTGGTGGTGGGCGCCTGTAGTTCCAGCTACTTGGGAGGCTGAGGCAGGAGAATAGCTTGAATCTGGGAGGCGGAGGTTGCAGTGAGCCGAGATCGTTCCCCTGCACTCCAGCCTGGGTGACAGAGCGAGACTCCATCTCAAAAAAAAAAAAAAGTATATTAAAATTAGCCAGGCTGGGTGTGGTAGGTCATTCCTGTAATCCCAGCACTTTGGAAGGCCAAAGCAGGTGGATCACTTGAGGTCAGGAGTTCGAGACCAGCCTGGTCAACATGGTGAAACCCTGTCTCTACTAAAAATACAAAAATTAGCCGAGTGTGGTGGCATGTGCCTGTAATCCCAGCTACTCAGGAGGCTGAGGCAGGAGAATCGCTTGAACTCGGGAGGCAGAGGTTGCAGTGAGCTGAGATTGTGCCACTGCGCTCCAGCCTAGATGACAGAGTGAGACTCTGTCTCAAAAAAAAAAAAAAAAAAAAAAAAAGAATAAAATAAGTAGCCAGGCAGGCTGGGCATGATGGCTCACGCCTGTAATCCCAGCACTTTAGGAGGCCGAGGTGGGTGGATCACCTGAAGTCAGCAGTTTAAGACCAGCTTGGCCAACATGGTGAAACCCCGTCTGTATTAAAAACACAAAAAAAATCAGCCGGGCATGGTGGTACGCACCTGTAATCCCAGCTACTTGGGAGGCTGAGGCAGAAGAATCACTTGAACCAGGGAGACAGAGGTTACAGAGAGCTGCGATCGCACCACTGCACTCCAGCCTGGGTGACAGAGCAAGACTCCGTCTCTGGAAAAAAAAAAAAAAAAATATATATATATATATATATATATATATATATATATATATATATATATAAAGTAATTAGCCAAGCATGGTGGAGCATGCCTGTAGTAGTCCTACCTAATCGGGAGGCTGAGGTGGGAGGATCATCTGGGCTTGGGGAAGTCGAGGCTGTAGTGAGCCATGATCACACCACTACACCCCAGCCTGGGCAACAGAGTGAGACACTGTGTCCAAAAAAAAAAAAAAAATGAATAGACAAAAAATAAAAGTTAAAAAAAAATCTGAAAGCTCTTCAGGTTGGAAGCAGGTAAAGCAAAGTGAAGATCCTTGGAGCAATCTACCTTGCTACCTACTCCTGCCGCAGAACATCAGCCTCCCTGCCTATAATCCCACCACAATACTGCAGCTCTTTGATTCTCACAAGTTTTTCTGATATCTTTAATTGCAAACCCTCCCACTGTGGTTTTCCAGAGCTCTAGTCAGTTAGCAGTTAAGACAGCAGCAGGGATTAGGAGTGAGCCAGGGGAGAGCAAAAATGGGGGCTGCAGCTGTTTCCAAGGCAGCAGGAGGGGAGCCAGCCGGGAGGAGGCCGTGCCTGTCAGCCAGGCATTCAGCTGGGGGCCACCTCTAGAGATAGAGACAGTCAAGTTACACAGCAAATGAGTTTTTCTAACAGCTCATTCATCCTCTAATTTAGTAGTGAAATATTACCTGGATGTACTTGAATCACCTTCAGGGGCTTGTAAAACACCCCTAAAGAGATTAAAATGATTTCCCCTGACAATTCCATGACTTAACAATAGCTCAGTAAGGAATGAAAACCAAAACACTGCCATAGAGAAGAAAATAATTATTTCCTTCTGCTCGTAGGCAGATATGGGGCATTATAGAGGCATAGCAACAAGGAATACTGTCTCCAGGAGAATGGAAAATTACCATGGGCTCCAGTCTGAGGCTTCTTCCTGATCCACCAAGTTCCTGAGAAAATAAGATGGGAAGAAGGAGACAGCGCTCCCTGCTGTGGGTTCCCAGCTTGCTCTCATCTCCAACTCACTATGAAATGCAAATTTACTTTCTGCTTCAAGGAACCGTAAGTTCCTTCTGAAATGACCATGGGCACAGAAGAATAAAATGCAACACAACGTCTGGACTATCAATACTCTTATTTTACATTTAAAACATTAGCCTGGCCAGGAATGGTGGCGCATGTCTGTAATCCCAGCACATTAGGAGGCCAAGCTGGGAGGATCACTTGAGGCCAGGAGTTCGAGACCAGCCTGAGCAGCACAGTGAGAACCGCCCCCCCACCCCCCCCACCTCTGCAAAAGAAAAGAAAAATTAAAATTAAAAAATCAGGTTGGGCTTGGTGGTTCATGCCTGTAATCCCAGCACTATGGGAATCCCAGGCAGAAGGATTTCTTGAGCCCAGGAGTTTGAGACCAGACTGGGCAACATAGGGAGACCTGGTCTCTACAAAAAAATGAAAACATTAGCCATGCATGGTAGTACACACCTGTAGTCCTAGCTATTTGGGAGGCTGAAATGGGAAGATTGCTTGAGCCTGGGAGGTTGAGGCTGCAGTGAACTGTGATGGCACCACTACACTCCAACCTGGGCAACCGAGGGAAACCGTGTCTCAAAAAAAAAAAAAAAAAAAAATTAGCTGGGCATGGTCACCCACACCTGTAGTCTTAGCTACTCAGGAGGCTGAACCAGGAGGATTGTTTGAGCCCAGAAGTTGGAGGCTGCAGTGAGCTATGATCATGCCACTGCACTCTAGTCTGGGCGATAGTGCACGACCCTATAAATAAACAAAACATTAGCCCAAAATTCAAACTTTTAGCTACAATGGACCAAATAGCTTCACATGTACACAAAGCTCAGATGTATTTTTATACTCTACGCTGTTATCTTCCAAAAGAGTAAGACGCTTCCTGTTGCTTTTTTAAAAATTTATTTTATTTTATATATTTTTTGAGATGAGGTCTTGCCATGTTGCCTAGGCTGGTCTCAAACTCCTGGGCTCAGGCAATCCTTCTGCCTCAGCCTCCCAGAGTGCTGGGATTACAGATATGAGCCACTGGGTCCAGCCTTTGTGTTTAATAAAGGAAAGGAAATGGGTTAAATGATAAATACTTCCCCTACAGAAATAAAACACTACTTGCTCATTGCGAAGTTTATTTTTATGTCTTCTAAATAGTGGCAGACACTTGCTGAAACCAAACCTGTAGACGTCTCAACAGCTTTATTTTTTGTCCATTCTATTTTGGGCTCCATTATTGAAGCAATCATTATTGGCAGACATTGCTCTACTAATAATTCTTGGAGCAGTTTCATTTTTTTTTTCTCCTTAGTGCAATACAACTAAACATATTACTCTCTCAGGATAATCTGGAGTGTGGGAGTGGGAGGGGGGCAGAAAATATCATATTCCTAATTGGAGTTTGTGTTGATCCAAAATATATAAGTCTAGTTCATGAGTACTCCTCACCCACATTTTAAGCACAAACAGGTTTCTACAAAGGTTTGAGATCTGAGAGACACAGAAAGCTTCCCAATAGCCCTGCTGTGGTTCCTGTAATTCCAGTGGGATCCTCCCCTTTGCATTAAACATTGTATCTCAAAACTTGCAGAACTGCATACTATGAATTTATTAAGAATTTGGGCTTCTGTTATGTGATTTTGAGGAGTGATCAAAGAAACAGGCTTTGCTCTGGATTAGATACTGTCAGAAAGTGGGTGTAATTCTATTAAGAATCTTTTTGGCAGGGCTCAATGGCTCATGCCTGTAATCCCAGCACTTTGGGAGGCTGAGGCAGGTAGATCACTTGAGCTCAGGAGTTCAAGACCGGCCTGGGCAACATGACGAAACCCTATCTCTACTTAAAAAAAAAAAAAAAAAAAAATATTAGCTGGGTGTGATGGCACACGCCTGTGTTCCCAGCTGCTTGGGAGGCTGAGGTGGGAGGATCCCTTGAGCCTGGGAGGCAGAGGTTGCAGTGAGCCTAGATTGTGCTACTGCACTCCAGCCTGGGTGACAGAGTGAGATCAGGCTATAATGCAGTGGTGCAATCACAGCTCACTACAGCCTTGAACTCCTGGGCTCAAGCAATTCTCCTCCCTTCTTCTCCCAAGTAGCTGAGACTACAGGGTTTTGTTTGTTTGTTTGTTTGAGACAAGTCTCGCTCTGTCACCCAGGCTGGAGTGCAGTGGCGTGATCTTATGTTTTTTGTTTTTATAGAGACAGGGTCTCACTATGTTACCCAGGCTGGTCTTGAACTCCTGGTCTCTAGCAATCCTCCCACCCCAGTCTTCCCAGTAGCTGGGATTACAGGTGTAAACCATTACCTGGCTCTATTGAGAATTAATATTTATTTATTTTTTAATAATTTTTTTTTATTTTTAAGAGACAGAGTCTTACTCTGTCACTCAGGCTGTCACAGCTCACTGCAGCCTCTACCTGCCAGGCTCAAGTGATCCTCCCACCACGGCCTCCCAAGTAGCTGAGACTACAGGCATGAGTCACTGTGCTCAGCTGGAATCTTTTTCTTTTTTCTTTTTTTTTTTTTTTTTTTTTTTGAGTTGGAGTTTCACTTTTGTTGCCCAGGCTGGAGTGCAATGGCGCAATCTCGGCTCACTGCAAACTCCGCCTCCCGGGTTCAACCGATTCTCCTGCCTCAGGCTCCCGAGTAGCTGGGATTACAGGCATGAGCCACCACACCCGGCTAATTTTGTATTTTTAGTAGAGATGGGATTTCTCCATGTTGGTCAGGCTGGTCTGGAACTCCCAGCCTCAGGTGATCCACCCACCTCGGCCTCCCAAAGTGCTGGGATTACAGGCGTGAGTCACCGTGCCCGGCTCAGCTGGAATCTTAATATTTCTTATCTAGAAGAACAAACTGAGGCTAAAGCTGTAATTGAAAAAGAAGCACCACTCACTCCTATGAGACAGAAACAGGGACTTTTGTTCATTTTTGTGGTTTGGGCAATGTTCTTGTTTGGTCTGTGTTGTGAAATGATGACGGAATGAACAGTTTTGTTCTTTGTCACTCTCAAAGGGGCCTTGTCTTCTGTTGATGTTCCCTGAGCATCAGTGTTCAACAGCAGAACACTACAGCCTGGCTCTGGGTGCCAGGCTGGCTCCTGTCTCTTTTCTTTCTCATTGTTAGCGCTGTTAATAGTGAAACATTGCTAATTTCCAGGTTCATTTTTTACCTTAGAGAACCAAAGAGATGGGCCCTGAAACTGGTAGCATCAGCAGGGCCCAAGGAGGAAGCACATGCACTTAATCTGCAGGAAAGTCCATTAGACTATGTGTGTTACAGCAGGGAGCTGGTCGGGCCTAAGCAGAGCCCACACACCAAAAATATCAGGTGACCATCGTGATGGTCAGGCAGTTGTCAACCTGTCTCTCTAAAATAATAATTGGTCACAGCCAGCGCCAGGGAAGCACAGTCTCCTAATAGATAGAAAACACCGAAACAGGTGATCGGCAGCTTCCTGATAAGATCTCAGGAGTTGGGCAAGTGGCCTCAGGCATGTACATGCAGACGGCCCACCCCAACGAGAAACAGGGAGAATTAACGAGACCCTGGAAGTGTGCCAATGTATAAAACCCCTAGCCATAAGGTCAAACTGCACACTGATCTCTCAAGTCACCCGCTTGGGCCTCTTCTAAGTGGACTTGACTTCCTTTCATTCCTCCTCTAAAGCTTTTTAAACAAACTTTCACTCCTGCTCTAAAACTTGCCTTCACTCCTGCTCATAAACCTGCCTTACGCCCCTCACTCAAATTCTTTCTTCTGAGGAGGCAGGAATTGAGGTTGCTGCTGACCCACCAGTAACACATTCGCCACATGTGGGCCAAAAAAAACTTCCCCGTCCCCTTCTGACAAGTCAACTCACAAAAGGTAGATTAACAGATATGTCAACCTAAAAAGAGGAACCTGAGGCAAAATTATTATTTTTGTTTGTTTATTTTGAGGCGGAGTTCACTGTTTGTTTATTTTGAGGCAAATTCTCACTCTGTCACCCAGGCTGGAGTGCAATGGCAAGATCTTGGCTCACTGTAACCTCCACCTCCCAGGATCAAGTGATTCTCCTGCCTCAGCTTCCAGAGTAGCTGGGATTACAGGCAGCTGCCACCACGCCCAGCTAATTTTTGTATTTTTAGTAGAGATGGGGTTTCACCATGTTGGCCAGGCTGGTCTCAAACTCCTGATCTCAGGTGATGCCCCACATCGTGGCCTCCCAAAGTGCTGGGATTACAGGCATGAGCCACCCTGCCAGGCTCCAAGGCAAAATTAATATAAATAGAGAGTTTAATTGAGCCAAGCTTAAGGATTGAAACCTGGGAACATATATTCAAGTTGCCTTGAATATACACTCTGATTAGCAACAGTTACAAGTATGTTTCTAAAGGAAAAGAAGAGGCAGGTCCTAAATTCTTTACCAAGAATTTACATTAAAATAACATAAGCTATTGTTTGGCTATCCATTGTTCTTTGTCCAGGAACATGAAGATAATGGATAGGGCAGCTAGTCAGGAACAAAATGACTTTAAACAGTTGTCTCAGACCAGGTTCTGTGGCTCATGCCTGTAATTTCAGCATTTTGGGAGGCCAAGGTGGGCAGATCATCTGAGGTCAGGAGTTCAAAACCAGCCTGGCCAACATGGCAAAACCCTGTCTCTGCTAAAGATACGAAAATTAGCTGGATGTGGTGACGTGCACCTGTAGTCCCAGCTCCTTGGGAGGTTGAAGCACGAGAATCACTTGAACCCAGGAGGCAGAGGTTGCAGTGAGCCGAGATCGTGCCACTGCACTGCAGCCTGGGTGACAGAGCAAGACTCTGCCTCAAAAGCAAGTTTTAGTATTATATGTTGCCTGATAAGGTACAACAAGAATAGTAATGGCCATACAGGCTCTTTTAAGTTGGCTTTGCTGGAACTAACTTACCTTACCTTACCTTACCTTACCTTTTTTTACCTTACGATAGGGTCTCACCGTGTTGCCAAGGCTGGAGTGCAGTGGCATGATCTCAGCTCACTCTAGCCTCAACCTCCCGAGCTCAGGCGATCCTATCACCTCAACCTTCTGAGTAGCTGAGATTACAGGCATGCACCAACATGCCCAGCTAATTTTTGTATTTTTTGTAGAGACAGGGTTTTACCATGTTTCCCAGGCTGATCTTGAACTTCTGAGCTCAAGCATTCCTCCTGCCTTGACCTCCCAAAATGCTGCAATTACAAGCATGAGCCATTGCACCCAGCCTGCTAGAACTTTCATAAGGAATTTCAAATTAGACTTTTAAAAGCTTCAAGACTTTGAAGCCAAGCCAAGGATTCACCATTAGACTGAACCTGTAATATATGTACAAATTGGGTGATTTCCTCTTTTCTCCAGGTGTCCATAATATCCTGAGGTTCCTGAGCCTCTCAGAAAGTGACATTCTTGGCCAGGTGTGGTGGCTCATGCCTGTAATCCCAAGATTTTGGGAGGCCAATGTGCGTGGATTGCTTCAGCCTAGGAGTTCAAGACCAGCCTGAGCAACATAGTGAGACCTCTTCTCTACAAAAAAAAATTTTTTTTTTAATTAGTTGGGCATGGTGGTGCATGCCTGTAGTCCCAGGTACTTGGGAGGTTAAGATGGGAGGATCGCTTGAGCCTAGGAGTTCAAAGCTGCAGTGAGCTATGATGGAGTGCCACTGCACTCCAGCCTGGGTGATAGAATGAGATCCTGTTTCAAAAAAATAATAATCAGAAAAAGAAAGTGACATTCTTTATTTACTTCAAGGCAACCATGTGAACTGTAAATTTAAAGTATGGGGCCAGTTTTTCCAAGGGTGTTTATTGGCTTCCTAATGTCAATCCTAGTTCCTTAAAGCTGTCTGGTCATATCTGAAAATGTGATATTTCAGTCAAACCCTTAATAAAACAACCAGTGTCTCCAACTGTGCTTTGTTACAAGAAGAACAGATTCTTTTTTTTTTTTACAAGAAGAATAGATTCTTATTAAACTTATGCTAATAACTAGATTGCCATAAAATAAGAATACTCATGAATAATTTTTAAACTTTGGAGAAATCAGGTAGAGAGAGACAGGTAAATGTTTCCATTTTGCTAATAAATGTATCTTTTACTCTATGTCTATAAGCTATAAATTACTCAAAAGACAAAAGTTTTATTGATTCTGCAGAACAAAATATAAAAGCAATCAGCAGTGTTTCAAATAAAAAGTCATAAAAGCCATTTTATCCCTTTATCAGATCAGTTCCATATAATTGATTCCTGTTCTGCTTGATGTTGGGTTAGCAATATTCATGAATGATGCATCAGTTTATTAGAATTCTGAAAGTTTTAACTTAATCCAATGATATGATCTCCAAAGTTATCAGAAACTTGTGTTCATGGCTGGGCATGGTGGCTCACGCCTGTAATCCCAGCACTTTGGGAGGCAGAGGCGGGTGGATCACTTGAGGTCAGGAGTTAAAGACCAGCCTGGCCAACATGGTGAAACTTCATCTCTACTAAAAATACAAAAAAAAAAAAAAATTAGCTGGGAGTGGTGGTGTGCACCTGTAATCCCAACAGTCCCCCAAAGTCTTAACTTATTCCAGCATTAGGTCAAAAGACCAAAGTCTAAAATCTCATCTGAGACAAGACAAGTCCCTTCTGCCTATGAGCCTATAAAATCAAAAACAAGTTAGTTACTTCCAAGATACCATGAGGGTACAGGCATTGGATAAATGCTCCCATTCCAAAAGGGAGAAATGGGTCAAAAGAAAGGGGCTACAGGCCTCATGCAAGTTTGAAATCCAGCAGGGTGGTCATTAAATCTTAAAGCTCCAAAATAATCTCTGTTGACTCCATGTCGCACATTCAGGGCATACTGTTGCAAGGGGTGGTATTCCAAAGCCTTGGGCAGTCCTGCTTCTGTGGCTTTCCAGGGCTGCTCTCAAGGGCTGATGTTGAGTGCCTGCAGCTTTTCCAAGTGCAGGGTGCAAGCTGTCAGTGGATCTACCATTCTGGGGTCTGGAGGATATTGGTCCTCTTCTCACAGCTCTACAGGGAAGTGCCCAATGGGGGCTCTGTGAGGGAGCTCTAACCCCCATATTTCCCCACCGCACTGCCCCAGAAGTGGTTCTCCATGAGGGCTCCACCCCTGTGGCAGGCTTCTGAGTGGACATCCAGTCTTTTCCATACATCCTCTGAAATCTAGGCAGAGGCTCCCAAGCCTCAGCTCTTGCACTCTGCACACCTGGATGCTTAACACTCTGTGGAAACCACCAAGGCTTCTGGCTTGCACTCTCTGAAGTAGTAACCCACGCTGTACCTGGGACCTTTTGAGCCAAGGCTGGAACTGGAGTGGTTGGGATGCAGGGAGCTGTGTCCTGAGGCTGTGCAGAGTGATGGGGCCCTGGGCCTGGCCCAGGAAACCATTCTTCCCTTCTAAGTCTCCAGACCTCTGATGAAAAGGGCTGTGGTGAATGTCTGTGAAATGTCTTCAAGGCCCTTTCCCCATTGTCTTCACTATTAGCATTTACCTTCTTTTTAGTTACGCAAAATTTATGCAGCTGGCTTTAATTGCTCCCCGAAGGTGGGCTTTTCTTTCCTTTTCTTTTCTTTTCTTTTTTTTTGAGTTGGAGTCTCTCACTGTCACCCAGGCTGGAGTGCAATGGCACGACCTTGGCTCACTGCAATCTTCACCTCCTCGGTTCAAATGATTCTCCTGCCTCAGCCTCTTGAGGAGCTGGGATTATAGGCATGTGCCACCACACCCAGCTAATTTTTGTATTTTTAGTAGAGACGGGGTTTCATCATGTTGGCCAGGCTGGTCTCGAACTCCTGACCTCATGATCTCCCTGCCTTGGCCTCCCAAAGTGCTGGGATTACAGGCGTGAGCCACCACACCTGGCCAGTGGGCTTTTCTTTTCTACCACATGGCCAGGCTCCAAATTTTTCAAGCTTTTATGCTTTGCTTCCCTTTTACTTTTTATTTATTTAGTTTTGAGACAGGGTCTCTGTCACTCAGGCTAGAGTGCAGTGGCACAATCATTGCCTTGCACAGCCTTGACCTCCTGGGCTCAGCCTTCTGAGTGGCAGAGACTATAGGCGTGTGCCACCACACCTGGCTACTTATTTATTTATTTATTTTATAGAGACAGGGTTTGTCCATGTTGCCCAGGCTAGTCTTGAACTCCTGGGCTCAAGTGATCTGTCTGCCTTGGCCTCCCAAAATTCTAGGATTACACGCATGAGCCACTGTGCCCATCCTGCTTCCCTTTTCAATATAAGTTTCAGGTTTACATCATTTCTTTACTCATGCATATGGGAATCAGTGGTTAGAAGCAGCCAGGCTACCTCTTGAACACTTTGCTGCTTATAAATTTTTTTCACCAGATACCCTAAGTCATCATTCTCAAGTTCAAAGTTCCATAGATCCCTAGGGCAGGGGCACAATGCCTCCAAGTTCTTTGCTAAGGCATAACAAAAGTGACCTTTGCTCCAGTTACCAAAAAGTTCCTCATTTCCATCTGAGACCTCCTAAGCCTGGACTTCATTGTCCATATCACTATAAGCATTTTGGTCACAACAATTTAACAAGTCTCTAGGAAGTTCCAAATTTTCCCTCATCTTCCTGTCTTCTTCTGAGCCCTCAAAACTGTTCCAACCCCTGTTTGTTACCCAGTTCCAAAGCTGCTTCTGCATTTTCAGGTGTCTTTATAGCAATGACCTACTCCTCAGTACCAATTAGTCCATTATGGGCTATAAAGAAATACCTGAGACTAGGTAATTTATAAAGAAAAGAGGTTTAATTGGCTCATGGTTCTGCAGGCTGTGCAGGAAGCATAGCAACTTCTGCTTCTTCAGAGGCCTCAGGAAACTTACAATCATGGTGGAAGGTGAAGGGGAAGCAGGCACATCTTGCATGGCTGGAGTAGGAAGGGTGGGGGTTGCTACAAACTTTTAACAACCAGATCTGATGATAACTCACTCACTATCACAGGAATAGTTCCAACGGGATGGTGCTAACCCATTCATGAGAACTCCGCCCCCATGATCAAATCACCTCCCACCAGGCTCCATCTCCAATACTGGGGATTACAATTTAACATGAGATTTGTTGGGGACACTGATCCAAAGTATATTAACATATCAATAACATAGTTATACAAATATTTCTTACTTGACAGTGTTTCCTGTACACTTTTAACATACCAGATAAGCCTAACATGGCTCTCTTGGACTTACAGGTGTTCCTTTTGGAAAAGTCTTCTTTTTTTTTTTTTTTTTTTTTTTTTTTGAGATGGAGTTTTGCTCTGTCACCCAGGCTGGAATGCAGTGGCACAATCTCCGCTCACTGCAACCTCCGTCTCCTGGGTTCACATGATTTTCCTGCGTCAGCCTGCAGAGGAGCTGCAATTACAGGCTACCACACCTGGCTAATTTTTAGTGGAGATGAGGTTTCACCATGTTGGCCAGGTTGGTCCCAAACTCCTGACCTCTAGTGATCTGGCCACTTTGGCCTCCCAAAATGCTGGAATTACAGGCGTGAGCCACCATGCCCAGCCTGTTGTGTAAACTTTAAGCAATATCTTTCCCATTATAAAAGTTTTCTTGTGGCTTGAGTGTAGGACGATGCTCTTAAAAATTGAGATTTCCTTTACAGATATTTATTTTACAAAGTGTTACAAAATAGCCAGCTAAATGCCACAGGTCTTATTTTAAATACCAATCTAGTTAGATAGGTGGTCTTTTCAATTTAGCTTGTTTCTGCTTAATTAGATTACTGACTTTAGGGTGGAACCCTTTAGTGAATAGGGCAAGGGAAGCATTTGTAGTCTTCAGGGTCAAATATTTAAATGTGAAAAGCAGGCACAACTGGAAGGCAGGGCATCGAAATTTTTAAAAATCAAGGGTCCCATTTTTACTGCATCCTGGGTCCCCAAAAGTTGGAAATGCCATGAGACCAGCCATGCGGTGGGTGACCCAATAAACCCATTCTAGCCTATCCCCCATGGGAGTCTTATCCCTCAATGATGAGCAGTCTTACACCTTTGAAGTGTTCAAATGATGCCTTTCTCATCTAAATGCACAAAGAAAAGTGTGCCCTGCCTGCAGTAGCAACCATTCATTGTATCCCCTGTCAGCCATTTCCAAAACTGCAGCCTTCACCAGTGACTTGTCAACCAGTGCACACACAAACGTCAGGTTCCCGCTCACAGCACAAAGCAACTCATGGAACCCACTAAAACCAAAGAGATTAGGCGATACAATGCAAAAAGGAATAGAGCTTTAGACCTGAAAGAAATTGCCCACAACACTTCAGACTCCATAAGGAAAACAGAAACTCCAAAAAGCAGGTGAGTGGTGCTGTGTTCTGTGTTCTTCAAGGGGTCTCAGGGTCATTAGAAGTCTCTTCTAAGCTTCATGTGGTATTGAAAATGACAAAAGGAAGGAGAAGCAGATGTGGAAGAAAATAGAAGAACAAGTCTTAGAGGAGCCAATTTGGGAAGATTTTCCGCTTTCAAAAAGGCCAATGAAGTTTTACATTTTTCTCAGCAAAAATCATGCCAATAAGATAGGAAGCAAACAGTGGGATCAAACACATTTAAAAAGGGGCTTTAGCTGACTGAGAAAAATCCCAGAAACAGAATCCAAAAAAGGAAAAAGAAGAAATATTTTATTCTCAAAAAAATTATAGCCTAAATATCAGCTTTTTTTTTTTTTTTTTTTTTTTTTTTGAGACAAGGTCTTGCTCTGTCACCCAGACTGAAAGCAGTGGCATAATCCAGCTCATTGAAACCTTGAACTCCTGGGCTCAACGATCTCCAGCTCATTGAAACCTTGAACTCCTGGGCTCAACGATCCTCCTAACACAGCCCCCTGGGTAGCTAGGACTACAGGTCTGTGCCACCATGCCTGACTATATATATATATATATATATATATATATATATATATATATATATATATATATATATATATATATTTTTTTTTTTTTTAACATTTTTTGTAGAGACGGGGTTTGCTATGTTGCCTAGGCTGGTCTTGAACTCCTGGCCTCAAGTAATCCTCCTGCCTCATTCTTTCTGATGCAGGATTTTTCTCAGCCTCACTTTGCCAGCTGGAAACTTCTGTGGCTGTCAGGGCCTCTGCTTATTTCTTCCCACCACCCCACTCCAGCCCATGGCTCCCAGCTGGCTTGGCTCTGCAAGCCGCTTCCCATCATGTGGGGCAGCTGCCTGGCACTGGCAAAGGATGGGAGGGCTACAGCTTACAGCTCCTTTCATCCCCTACTGTTTGGTGGGTCCCAGGTTCTTGTGTGTGGTGTGTGGTTTGTGTGTGGTGTGTGGTTTGTGTGTGGTGACTGGTTTGTGAGTATGCAAAAGACCCAAAAGAAAGACACCACTCAAAGGTGGGGAAGACAGTGTAAAAAAAACAATTAGGGAAGGGTAGGATATGTAAAATAGGTGAACGGTGAGGATCAAACAGAGGAAAGTGCACCAAATGGGAAGAGAGATTCCCAACCCAGTCTGTAGACTTGACTTGTAGCTTGGCTTTCAGGCTTTAAACTCTTTGGATTGAAGATGGGGTTTCACAGGGGACCCCACCTCCATCTGCCTAGACATTGGCCTGCCTCCTGCCGCTATCAATTCTTCGCCAAGTGTTGGGATTGTAGCAGTGAACCACTGCTCCCAGTACTAAATATCAACTTTTAGTGAAGATGACTTCTTCCCATAGAACTCTCAAAAAGAATCTTTTTGAATCTCTTATTATCAGATTTCAGCCAGGAAAAACATAAATTAGGTCTCCCATTCAGTGTGTCTGGTTTTAAAACCAGCTTTTTTTCTAGTTGTGAATGCAAATGAATTATTGTTATTATTATTATTTTTTGAGGAAAGGTCTCACTCTGTCAACCCAGGCGGGAGTGCAGTGGTGTGATCACGGCTTATTGCAGCCTCGACCTGTGGGGCTCAAGTGATCCTCCCACTTATTTTTTTATTTTTTGTAGAGAAAAGGTCTCACTATGTTGCCCAGGATGGTCTCAAATTCCTGGGCTCAAGTGGTCCTCTCACCTCGGCCTCCCAAAATGCCGATATTACAAGTGTGAGCCATGGCACCCAGCTGAATTATTTCAGACATTTCAGAAGATCCCTACTTTGGCTTCTGCTGCTTTTGAGTGTCCCAGGTTAAGCGAGCCCACTTTTCCTAGATATTTACAAGAAGACACCTGTAAGGGTTATACGTAAATCCAGCTGGTATTTCTAAAAAGAGTGCTTAGATTTTGAAGCTGATTTCCCATAATTTAAGAACTTTTCAAAAGTGGCCAATGGGGGAATGTGTTTAAGGTCAAAGTGTGACATGTCTCACACTGTCTCTAACTACCATGTGGCAGCACAGTGATCAAGGCATGGGAAACCAGACGTGTTATACGTGTCCAGAAGAGCAAAAAGGGGGTACACGTTTCAGTTAGGAACTAACAGGAACTGGTCACAAATGAAAGGCTAAGTCCACATTTTCAAGTGATGGAAAACAGCAGCCACCTTTTTTTTTTTTCTTTTTTTTGAGACAAGGTCGTGCTCTGTTGGCCAGGTTGGAGCATAGTGGCGTGATCACAGCTCACTGCAGCCCCGAACTCCTGGGATTAAGCAATCCTCCCACTTTGGCCTCCCAAAGTGCTGGGATTTCAGATGTGAGGCACCGTGCCTGGCTGAGCTGCAATCTTAAAAGCATGCTCTATGAAACTATGGGGGCCAAAGCCCTTGGTCCCCTAAAGGTTTGCTGAAAAATCACTGACATAAGGCAGATTGATTAATAGGAGAAAAGCCATACAGATTTGTTTGACGTGTATACACAGGAGCCTTCAGCATGAAGACCCAACCTCCTAATGAGTACAGAAGCTCAGATACCATCTTATTTTTCTCTCTCTCTCTCATGCTAAGAACTCTCCACAAATGGAAGGTTATATGCCATCTTGAGGTTACAGAAAGAATGGGGACTTCGATCCTGGCAAAACAGGTTATGGAGGTGGGGAGAAGAAGAATTCTGTTGAGGGGATTATTAGGGAGAATGAATGGATCTGGCAACAGAGATGAACTTGTAAATAGTTCGCTTTGAAATTTAAATGATCCTTGGAAACTGTCATTAAAACGGGTCTGTTCAGGTGTGTTTACGCCTTGGTCTTATTTTCTGCAATAGATAATGAGAAAACAGGGAGGGGAAGCAAAAAACAATCGTTCTCCTTGGTGGGTCTGGATCTTAAGCAGATAAAGGAACTTCAGCCTCTACAGGGGAGACAGTGGTGGGAGGGAGAGGTCAGAGAGACCTTGAGGCTTCTCAATTTCAATCTGTCAAAATGCTATCTTTTGGGGTATTGGTTTCTGAGCCCCAACAAAATGAAACCACCAGTACCTAACTGTCAATCTTTTGATCAAAAATTCTGCTGTGTCACAGGGGTAGAAAAACTTTGACCAGAACCCCTGATCCCAAGGCAGAGGGAGAAAAAAGGTAGTTCCCTGAAGAGCTTTTTACTCAAAGGTCCTGTTCAAAGGCAAAGCCCGAAGCTCTCCCCAGGACAGAGAGGGTTTGAAAAATAGTTCAAACAACGTTTGGACCTTCAATCAAAGAGTGGGAGGTTCTAATTCAGGAGAACTCACCCAAAACATCAGATGGGACACTGGAGGGAATGTTCATGCTGGTACCCAGTATCACTTTCAGAGAGAAACACAGGGTGGTTGAGGGGAGTTACTTTGAATCCTGCCAATTTCACCAGATTAGTCAACCTAAAAGGAAGAAGCTGAGGCCAACATAATGTAAGTAGAGTTTATTTGGGCCAAGCTTGAGGACTCCAACCTGGGAGCATAGATTCAAGTTGCCCTCTGATTAGCAACAGATACGAGTTGATTTTTAAAGGAAAAGAAGAGGCAGTTCCTAAATTCTTTACCAAGAATTTACATTTAAATAACATAAGCTATTGATTGGCTATCCATTGTTCTTTGTCCAGGGACATGAAGATAATGGATGAGGCAGCTAATCAGGAACAAAATGACTTTAAGCAATTGCCCTCAGACATGGATGCATGTGGTGAGGTGTGACTGAAGTCCCATACTCGTGTCTCTCTGGACCTGCATATCTCACACAGCTCAGACTTCTGTCAGCTGTTTTTCTTTTCTCAGAAGAAATGACGTACAGATTTATTAATGTGCACAAGGAGAACCACAGAGTGATTACTCCCACCCTTTCATGGGGTTCAGAAGCTTGTGTACCATCTTGAGGTTACAGAAGGAATGCCACCTTGGATTGTGGCAAAACACGTTCTGGGATAGGGAGAACATGTTATGCAGATGAAACCTTACAGGTAGCAGCCCTCAGAAAGAATAGAAGGTAGATGTTTCTTTCAGACTTTTAAGGTGTCAGACTTTCTAATCTTGCCCAGATCCAGATAGGGGAGGGCTTCAGAAACAGCCTGGTGGCATCAATGCAGATTCTTGCTGCAGATGCAAATCTTTCTCATAAGGAGATGGCTTTTAAGCTCTTTGTGTATTTCCGCCCTTCTGAATAGCCATCTTGAAATATGCCAAAGAGGGCCAGGTGCGGTGCTTACGCCTGTAATCCCAGTACTTTGGGAGGCCGAGGCAGGCGGATCACCTGAGGTCAGGAGTTCGAGACCAGCCTGGCCAACCTGGTGAAACCCCCTCTCTACTAAAAATGAAAAAATTCAGCTGGGCGTGGCGGTGGGCACCTGTAATCCCAGCTACTCAGGAGGCTGAGGCAGGAGAATCGCTTGAACCCAGGAGGCGGAGGTTGCAGTGAGCCGGGATGGCACCATTGCACTCCAGCCTGGGCAACAAGAGTGAAACTCCACCTCAAAAAAAAAAAAAAAAAAGGAAATATGCCAAAGAAGTGTATTTTGGACTGGAATATTTTGGTTTCCTTCAAGACATTAGGGCAGTGTCGACAAAGAGAGTCAAACTCTGTAAAATATTTAAAGAGGTTTATTCTGAGCCAAACATGAGTGACCAAGGCCCAAGGCACAGTCTCAAGAGGTTCTGAGAACATGTGCCCATGATGATTGGATTATAACTTGGTTTTATATGTTTCAGGGAGACATAAGATATCAATCAATGCATGTAAGTTATGCATTGGTTTGATTCAGAAAGGTGGTAGAGCATGAACCTGTGGCTCACAAGTCATAGATAAATTCAGAGATTTTCTGATTGGCAATTGGTTGAAAGGGTTATTATTTAAAGACCTGCAATCAATAGAAAGGAGTGTCTGGGTTAAGATAAGGGGTTGAAATAGTTTGGATATTTGTCCCCCAAAATCTCAGGTTGAGATATAATCACCAATGTTGGAAGTCGGGCCTGGTGGGAGGCATTTGGGTCTTGGGGGTGGATCCCTCATGGCTTGGTGCTGTCTTCACGATAGTGAGTGACTTCTCATGAGACCTGGTTGTTTAAAAGTGTATGGCATCACGCCCCTCCCCCCGGCTCTTGCTCCCTCTCTTGCCATGTGACATGCCTGCTCCTGCTTTGCCTTCTGTCATGAGTAAAAGCTCCCCAAGGCCTCCCTAGAAGCTCAGCAGATGTTGGTGCCATGCTTGTACAGCCTACAGAACCATGAGCAAATTAAACCTCTTTTTTATATATATAAAAATTACCCAGTCTCAGGTATTTATTTATTTATTTATTTATTTATTTATTTATTTTTTGAGACAGAGTCTTGCCATGTCGCCCAGGCTGGAGTGCAGTGGCACAATCTCGGCTCACTGCAACCTCCACCTCCTGGGTTCAAGTGATTCTCATGCTTCAGCCTCCCAAGTAGCTGGGATTACAGGCACCTGCCACCATGCCCAGCTAACTTTTGTATTTTTAATAGAGACGGGGTCTCACCATGTTGGCCAGGCTGGTCTCGAACTCCTGACCTCAAGTGATCCACCTGCTTTGGCCTCCCAAAGTGCTGGGATTACAGGCATGAATCACTGTGCCTGGCCAGGTATTTCTTTATAGCAATGCAAGAATGCGCTAACACAGTGCAACCTGGCCTAACGGGTTGTGGAGACCAAAGTTCTTATTTGTAGAATAGATAGTAAATGTCTTTTATGAGGCCTTAAGATGTGCCAGACTCTTAGTTAATTCTTTCCTGGATCAGGAAAAAACTTGCAAAGGAGAGGGGGTTCTCTACAGAATATAGATTTTCTCCACAGGAGACAGCTTTGCAAGGCCATTTAAAAATATGTCAGGCCGGGCACAGTGGTTCACACCTGTAATCCCAGCATTTTGGGAGGCCAAGGCAGTGGATCACTTGAGGTCAGGAGTTTGAGACCAGCCCAGCCAACATGGTGAAACCTCGTCTCTGCTAAAAATACAAAAATTAGCCAGGCGTGGTGGTGCATGTCTGTAATCCCAGCTACTCAGGAAGCTAAGGCACAAGAATCGCTTGAACCTGGGATGTGGAGGTTGCAATGAGCCAAGATTGTGCCATTGCGCTCTTGCCTGGGTGACAGAACGAGACTCCGTCTTAAAAAAAAAAAAAAAAGAAAGAAAAAAGAAAAAAGAAATTTATTTTCAGCTTACAGCAGGGTATTGAAAGGGAGAAAAAATATAATTTATTTTCTCAATCCTAATAACTTCTTAGCTGGGATACCTCTATAACAAAAGATAGACCAATAGGAGAAAAAGGTATACAAACTTAATGTGCATATGATCATAGGAGCTATACACACAGTATGAGACTCAAAGGAGGGGTCAGATGGCTGAAGTTTTAATACCATTCAGAGATTACAGAAATGATAGGGGTTTGGGGACTCTTGGGATGGAGGTAGCCTCATGGGTTATGGAACAATGAAGGGAGGAAAGCAAGGCAGGGAAAGGCTGTCTTTTTATGCAGATAAAACCCCAAAAGGTAGCAGCTCTCAGAAAAAATAGGTGGCAGCCTGGGGTAAGGTGTCTGCCAGACCTTTGCTCTCCTTTTCCTGTGAGTCAGCCTTTCCTAAATTCGGATAAGGGGGCTTCAGAGAAAGCCTGTTCGCATCTGCTGTTTACTTCACTCCACTAACGTTGATTTCCTCTACAGATGCAAGTCTCCCCCACAAAAGACAGTTTTTCAGGACTATTCTCGTGTTTGCAGCCCCTCAGAATAGCCATCTCAAAATATGCCAAAGAAGTATATTTTGGGGTGGCATATTTTTGGTTGCCTTCAGCATAAACAACCTGCATGCTTTACATGGCCCCAATCACGACATCACCCTACAGCCATTGGTATGTATGACTATAGCTTTCAATTATCAAAGAAAGGTTAAATGATACTCAGTGAATTCTTTTCAAGAAGGCAGGAAAGTTTGGACGTGGTGGCTTATGCCTGTAATCCCAGCACTTTGGGAGGCCGACGTGGGTGGATCACTTGAGGTCAGGAGTTTGAGACCAGCCTGGCCAACATGGCAAAACCCCATCTCTACTAAAAATACAAAAATTAGCTGGGTGTGTTGGTGGGCACCTATAATCCCAGCTACTCAGGAGGCTGAGGCAGGAGAATTGCTTGAACCCAGGGGATGTAGGTTGCAGTGAATCAAGATCGCGCGACTGCACTCTAGCCTGGGTGAAAGAGTGAAACTCCATTTCAAAAAAAAAAAAAAAAGAAGTCAGGGAAAAGCAATCCATTTTAGAACTATGATGGTGTAAAAGAAAATAAAGTTTCAGGGCCACCTAAATTTATTTTGCCATAAGCCCTGGAGACTGAGTCACATAGCATGATTACCATTCTGTTTCTTAGATTATAGATTAACTCTCTTCCTCATTGTTCTTATTCTGTAAATGACTAGGAGAGATCAGAGACTAGACCTCTCCACTTCCAATCACAAATCACAAAATGTTGCAGAGTTACTGCCTCTTTCATTGTCCTGTACATCACTGAGACCAGATGGTGCAAAATACCCCATGATTTACATCTTCACTGTGGGATGTTAACAATACCTTTCCCAAAAGGAAAAGTCCCCCTTGGCTAATAGAATCATTGTAACTACGCATTAAGCCTTATATAGAAAGATGTTGAAGCCAAGCATGGTGGTGCATACCTGTAATCCCAGCTACTTGGGAGTCTGACACGGGAGGATGGCTTGAGCCCAGGAGTTCGAGGCCATTGTGAGCTATGATTGCATCACTGCACTCCAGCCTGGGCAACAGGGTGTTTCTAAACAAAACAAAACAAAAACAGAAAGATGTTGAAATTCTGTTAAGTTTCCCTAAACTTTATCTATGTAAACAATTCCAACCTTCTACACTTCAGAACACTGACTTTCTTTCATTCTTTGGAATCTGTGCTTCCCAGGCAGCAGTCCTTACACTTTGTGCTTGAATAAACTCTCTTTAGATTAGAGTCTGAGCCTCTTGATTGTTTTCTGTTGACAGTGGTAAAAATATTAAAGTATTTAGAAAAAAAGTATTCAGCCTCGGAGTAGACATAGCCCCCACTCTTCAATGATCCCATTCCAGTGGACAGATAGAAATACCTCTCTGGGAAATCTCTGATGGATTTGAAGCACTGAGAC
The DNA here is from genome assembly GCF_000001405.40 of Homo sapiens. Classification (NCBI taxonomy): domain Eukaryota; kingdom Metazoa; phylum Chordata; class Mammalia; order Primates; family Hominidae; genus Homo; species Homo sapiens. The sequence continues at coordinate 47,737,032 of NC_000002.12, read as the reverse complement.
CTTACTCTTGGACAACTCCTGGTCCTATGAAAGAAGGAGTTTCCAATATTGAGGATTTCCTGATGAAACCAGACAGATCAAGTCCCCTCCATTGGGGATATCCCAAGCGAATGGAGGAAGAATGGAATGAATCCAAGAGGAGAAGCACAGGCCTTGCTTGTCAGACAATTCTGGGGTCATACATGTACCCTGGCCTTTAGTGTGGTGGTGTGGGACACGGTAATCAGAACTCAGCTGGTCACCTTTCACTACCAGCCAAATTGTATAACTCACAAAGCAGATTTTCTGTAATATGTAATTATTGAGAATGAATAACTAAGGCGAAAAAAAAATCTATAGAGATGCTCCTTGACTTACAATGAAGTTATGTCCTGATAAATCCATCATAAGTAAAAAACGCATTTAATTCACCTAAACTACCAAACATCATAGCTTAGCCTGCTTGCCTTAACTGTGCTCAGATATTATCCTATAGTTGGCCAATATCATGAAATGCAAAGCCTATTTTATAATAAAGTGTGAATATCTCCTGTAATTTTTTATTTTTTATTTTTTTGTTAAGACGGAGTCTCACTCTGTTGCCCAGGCTGGAGTGCAGTGGCGCGATCTCGATTCACTGCAACCTCTGCCTCCTAGGTTCAAATGATTCTCCTGCCTCAGCCTCCCAAGTAGCTGGGATTACAGGAACACACCATTATGCCCAGCTTATTTTTGTATTTTTAGTAGAGATAGGTTTTCCCCATGTTGGCCAGGCTAGTCTCGAACTCCTGGCCTCAAGTGATCACCCGCCACGGCCTCTCAAAGTGCTGAGATTACAGGTGTGAGCCACTGCACCTGGCCTAGCTCATGTAATTTATGAACACTGTACTGAAAGTGAAAGACAGAATCCTTGTATGGGTCCTCACCATTAATGTGCATAACTGAAAGCACATTGGGCTTGAAGAATGTTTGAAGCATTGAACTAAAATTAATTGCTGGATGATAGGGATGCTACAGTGACAAGGTGATAAATTTCTCTCTCTTCTGATGAGGGTTGAGAATAGCTGGCAGAAGGCACTGAGGCATGGACACTTATTGTTGGTTTAGCAGGCATCCTGTTCTTCAGGAAGATACTAAGTTTTGACTGTAAAGTTTGTTTCTTCTTTTCATTACGTATTTCTGTATAGCAAGCTAGAGCATGTTGTAACTCCCTGTCAGTTCTTACAAATCTTCAGTAAAGATTGTGTGGAAAATGGATCCAGTGATATCCATTTCTTCTAAGGTTTATACCCCACTGCTGATAGTAGCAAACGCCTCCTCCAGTTTCTTTGCTGTGAATGTTCTTGGTGCCTCAGGTATAACTTCTTCTTCTTCTGCCTCAGCTTCTTCACTTATTTCTTCCCCCAGTTTGATCAGTTCCTCATTAGAAAGCTCTTCAGCCTCAGTGCCAACAAGCTCATGAATATCCTCTTTATTGATGTCTAATTCTAGCTGTTTCCCAAGCACTAATATCTTGTTACTTACTATTTCATCAACAGCAGAATTTTTGTTAAAGCCTTTGAATGTGTTCAACATATGTCTTTTAAACTTTCTTCCAAATGCCGTTCATGCATTGCTGTGTGACTTCTTCCCAAGCTGAAGCAATGTTCCAGATAGTATTTAGAATGTTAAAACCTTTCCAAAACTCTTGGAGAGTCTGGCCAGATTCCACTGCTTCAACAGCCTATGTGAACGTTTGGCATAAATAGTATGCTTTGAATGCAGCTATTGCACCTTGGTTCTTTGACTGAATGAGTGTAATTGTGTTCAGTGACAATACACAACCTTTACATCAGGATGCGTGTTGATGATATGGTGTGGGTACCCTGGAACATTGTCTAAGATCAGAAGAATCTTGAATCAGATGCTGTTTTGCCTACAATATCCTCTTGTCAATAGCGTAACACAGTTCAAAAAGTAGTCTGAAAACAGTGCTGACTTGTTTTCAAGGCTTGTAATCCAGGCTTTCTTGTTATGGCAGTAATAAAAAGGAACTAAGTATATGCTTATTCACATTCTTGAATGCTCTAGGGTTCTCCAAGTGGAGAATTTGAACCATGCAACATTTCCACCCAAAAACAGCATTATAAGGTCTTTGAATGCCTTGAATCCTGGCATCTTCCTGTACTCTTGATGAATGTATGGATGCTCTAGGATACGCTTCCAGAATAAGCTTGTTTCATTGGCATTAAATATTTGCTCTCACAAGTATTTCTTATTTACAATTATCTTACACAGCTCTTCTTTAAAAGCTTTGGCACATTTAGTATCTGCAATTGTGGCCTCACTGCTGACCTCTGCATTATGAAAATGATGACAACTTTTGAAGTGTTGGAACTACCCATGACTTGCTATAAACTTTTACATATCCAACGGATCATCAGCACGTTCTTTTAAAGTATTGAAAAGTCTTCTTGCCTTAGCCTGGATCATCAGAAGGCGAAGTGGCATGTGCTTCTGTATCTGGTCTTCCATTCACATGACAAGTAATTTTTCCATATCATCAGTCAGCTCACCTCTTTTCTTTGTGATGACAGTGGATTTAACCAAGGCTGATCATTTCACTACATCACTTATGCACTTCTTTCCTTTAAGAAGGTGGAAATTATGGAATGTGAAAGTCCTAACTTGCCTGAGATGGCCATTACTTCCTTACCACCTTCATGCTGAGGAATTAAGATCTTGAGTTCCATCTCAAGGGTAATTGCCTTCCTCTTCTCACCAGAGGCAGGAGACACAAATGGGCATTTTGCAGACATAATGAGACGTGAAAGCATAAAACACAATATCCCCAAACACTGGGAACACAGTACACTGTAGGGTACCAGTTGTTTACCCTCGTGATCGCTGCTACCCAGGATCTTGAGAGAGTATCATACCACATATGGCTAGCCTGGGAAAAGTACAGTTTCTACTGAATGTATATCAAATTCACATTATTATAAAGTCTAAAAACTGTAAGTTGAACCCTCATAAGTTGGAGGCCATCTGTATATGGATCTTCCAGGAGGGCCATGGCAATGTGGTAAGCTGACTATTAAATGACTTAAAAGCCTAAGAAGTGTCTTCAAAAGAAAAATCAGCCATTTAACAGTTGCAGACTTATCAGGGGTAAGAAGAGAAGGACAAAAACTGAGATAGGTAAAGATAAGGCAAATAATAGTTGACACTTATCAAGGGCTTACTACATGCCAGGCTCTGTTCTGTTTTTCATGCGTTACTGCAGTCCTCACAAAGATCCTATGAAATAGGTATTACATTTTCTCCATTTTACAGAACAGGAAATTGAGGCACAAGGATGTCAGGTAACTTTCCCAAGTTTTAGTAAGAATTAGAGCTAGGATTTGAGACTGAGCAGTCCGGTTCTAGAATCGTGCACTTGCCCATCACCCTTGTGGGGGTCATGACCATTGGCCCCTAAAAGTTCACTGAAAAACTACTGACATGAGGCAAATTTATTAATAGAAGGAAAGACATATAAATTTATTTAATGTATTTACATGGGAGCCTTTGGAATGAAGACTCAACCCAACAATAAGATATAGAAACTTATATACCATCTTGAGGTTACAAAAAGAATGCAGGCTAAGAGTATGGCCCCAAACAGTTTACGTTGGTAAATCATGTTTAGTAGCAAGACATGGTGTGAAAGGGAGAAAGAAAGAGGCCTGGCTTGCAAAGATGGCTTTGTTATATAGATGAGGCCTCATAGGTAGCAGTCCTCAGAGAAGATAGATGGTAAAAGCCTTTTTTTTTTTAATTTAAATTTTTATTTTTATTTTAAGTTTCAGGATGCATGTGCCGGATGTGCAGGTTTGTTACATAGGTAAATGTGTGCCATCGTGGTTTGCTGCACAGATCAACCCATCACATAGCTACTCAGCTCAGCATGCATTAGCTATTTTTCCTAATGCTCTCCCTACCCCAACACCACCTCTTGACAGACCCCAGAGTGTGTTGTTCCCCTCCCTGTGTCCATGTGTTCTCACTGTTCAGCTCCCACTTATAAGTGAGAACATATGGTGTTTGGTTTTCAGTTCCTGCAAGAATTTGCTGAGGATAATGGCTTCCAGCTCCATCTATGTCCCTGCAAAGGACATGATCTTGTTTTTTTTGTGGTTGCATAGTATTCCATGGTGTATATGTACCACATTTTCTTTATCCAGTCTGTCACTGATGGGCGTTTGGGTTGATTCCATGTCTTTGCTATTGTGAATAGTGCCGCAATGAACATATGGCGAAGGTCTTTTTTCAGACCTTTCAAGGTGTCAGACTCAGTTAATCTCTCTTAGATATGGAAAATTTGTAGAAAAGGAAGGCCTGGCTGCATTAGTAGAGATTCTCTACAGATGCAAATTTTCCCCAGAAAAAAATAGCTTTGCAAGGACCTGTCTGTTTGCTGGCCCTGAAGCAACCATTTCAAAATATGTCAAAGAAATATATTTTGGGGTAAAATATTTTGATTTCCTTCACCCTATACTAGAACTACCTCTGGATAAATCGTGAACACTGGTGTGGATTCTAATCAGGGAGCCCCTGTAAGCCTGTGGTCCCTTACAGAAAAATGGAGTCGGTATGCTGATTCTAAAATATAGATTGGGCCAGGCCGGGAGCGGTGGCTCATGCCTGTAATCCCAGCACTTTTGGAGGCTGACGCAGGCGTATCACAAGGTCAGGAGATGGAGACCATCCTGGCTAACATGGTGAAACCCCATCTCTACTAAAAATACAAAAAAATAGCCAGGCGTGGTGGCGTGTGGCGGTAATCCCAGCTACTTGGGAGGCTGAGACAGGAGAATTGCATGAACCTGGGAGGCAGAGGTTGTAGTGAGCCAAGATAGCGCCACTGCACTCCAGCCTGGGTGACAGAGCAAGACTCCATCTCAGAAAAAAACAAAACAAAATACCAAAACCCCAAAAAACAGATGGTGTCAACTGGAGCTGAAGAAGCTGCATGCAAGTATTAAATTCCTGACAAGGGCCAAGAACAAATTAAGAGGGCAGAAATCCAGGAATGTATTTCACATAGCCAGCGAAAAAAAACTTTGGGGCTAAAAACAAAGCAAAACCAGTTACCACTAATCTTGTTTTTTTTTTTTTTTTTTTTTTTTGTTTTTTTTGAGACAGAGTTTCACTCTTGTCACCCAGGCTGGAGTGTATGGAGTGCAATGGCGCAATCTTGGCTCACCGCAACCTCTGCCTCCCGGGTTCAAGCGATTCTCCTGCCTCAGCCTTCTTTGTAGCTGGGATTATAGGCACCTGCCATAATGCCTGGCTAATTTTTGTATTTTTAGTAGAGATGGGATTTCACCAGGTTGGCCAGCCTGGTCTTGAACTCCTGACCTCAGGTGACCCACCTGCCTTGGCCTCCCAAAGTGCTAGGATTACAGGCGTGAGCCACCATGCCCGACCACCACTAATCTTAAGAAGATAAACATTATGAATGATGAAAAAGCTAACAGAGTAAATAAAGCTTTTGTAAATGTACAAAAGGAACTTGCACATTTCTCAAAAGGCCTTTCTCTTGAACATCTACAGAAAGAATTGATTCCTCTGCAGTGTCATGAAAGCAAACCAGTTAATGTTGGTGAAGCTACAAAATTAATGGCTCAGTTGTAGTATAGTGGTGATGCATCTAATTCCACACAAAGACCAACAAATTACATGTTTTATACAAAAAATAAATACATACATAAATCAATAAAATATATATTGGGTCAGGCATGGTGGCTCACACCTGTAATCCCAGCATTTTGCGAGGCCAAGATGGGTGGATTTCTTGAGCTCATGAGTTTGAGCTCAAGCCTGGCCTGGCCAAGCCTGGCCAACATGGTGAAACCCTGTCTCTACTAAAAATACAAAAATTAGCCAAGAGTGGTGGTACCCCCTGTAATCCCAGCTACTTGGGAGGCTGAGACATGAAAACCACTTGAACCTGGGAGGCGGAGGCTGCAGTGACCCAAGAACACACCACTGCATTCCTGCTTGGGTGACAGAGTGAGACTCTGCCTCAAAAAAAAAAAAAAAAAAAAAAGGCCAGGCACAGCGGCTCATGCCTGTAACCCCAGTACTTTGGGAGGCCGAGGCGAGTGGATCACCCGAGGTCGGGAATTTGAGACCAGCCTGACCAACATGGAGAAACCCCATCTCTACTAAAATACAAAATTAGCTGGGCATGGTGGCGCATGCCTGTAATCCCACCTACACAGTAGGCTGAGGCAGGAGAATCGCTTAAACCCAGGAGGCGGAGGTTGTGGTGAGCTGAGATCGAGGCATTGCACTCCAGCCTGGGCAACAAGAGCAAAACTCCGTCCAAAAAAAAAAAAAAAAACAATTAGCTACTTGGGAGGGTGAGGTGGAAGAATGGCTTGAGCCCGGGAGGAGGAGGTTGCAGGGAGCCGAGATTGAGCCACCCCACTCCAGCCTGGATGACAGAGCCAGACCTTGTCTCAAATAATAATAATTAAAAAAAAAAAAAAAAAGGCAAAAGGCAAAAGAACTAGAATAGTTAAAACAATTTTGAAAAAGAAGAATAATGTTGTTGAACCCACTCTACTTTCTACATTTTACGTAAAGATACAGTAGTCAACACAGTGTGATATTGGAGAAAGGAGAGACATACAGATTAATGGAATAGAATAAAGAGCCCAGAAATAGATCCATGCATGCAACTGTCCCCAGGAAAACTTTATAAAATCGATTAAGAGAGGAAAAAATTCAACTAGGCTTGCAGCACAGTTAGCAGTGATCATTAAGCCAGCTCGCTCTTTGGCCCACTCCCTTGTGGCTGCTCTTTGCTTACTACCCCAGGATGTTGGTAGTCCTTGTCACAAGACTGTTCTCTTTCCATTCTGTAGATGAAATCTAAGGCCTTGTGAGATGCTAAGTTTCCCATGGAGTTTCTCCTTTGGGTTTTGCATACAACAAAACTACCCATACCAGCTGTTCTGAGGGGCCCAGCAGAAAGCTGATTCATGGAAGAATGCAGTTTCCACATCCTGATTATTATTATTATTATTATTATTATTATTTTGAGACAGTGTCTCACTCTGTTGCCCAGGCTGGAGTGCAACGGCGCAATCTCGGCTCACTGCAACCTCCTGCTCCTGGGTTCAAGTGATTCTCCTGCCTCAGCCTCCTGAGTAACTGGATCTATAGGCATGCGCCACCATGCCCAGCTAACTTTTGTATTTTTAGTAGAGATGGGGTTTCACCATGTAGTCCAGGCAGGTCTTGAACTCCTGACCTCAGGTGATCTGCCTGCCTCAGCCTCCCAAAGTGCTGGGACTATAGGCGTAAGCCACTGCACTGGGTCAACACATTCTGATTATTTCGTTCACTTTACTCCAACCAATCAATGACCCCAGTTTTCTAGCCCTTCACCCTCCATGATCCCCTTAAAAACCTTTGCCCAGAAAACCTAGAGAAAATGGATTTGAGGCTTGAGAATTCCTCCTGTTTCCTTGTTTGGCGCTTTGGAATTATTAAACTCTTTCTCTGCTGCAAAACTTGCTGTCAGTGTATTGGCCTGTTGCTGTGGCAGCAGGCATACAAACCTAGCAGTCCTGTTACATACGTATATGGTCAACTGATTTTTGACAAACAGACAAAAATAATTCAATGGGAAAAGTACAGTGTATTTAAGGAATGGAGATGGAACAATTAGACATCCAGGTGCAAAAAAATGAATCTCAATCTATACTTCACACCCCATAAAAATTAATTCAAAATGGATCATAGACATAAATGTAAAACCTAAAACTGTAAAACTTCTAGGATAAAACATTTGTGAGCTTGGGTTAGGCCACGATTTCTTAGATATGACACCAAAAGTACAGCTCGTAAAAGAAAAAATCAATAACTTGGACTTCTCTTCAAAAGAACTTGAAGAACTTCTCTTCAAAAGACACTGTTGAAAGAACAAAAAGAAAAGCCACAAATGGAGAGACGCTTTTTTTTTTTTTTGCAAAACTTATATCTGATAAAGGACTTGAATCCAGAATATGTAGAGAACTCAGAAAACTCAATAATAAAAAGTCAACCCTACTTTAAAAGATGAGAAATGAGCCAGACACAGTGGCTCATACCTATAATATTAACATTTTGGGAGGCCAAGGCAGGCAGATTGCTTGAGCCCAGGAATTCAAGACCAGCTTGGGCAACATGGCGACATCCCGTCTCCACAAAAAATATGGTGGCACATGCCTGTCGTTCCAGCTACTCAGAAGGCTGAGTGGGGAGGATCGTTTGAGCCAGGGAAGTCAAGGCTACAGTGAGCTGTGATCACTCAGAAGAACAAAGATCACCTGGTTACCATCAAGCAGGCCATCCAGAGACAAAACTCCTTATCTGAGGAATTTAGAAGTAATTAGCCTTCCCTGTTACCTAAAGTCAGCATCTGGTTCCAGGCCTCTTTCCCCAAAATTTATAAATAACTAGAATTTCTATACATCTCCAGAATGCATGCATGTTGAAACTCATTGTGCAACCCTTGCTGACATTAAGACACCAAAATGTCTGCAAATGTAATCAATAATCATGACCTATGTGCACTAATATGGTCTGAAGTACCCTTAAACTCTCGCTTTAAGGTCCATAAATATCCCTAAGGAAAATCCACCATGGCGTGCTCAGTTCTCTTAATGATGCGCCTGGCTGCACTTTTCTGCAGTGTACTTTCTATCTAATAAAACTTGACTTTTCAAATCTATTCTGCTGTCAGTAGATTCTTCTTACCAACCTGCAAGTCAACCACTTTCTGATGCCAGGGCTCTGACCTCACCTTGTCAGAGGTGTTTGGACCGGAACAACTCCATCTTGAATAGGGGCTGGGTAAAATAAGGTTGAGACCTGCTGGGCTGCATTCCCAGGAAGTTAAGGCATTCTAAGTCACAGGATAAGATAGGAGATCAGCACAAGATACAGGTGATAAAGACCTTGCTGCTAAAACAGGTCGCAGTAAAGAAGCTGGCTAAAACCCACCAAAACCAAGAAGGCTACAAGAGTGATCTCTGGTCTTTCTCACTGCTACACTCCCACCAGCGCCATGACAGTTTACAAATGTCATGGCAACGTCAGAAAGCTACCCTATATGGTCCAAAAAGGGGAGGCATGAATAATCCACCACTTATTTAGCATGTAATCGAGAAATAACCATAAAAATGGGCAACCAGCAGCCCTTGGGGCTGCTCTGCCTCTGGAGTAGCCATTCTTTTATTCCTTTACTTTCTGAATAAACTTGCTTTCACTTTATGGATTCACCTCAAATTCTTTATTGTGCGAGATCCAAGAACATCGTCTTAGGGCCTGGATTGGGACCCCTTTCCAGTAACAACCTGGTAATCGCCCCCACTGCACTCAGCCTGGGCAACAGAGTGAAAACCTGTCTGAAAAAAAAAATGTATTTGAATGGACACTTCCACAAAGATGATATATGGATGGCAAATAAATACATGCAAAAAATATTTTTTTCTTTTCTTGAGACAGGGTCTCACTCTGTTTTCCAGGCTGGAGTGTAGCAGTGCAATCTCGGCTCACTGCAGCCTCGACCTCCCCAGCTTCAGCCATCCTCTCACCTCAGCCTTCCGAGTAGCTGGGACTACAGGTGCATACCACCATGCCCAGTTAATTTTTAATTTTTTTTGAGAGATGGGGTCTCACTATGTTGCCCAAGCTGGTCTTAAATTTTTGGGCTTAAGTGATCCATCTGGCTTAACCTCCTAAAGTGCTAGGATTACAGGCATAAGCCACTGCACCCGGCTGCTAAAATGTTAAACATGATTAGTCATTAGGGAAATGCAAATTAAAACCAAAGTGTAATACCACTACACATCTATTAGAATAGCTTAAAAAAAAAAAAAACCAACAAACCCAAGTTCTGGCAAGAATGCACAGTGACTGCAATGCTCATATAATGTAGTAGCCATACAGAATAATATAGTCTCTTTGGGAAACAATTTGGCAGTTTCATATAAATTTCAACATTTATCATAAAACCCAGAAATCCCACTCCTAGGTATTTACCCAAGAGAAATGAAAATTTATAGCTGGGGATGCTGGTGTGTACCTGTAGTCCCAACTACTCAGGAGGCTGAGGTGGGAGAATTGCTTGAGTCCAGGAGTTTCGGATCAGCCTGAGCAACATAGTGAGACCAGTCCCTGTCCCCAAAACAATTTTTTAAAAGAGAAAATCTATGTTTATAGCAGCTTTATTCATAAATGAAAAAAATTGGAAAAAACCCAGATGTACCTAAATCAGAGCATAACTAATATGTGGTACATCCATCAGTGAAGTGTTATTTAGCAATAAAAAGGAATGACTATTGATGTATAGAGCATCATGGACATGTATCAATTGTCTTATGCTAAATGAAAGAAGCTAAACTCAAAACCTTCATACCTTATGTTTCCATTTATATATTTTGGAAAAGTTAAAACTATAGGGACAGGGACAGGGGAGGTGGCTCATGCCTGTAATCCCCACACTTTGGGAGGCCAAGGTGGGAAGCTCACTTGAGGCCAGGAGTTGGAGATCATCCTGGGCAAGATGGTAACGGTGAGACCCCCAATCTACAAAAAAGTTTTTTTTTTGTTTTGTTTTTTGTTTTTTTAAATTAGCTGGGCATGGTGGCACAAGCCTGTAGTCCCAGCTACTCAGTAGGCCAAAGCAGGAGAATTGCTTGAGCCCAGGAGTTTGAGGCTGCTGTGAGCTGTGATCATACAACTGAATTCCAGCCTGGATAAGAGAGTGAGACCCCATCTCTAAAATAAAAAAATTAATAATAAAAAATAAAAACTATGGGGATAGAAAACAGATCAGTAGTTGCCAGGGACAGGGCCTGGGGAAAGTTTGGCTATAACTGGGCCCAGGGAACTGTGGCTGAGGGAACTGATTTACATCTTGACTGCGGTGGATGACTATAGTCAAAACTCACAATGCTATACACTAAAAAGGGTGAATTTTACTGTATGTAAATTATACCTTAAAAATTTTTTCTATTCTTTTTTTTTTAGAGACAGAGTCTTACTCTGAAGCCCAGGCTGCAGTGTAGTGATGCAATCATAGCTCACTGTAGCCTTGAATCCCTGGGCTTGAGAAATACTCCCGCCTCAGTCTCCTGGGCAGCTAGGATTACAGGCCCACTCCACCATGCCTGGTTAATAAAAAAAAAAAAAAATTATAGAGATGGGATTTCCCTATGTTGCCCAGTCTGGTCTTGAACTCCTGACCTCAAGCGATCCTTCTGCCTTAGCCTCCCAAAGTGCTGGGGTTACAGGCATGAGCCACTATGCCCAGCTAATTTTTTAAATGCATGAAAAACAGGAAGGTTACAACAGCTTGTAGGTCCTTGACCAGAGCTGGCAAATTCTACAAGCGTTCTTTCCAGAGTGAGGCCAGTTTTTTTCTTTCTTCTTCTTTTTTTTTGGGACAGAGTTTCACTCTGTTGTTCAGGTTGGAGTTCAGTGGCGCAATCTCAGCTCACTGCAACCTCCGTCTCGGGTTCAAGTAATTCTCGTGCCTCAGCCTCCTGAGGTTGCTAAATTGGAGATACTAAGGACCAACAGTACTCGTGTTCATCTTGCCTGAGAGGGATGTTACAGGGCAGTCAACAGAGCCAAGAGCTGGGGATTACAGGCATGCGCCACCAAACCTGCTTAATTTTTGTATCTTTAGTAGAGATGGGGTTTTGCTGTGCTAGCCAGGCTGGTCTCGAACTCCTGGCCTCAAGTGATCTGCCCGCCTTGGCCCCCCAAAGTGATGGGTGGCCTAAGCCACTATGCCCGGCCCATTGTCTTTCAAAGCTCCATCACTATGTATTTCCGGGCCAGCAAAATCTTCTAAATTCAAGATCCTTTGCAGCCTGCTGATTGGTGGCTTGAAATCTGAGGGTTAGTGGACTCTGGTCTACATGGGAAAAGTACAAAGGGCAAGAGAAAGCAAGCAGGAGTCCAGGTCACTGAGAGAGCAGCTGACCCTGCCTCCTATCTCCAAATGGGCAGCGGGGCCTGTGGGAGGTAAAGCCCCTATCTCCCACTATTCCTGCAATCTATTCTTCTGGTTCCTTTGGGTAACGCCTTCTTTTTCCAGGTGGCCTGTGAAGCTGTCAATCATGATGCTCGTATATACTCATCTCCCCCACTCTCACCCCAGGAACAGACACGTAAGCCAGGATGACACAGCCAAACAAACTACTCCTTTTCACAGTCCACAGTGATTCATGGAGGGAGGGCACACAACCAAATCAAGGCCAAACAGGATCATCCTGGAGACCACTAAGTAGATAATTGAGAGAGAATTTCTCTCTTCACTGAGGTTGCTAAATTGGAGATACTAAGGACCAACAGTACTCGTGGTCATCTTGCCTGAGAGGGATGTTACAGGGCAGTCAACAGAGCCAAGAGCTGGGGAGGGAACCAGGCCCTGGTAACGTGTGTTGAGCCACTGGATCCAGTCATGCATGAAGTCAGAACCAACCTGGGGCTTCCCAATTATTGAACCATTACTTCCTCTTTTCTCTTGACTGGTTTGAGTTGAGGTTGTTTCTCTCTACATAGGAGTCTTTACTAATACACAATTAAACTTGTACTGTTCTATGGTCATGCACCACTGACAGTTCCACTCAGATGAGTTCGACCAACGGCAAAGGACACCTGCTTTGTGCCAGGCACTGGGGATACAGAGTTGACGAAGACACGGCCCTGCCCCAGAGGAACTCAGAGTCTTATGGAGGAGACAGAAGTATCAGCAAATGCTAAGTGGTCAGATAGAGATTAGTTAACACAAGGAACTATTAGAACACAGGAACCAAGCACTTGCCCCAGCCTGGAGATTCGAATAAGTCTTCTTAGAGATGACCTGTGAGCTGAGTCTCGAAGCCTCACCCATGTGAAAAGATAAAAGAAAGCATCTTTTGGGCAGAGGCATGAGCAAAGACCTGGCAGGGCAAGACAGCATGATGTGTGCAAAAAAATAAAAACACTTGGGTGTTTCTAGAGGAATGCTGTCTAGTAAAAGTCTGTGTTGATGGGAATGTTCTATTTCTATGCTGTCCAGTATGCAATCTCTAGCTAGTAAGCACTTGAAATGTGGATAGTGCAACTGAGAAACTAAATTTTTAATTTTATTTTAACTAAAACTTAGGCCAGGCACAGTGGTTCAGGCCTGTAATCCTAGCACTTTGGGAGGCTAAGATGTGAGGATTGCTTGAGCACAGGAATTCAAGACCAGCCTGGGCAACATAGTGAGACCCCATCTCTACAAAAAATAAAAAATTAGCCGGGCGTGATGGTGCATGCCTGTAGTCCTAGCTACTCAGGAGGCCGAGGTGAGAGGATCCCTTGAGCCTGGGAGGGTGAGGCTGCCGTAAGCCGTCATCACGCCACTACCCTCCAGCCTCAGTGATAGAGTGAGACCCTGTCTAAAATCAAATAATGAAATTTAAAGAGCTGCTTGCAGCTGGTGGCTACCATATTAGACAGTGTAGTGACTGTACGCAGTGAAGTGCAAGGCAGGAGGTGGTGAGAGGTCAGGCAGGCCAGGAGAGCTCCATGAAGGGCCATGAATGCCATTTCAAGGGTGTTGGACTTTAACCAGAAGGTGATGGGGAGTCTTTGGAAGGTGGTAAACTGAAGTGACTTATGTCATCTCAATGGACCAGAAGAAGCCTGGAGTTAGAAGGATGTTGCTCTAGCTGGAGGTAGAACATCTGAAGGTCTGAAACATGGAAATAGCAGAAGGGTTGGTGGGAGGGGCTGATCCAAGAAGCTTCGGAGGATAGAGTCAGCAGGACTGAGTGGTCCCTTGGTTTTGGAGGGTGGGGCTGCATCTTCTGTGTAGGATTTACAAGAAAGATGGGTTCTTGGGTAGTAGGGCTTGGATAGGTTGCTGTTCCCTGGCAGGACTAGAGGTTGGGGGTTCTGGAGCAGCTCCCAGATCCCAAGGCCCCACTTCTCTACAGGTGAGGCTCTGTTAAAGTCAAAGAAGCAGGTTGAAGAGACATATTCCCCAGCTGTTTGTTGTTTCTTGTTAGCTTGAAGGATCATGGCAGCTTGGAAAACTTCGGAGTCTGATTGTAAATACTGGCCAACTGCAGGAGCGGGAAGGCTCTCCAAAAGACAGAGGGGTGGTTTAAAGTCTTTTGTAATTAAGAAAATACCTGGATTGTGAGGCAACTCTAATGCTCTCATGACATCCAAGAAGGCATGCAGAATGGCAGATTCTGGACTTCTTGGAAGTTCTTATTTTTAATTTTTTTATTTTTGAGACAGGGTCTCACTTTGTTGCTTAGGCTGAAGTGCAGTGGCGCAAACATAGCTCACTGCAAACTTGAACTCCTGGGGTCAAGTGATCCTCCCACCTCAGCCTCCTAAGAAACTGGGAGGACTATAGGCACGCACCACCACACCTGGCTAATTTTTTTTTATTTTTCATTTTTTTGTAGAGATGGGGGTCCCACTATGTTGCCCAGGCTGGTCTTGAACTCCTGGGCTCAAGAGATCCTCCTGACGTGGCCACCCAAAGTGCTCGAATTACAGACACAAGCTGCTGTTCCTGGCTTGTTTTTCGCGACAGAGTCTCACTCTGTCATCCAGGCTGGAGTGCATGATCTCAGCTCATTGCAACCTCTACCTCCTGGGTTCAAGCGATTCTCGCACATCAGCCTCCTCAGTAGCTGGGATTACAGGCACGCACCACCATGCCCAGCTAATTTTTGTATTTTTAGTAGAGACGGGGTTTCACCATGTTGGCCAGGCTGGTCTTGAACTCCTGACTTCAAGGGGTCCTCCTGCCTCGGCCTCCGTGCTGGGATTACAGGCGTGAGCCACCATGCCTGGCTTTTTTATTTTTTTAAATGGATTTTTTTTTCTCTCCTTCCAACGCTAGGTTGTCATCCGTCACAATGAAGTTGAAGGAAGGCTTCTGCCTGAAATCATCTCTTTCTCCCCTTGTAATTTGCTGTTTTCCCCATTGGCTTGAAAATTTGTTAACCAGTGAATGGATTAAGGGCGGTGCAAGATGTGCTTTGTTAAACAGATGCTTGAAGGCAGCATGCTCGTTAAGAGTCATCACCACTCCCTAATCTCAAATACCCAGGGACACAAACACTGCGGAAGGCCGCAGGGTCCTCTGCCTAGGAAAACCAGAGACCTTTGTTCACTTGTTTATCTGCTGACCTTCCCTCCACTATTGTCCTGTGACCCTGCCAAATCCCCCTCTGCGAGAAACGCCCAAGAATGATCAATTAAAAAAAAAAAAAGAAAGAAAAAGAAAATTTGTTAACCAGGCTTAGTTAAAAACTCCGTATGGAAGGTTTATGGGATAAAAATCTTTTTCTCTACTGAGGACTTAGGTCCAATGATCAGGGGCCCGCAAATTAACTGACAATAGACAGATAAACAGGCAAAAATAAAACAAGTTTGGCCGGGCGAGGTGGCTCACGCCTTTAATCCTGGCATTTTGGGAGGCTAAGGTGGGAGGATCGCTTCAGCCCAGGGGTTCAAGACCAGCCTGGGCAACAAAGTGAGATCCCATAATTAGCCAGGCATGGTGGCATGCGTCTGTAGTGTCAGCTATGCAGGATGCTGCGGTAGAAGGATTGCTTAAGCCCAGGAGGTTGAGGCTGCAGCGAGCCATGATTGTGCCACTGCACTCCAGCCTGGGCAGCAGAGCAAAAGCCTCTCTCAAAAACAAAACAGAAAAAGAAAACAAGTTGGCTGGGTACGGTGGCTCACACCTGTAATCACAGCACTTTGGGAGGCCGAGGTAGGTGAATCACGAGGTCAGGAGTTCAAGACTAGGCTGGCCAACATGATGAAACCCCGCCTCTACTAAAAATACAAAAAAATTAGCCAGGCGTGGTGGCGGGCGCCTATAATCCCAGCTACTAGGGAGGCTGAGGCAGAGAATTGCTTGAACCCGGTAGGTTCAAAGGTTGCAGTGAGCTGAGATCGCGCCACTACACTCCAGCCTGGGCGACAGAGCGAGACTCAGTCTCAAAAAAAAAAAAAAAAAAGAAAAAGAAAACAAGTTTTATTTATATGCATGCAGGAACGTTCAGATAAAGAAGCTCATTGATCTCAACCTAATAAGGAAAAGAGAGCGAGAGAAAGGCTTCTATGGGAAAGACACATGGACATTTGAGGAAAGACAAATGGACTTTTAGAGAAACAAATGGAAGAGATGGGAGTTTGTTGCTGATGTTTATGTTTGTCTACATGAGTGGTTGGTGTTCTTCCTGGGAGTGAGCTCCTCTGGAGAGGAGATTTATGGCAACTTTACTCCCAGAAGGCTCTTCCTTTTAGTGAAATAAAGGAAGTTCCAAAAAGGCTTCTTTCTGCATCTGCTGTATCTCTAGTGTCTTCGGTTTAAAATAATCTTCACACTTATTCTGGAGGGCCAAGTGGATCCCCAGAAGGGGAACATGGGCTCTGACTGAGGAGCAAGGAAATGTATGAGTTTCAGTATCATCTATGGTAACACTTCAGAGTCAGTAGAAAAAAAAGTTCTGGGCAGAGTGCAGTGGCTCATACCTGTAATCCCAGTAATCTGGGAGGCTGAGGCAGGAGGATCACTTGAAGCCAGGAGTTCAAGACCAGCCTGGACAACATGGTGAGAACTCATCTCAAAAAAGAGAAAAGAAAAAAAATTAGCTGGGTCTGGTGGCACATGCTTGTGGTGCCAGCTACTGGGAGGGTGGGGTGGGAGGATTGCTTAACCCTGGGAGGTCAAGGCTGCAGTGAGTCGTGCTTGCACCACTGCACTCCAGCCTGAGCAATAGAGTGAAACCCTGTCTCAAGAAAACCAAAAGTTTTGATTCTCAGCTATGTTCTGGTGAGGTTGCTGAGTAGCTCAGTGATGGATTGGTGAGGTGTTTGTACATAGATGCTTTATGCATCCCCCTTTCCAGAGGCCTGGCCTCTTAAGTCCAGTCGTTTAGAGCCAGCGACATATCTTCTATCAGCTCTGGGAGGTGCTGGATAGAGGTCAGCAGCATAGTGACTACTGAGGGATGCCGGGGGGTTCAAGTCCTGAAATTCCACCATTAGAGCTTCATTTTGTAGGTCGTACTTTTCCCTGTCCCTCCAGAAACTAACAAGTGAAGTCTCTCTTCCTCTCTCTCTCACTTTCTCCTCAAATTTTAAGGGTAAAATCACATAAAATTGTAAAGGTCCCTCCTCCCTATCCTGCCTCAGGAGTGACACCAGTTCCTAAGTGTATATGTGTTTTTTATTTTTATAGAAAAGATAAAACACCATTGCCCCTGTTCTGTGCCCTATTTTCATTTTCACTGTAAGCAATACATTTCTTTTTTCTTTCCTTTTTTTTTTTTTTTTTTTTTGATACAGGTTATCACTCTGAAGCCCAAGCTAGAATGCAGTGGGTATCATAGCTCACTATAACCTCAACCTCCTGGGCTCAAGCGATCCTCTCACCTCAGCCTATCAAGCTGTTGGGACTACAGGAGTCTCTAATATATATGAATGAGACATAGTCTCCCTATGGTGCCCAGGCTAAGTAATACATTTTTAAAATAAGTTCATATCAGTACCCAAATCATTTTCCTGTTGTTGTGATGAATGCAATGGCATGCCATTGCACAGAAGTGCCATTATTTATTAAACCAGCCTCTCAGTGATGTCAGCCCTCCTAGGACTGCTATTACAAATGGTATTCAAATGAATACTCTTGTATCGAAGTCGTTGCACACATATGCAAACACACTCATAAGAATAAATTCTTAAAAGTGAAACTGTGGACTAAAGGGTGTGAGATATATATTTAGGTTATCGACTTAAAGATGCAGTGTGACGTTTGCTGCTGAAGTGGGAGGATACAGAGCTGTATGAATACAGCTGCAGGAGAATTTATCTTCTACTAGGCAGAAACAACCTACACAAACTTCCCTTTACAAGACAGTTCAGATTCCTATACAATAGGCTTTCAACAAATATGTGGAATTTACTGAAACGCAGGTTGTCAAAGAAATCTTAAATGCTTTGTCTGTGAGCTAAAGAGGAGCAGACAGAAGCTAAAGAGAATTTCAGTTCCAAATCCAGCCTAACCACCATCTCCTACCCCCAGACTCTTACTTGTTCCACCTGCCCCTCAAGCTTTCCCTTTTCTTTACCTATGCTCCTCCTGGCTTCACTTCCTTCCCCACCCAGCTGAGCCCTCCGAAGGCTGTGTCTTCCAAGTTACCTGTCAATGCCTCCAACTCTAACCATTTTTTTCTTTCATGCCACCTGCTTTAAACTCCCCAAACTTTTTTTTTTTTTTTTTTTTTTTTTTGAGATGGAGTCTTGCTCTGTTGCCCAGGCTGGAGTGCAGTGGCATGATCTCAGCTCACTGAAACCTCCACCTCCTGGGTTCAAGCAATTCTCCTGCCTCAGCCTCCTGAGTAGCTGGGACTACAGGCGCCTGCCACCATGTCCAGCTAATTTTTGTATTCTTAGTAGAGACGGGGTTTTACCATGTTGGCCCAGGCTTGTCTCAAACTCCTGACCTCAGCTGATCCGCCTTGGCCTCCCAAAGTGCTGGGGTTACAGGCATGAGCCACCATGCCCGACCTCAACTCCCCAAACTCTGGACTCTCTGCCTCCTCCTCCAGGTTACTGAGCAATGCTGGAGAAATTCCATTCTTGGGGAGATTGAAGATCCAAGGTCGCCAGGCTCAGCGGGGCTATGGCATGGCCTGACGGTCATATATACATTAAATTAAATAGAGATGAGGTCTCACTATGTTGCTCAGGCTGGTGTTGAACTCCTGGCCTCAAGCAATCTTCTCATCTCAGCTGCCCAGAGTGCTGGGATTACAGGCATGAACCATCATGCCCAGCCCCTTCTACCTGTTTCTAGTCAGCTCCCTCTCCCATTGCCTGCCTTCCCTTGTGCCTCAGAGTTCACTGCATCAGCCATGGCAAACTCCTCCGTCTGGGCTCTGAGTTTCCTTCCTTCTCGCTTTCTCAGGGACCTTGTCTGCTATCCCTTTTCTCCTATATCTTCAACTATTTCCTCTTTGTTCATTCTTTCTTCTCAGCTTACAAACCTGGCATCTAGTGGTTGCCAAATAATTCTTTTTATGAAGTCAAATTTAGGCAGGCTCAGTGGCTCACATCTATAATCTCAGTACTTTGGGGGGCCGAGGTGGGAGAATTGCTTGAGGCCAGGAGTTTGAGATCAGCCTGGGCAACATAGTGCAACCTCATCTCTACAGATAATTTAAAAATTAGCTGGGCATGGTGGTGGATGCCTGTGGTCCCAGCAACTTGGGAGGCTGAGGTAAGAGAATGGCTTGAGCCCAGGAGGGCAAGGCTGCATGCAGGCAGCCGTGATGGTACCACTGCACTCCAGCCTGGGTGACAGAGTGAGACCCTGTCTCTAAAAATAAATAAAGTAAAATTTATTCAGATATAATTTACAAACAATAAACTGCATATTTAAACTAGATAGCTCAATGAGTTGGTTTTTTTTCTCTTTGGAGACAGGATCTTGCTCTGTCACTCAGGCTGGAGTGCAGTGGTGCAATCATGGCTCACTATAGCCTTGAACTCCTAGGCTCAAGTCATCCTCCCACCTTAGCCTTTTGAGTTGTTGGGACCACAGGCGTGTACCACCTTGCCTAGCTAATTTTTAAATTTTTTTTTAGGGACAAGGGGTCTCACTTTGTTTCCCAGGCTGATCTGGAACTCCTGGCCTCAAGTGATCCCACCTCAGACTCCCAAAGTGCCAGGATCACAGCTGTGAGCCACTGTGCCTGGCCCTTAATGAGTTATGACAAATGCATATTCCCATCTAACCATCACCTCTGTAGGGTCCAGACCCAAAGGGTCGGTGGGTTTTTCTCCCCATGTGCAGAAATGAGAGATTGTAAAAATACAGACACAAGATAAAAAGATAAAAGACAAGACAGCTGGGCCCAGGGGACCACTACCACCAAGACGCAGAGACCGGTAGTGGCCCCGAATGCCAGGCTGCACTGATATTTATTGGATACAAGACAAAGGGGCAGGGTAAGGAGTGTGAGCCATCTCCAATGATAAGTAAGCTCACGTGGGTCACGTGTCCACTGGACAGGGGGCCCTTCCCTGCCAGGCATCCGAGGCAGAGAGACAGAGAGAGAGAGAGGGAGAGACAGCTTACACCATTATTTCTGCATATCAGAGACTTTTAGTACTTTCACTAATTTTGCTACTGCTATCTAAAAGGTAGAGCCAGGTGTACAGGATGGAACATGAAAGCGGACTAAGAGCATGACCACTGAAGCACAGCATCACAGGGAGACGGTTAGGCCTCCGGATAACTGCGGGTGGGCCTGACTGATGTCAGGCCCTCCACAAGAGGTGGAGGAGTAGAGTCTTCTCTAAACTCCCCCGGGGAAAGGGAGACTCCCTTTCCTGGTCTGCTAAGTAGTGGGTGTTTTTCCTTGGCACTGACGCTACTGCTAGACCACAGTCTGCTTGGCAATGGGTGTCTTCCCAGATGCTGGCATTACCGCTAGGCCAAGGAGGCCTCTGGTGGCCGTGTCCGGGCATAACGGAAGGCTCACACTCTTGTCTTCTGGTCACTTCTCACTATGTCCCCTCAGCTCCTATCTCTGTATGGCCTGGTTTTTCCTAAGTTATGATTATAGAGCAAGGATTATTAAAATATTGGAATAAAGAGTAATTGCTACAAACTAATGATTAATGATATTCATATATAATCACGTCTAGATCTAGATCTAGTATAACTCAGATCTAGTATAACTCTTGTTGTTTCATATATTTTATTATACTGGAACAGCTCATGCCCTGGGTCTCTTGCCTCGGCACCTGGATGGCGTGCTGCCCACAACTTCAATCAAGATATAGAACTTTCTTGGCCAAGTAGCACAAGCCATTGGGCCTGGCCAAATTTTTTTTCCATTTTAATGTTGAGTTAGACATCATAGTATGGATATATCACAATTTTTATCACAATTCATCTGTTTAAGGACAGTTGGGTTGTTTCCCAGTTTGGTCTAGTAGAAATAAGGTTACTATGAACATTTGGACACAAGTATTTTTGTGGATAGTTTCATTTATCTTGGTAAATACTTAAAAGTGGAAATGCTAGGTCATAGAGTAGGTGTATGTTTAACTGCCTAACTTTATAAGAAATTGCCAAACTGTTTTCCAAAGTGGTTGTATCATTTTACATTTTTATGAGCATTTAATGAGAATTCCAACTGCTGTACATCTTTGCTAACATTTGTTATCGTCTGTCTTTTGAATTTTAGTCATTATAGCGGTGCAAAATGGTATATAGTTCATTGCGGTTTTAATGTTTATTTGTCTGAGGAGTAACGTATACCTTTTCATGCACTTACTGGTCATTTGCATATCCCTTTTTTTTTGAGACTGTGTTGCCCAGGACAGAGTGCAATGGCACAATCTAGGCTCACTGCAACCTTTGCCTCCTCGGTTCAAGCGATTCTCGTGCCTCAGCCCTGAGTAGCTGGGATTACAGGTGTGTGCCACTTTGCCTAATTTTTGTATTTTTTTGTAGAGACAAGGTTTCACCACGTTGCCCAGGCTGGTCTTGAACTCTTGAGCTCAAGCTATCAGCCCACCTTAGCCTCCGAAAGTGCTGGGATTACAGACATGTGTCATCATGCCCAGCCCACTTTCTTTGTGAAGTGTCTGTTCAAGTCTTTTCACTATTTTTATTGTGTTGTTTCTTTAAAATTGCTGTATGAATTCTTTACATAATCTGGATACAAGTTATTTGTCAGAAATATGAGTTACAAATATGGCATGGGATATAGGCACATCCTAGCCTATGGCTTATGTTTCCATTTTCTTTTAAAAAATTTTTTAAATTTTAATTTAAATTAATTTATTTAGTTTTAGAGACAAGGTCCTACTCTGTCACCCGGGTTGGAGTGTGATGGTGTGATCATAGCTCACTGCAGCCTCAAACTCCTGAGCTCAAGCAATCCTCCCACCTCAGCCTCCCAAGTAGCTAGAACTACAGGCACATACCACCACTGCTGGCTAATTTAAAAAAAATTTTCAGCTGGGCACGGTGGCTCACGCCTGTAATCCCAGCACGTTGGGAGGCCAAGGCGGGTGGATCATGAGGTCAGGAGTTCAAGACCAGTCTGGCCAAGATGGTGAAACCCCATCTCTACTAAAAATACAAAAATTAGCTGGGCATGGTGGTGGGCCCCCGTAATCCCAGCTACTTGGGAGGCTGAGGCAGGAGAATTGCTTGAACCCGGGAAGCAGAGGTTGTGTTGAGTCGACATCTTGCCACTGCATTCCAGCCTGGGCAAGAGAGTGAGATTCTGTCTTAAAAAAAAAAAAAAAAAAAAAAAAAAAAGTTTCTATAGAGACGAGGCTCTCACTATGTTACCCAGGTTGGTCTCAAACTCCTGGCCTTATGTGATCCTCCTGCCTTGGCTTCCCAATGTGTTGAGATTACAGGTGTGAGCCACCATGCCCAGCTCTTTTCATTTTCTTGATGTCTTTTGATGAACTGAAGTTTTTAATTTTGATGAAATCAAATTTATCAACTTTCTTTATGGTTACTCCCCACCGTCCCTTTTTTAAAATGAGATGGGATCTCAGTATGTTGCCCAGGCTGGTCTTGAACTCCTGGGTTCTAGCAATCCTCCCAACTTGGCCTCCCAAAGTACAGGGACCACAGGTGTGAGCCACCACACCTGGCCTGGTTACTCCTTTCTGAGTGTAAGAAATATTTGTCTAGCCCAAGATTATGATATTCTCCTATATTTTATTCTAGAAGCTTTATAGTTTTAAGCTTTTCTGTCTACATTCATGAACCATCTTAAATTAATTTCTATATGTGGTGGTAAGTCCATTTTTTCCCCATATGTTTGTCCAGTTGTTTCAGTACAAAGTGTTGAAAACTTTTATTTCCTTATTGAATTGCTCTGAATCCTTTGTCAAAAATCAACTAACTATTCCCATCTAGAAACCTAACTCTCTTTGGTCCTTTTTTATAGTTTTCATTTCTCTGCTAAGATTCTCCATTTGCTTAGTCATTGTAATTGCCTTTTCCTTTACATCTCTGAAAATATTCATAATAGCTGTTTTTTTTCTTTTTCTTTTTCTTTTTTTGAGACAGAGTCTCACTCTGTCACCCAGGCTGGACTCACTGCAACCTCCCCCTTCCAGGTTTAAGCGATTCTTGTGCCTCAGCCTCCCAAGTAGCTGGGACTACAGGTGCGCGCCACCATGCCTGGCTAATTTTTGTATTTTTTGGTAGAGATGGGGTTTCACTATGTTGGCCAGGCTGGCCTTGAACTCCTGACCTCAGGCGATCAGCTGGCCTCGGCGTCCCAAAGTGCTGGGATTACAGGTGTGAGCCACCATGCCCAGCCATAATAGCTATTTTAAAGTCCTTGACTGCTGTGCTACTTAGGTATCAATTTATTGTGTCTAAGTGCTAAATCAACCTTTCATAATCTGCCTCTGTGATAATGAACTGGATCTTTTAAGCATTTCTCTTTTGCAATGACAACAGTGTTAGTTTTTGTTAGAAGAGGAGGCTAGAGGGACTTTGTAGGAAAAATTGGCTTTCTCCTGGTTCCAGTGCTTCTTTTTTTTTTTTTTTTTTTTTTTTCACTTAGAGATAGGGTCTTGCTCTGTCACCCAGGTTAGAGTGCAGTCGTCCAGTCATAGCTTACTGCAACCTTAAGCTTCTAGGCTCAAGGGATTCTCCTGCCTCAGCCTCCTTGGTAGCTAGGACTACAGGCATGCACCCCTATGCCTGGCTATATATTTTTTTTAACCTTTTTTTTTTTTTGAGATGGAGTTTTGCTCTTGTTGCCCAGGCTGGAATGCAATGGCGTGATCTTGTCTCACTGCAATCTCTGCTTCTCGGGTTCCAGCGAGTCTCCAGCCTCAGCCTTCAGCCTCCCGAGTAGCTGGGATTACAAGCATGTGCCACCACATCTGGCTAATTTTGTATTTTTAGTAGAGATGGGGTTTCATCATGTTGGTCAGGCTGGTCTTGAACTCCTGACCTCTTGAACACCTGCCTCGGCCTCCCAAAGTGCTGCGATTATAGGCATGAGCCACCGTGCCCGGCTTTTTTTTACTTTTTACTTTAGAGACAGAATCCCACTGTGTTGTTTGGGCAGGTCTCAAACTCCTGGCCTTGAGTGATCCTCCTGCTTCAGCCTCCCGAGTCACTGAGATTATAGGCGTGTGCCACCCTGCTGGCCTCCAGTGCTTCCATTTTTGCCCGTATGTTTGTTTGCTCTTGTTGCATGACTGACAACCACGTGTCCAATGCACAAAGTTCCTCAGTGAGCTTGCTGGCTCCAGCCTGGTAACCACCTCACTGCAGTCCTTCCAAAGTGGATGCCATGCATCCTAGGCCTCAGGCTGCTCTGCCAGCCAGTGGGCTCATGGTGTCCTGATTCCCTCTGTGTATCCATCTACTAGCCCCGGCCCACCTGCACCCCAAATAGTTGTTCCCCATGACCCTCCTAACATGGATACCATGCAACCTAGGCATCACATGTCCTGCTGCTAAGTTGGTTCCTAATGCCTTGATTCCCTCTGTACTCCCACCCACTAACCTTGGCCCACCTGCACCCTGGAGGCAAGTGCTTCCTATTTGCCCACCAATTGTAGATTAGTTTTGTTTTGTTTTTGAGATGGATTCTTACTCTTTCACCCAGGCTGGAGTGCAGTGGCACGATCTTGGTTCACCCACCTCCTGGGTATAAGCCATTCTCCTGCCTCAGCCTCCCCAATAGCTGGGATTACAGGCACACACCACCACGCCCAGCTAATTTTTATATTTTTAGTAGAGATGGGGTTTCACCATGTTGGCAAGGCTGGTCTCAAACTCCTGACCTTGTGATCTGCCTGCCTTGGCCTCCCAAAGTGCTGGGATTACAGGTGTGAGCCACCGTGCCCGGCTGCTATAGATAAGTTTTGACCTGGGCAACCCAGTGAACTTTTCCATCCTAGAAACTGTTGTGTATATTGTTTTTATGCTTTGCTTTTTAGATTTTCTCATTTTAAAATTTTTATTTTATATATATATATATATGTATTTATTTATTTTTTGAGATAGGGTCTTGCTCTGTCACCTAGGCTGGAGTACAGTGGCACAATCATGTCTCACTACATCCTTGACCTCCTGGGCTCAAACCATCCTCCCACCTCAGCTTCCTGACTAACTGGGACCACATGTGCTTACCACCATGCCCAGCTAATTAAAAAAATTTTTTCTTTTGTAGAGACAGGGTCTCACTATGTTGCCCAGGCTGGTCTTGAACTCCTGGGCTCAAGCTATTCTCCCAAAGTGCTCAGCCTTTGGGCTCAGCCTCCCAAAGTGCTGGGATTACATGCGTGAGCCACCACATCAGGCCTAGGTTTTTTTTAATATACCTGAAATTTTTTTTTTTTTTTTTTTTTGAGACAGGGTTTCACTGTGTTGCCCAGGCTGGAGTGCTGTGGCACAATCTCAACTTAGTGCAACCTCAACCTCCTGGGCTCAAGCAATTCTCCCACCTCAGCCTCCCAAGTAGCTGGGACTACAGGTGCGTGTCACCATGCCCAGCTAATTTTTGTATTTCTTGTAGAGATGGGGTTTTGCCATGTTGGCCAGGCTGGTCTCTAACTCCTGAGCTCAAGTGATCCACCTGCCTCAGCCTCCCAAAGTGCTGGGATTATGGGTGTGAACCACTGCGCCCGGCCTTATATACCTGAATTTATAAAGCAATAATTATTATAATAGGAAGAAACCAGTATCCAGCCCAAATTGTCAGCCAAGAAGTCAGGCAGTTTTTTTGCTTTGTCCTTAAAGATTTAGATGACGAAATGCACAGGGCACGTATGAGGGAAGAGGTGCAGAGCTTCCTCGCCCTCTCTGGCTTGCCACCCTCTAGGAATTCAGCTACCTGGAAGCTCCCATTGCTTTTCTACTTCATATTTCTTGTGCATCATTTCAGATCATAAAATAAGCAATGCCTTATTTTTTTCAACAGTTTCTTGGTATTACTCGGTATAGACAGATCACAGATTATTAATTCAGTCCCCTCTTGCTGGACAACCAGTTTGGTGCAGTGTGCTCTTCCACTACTAAGCCAAGTTGTATTTTGTCTGTTCGAGTCTGTGCTTTTAACTTAACTGTGGAGAACAGGTGCTGCATTTTATTCTTGGTTGTATCTCCAGCACCTGGCCCTGTCCTTGGCATGTTGTAAAAGTAATGAGTTCAATTCCATCCCACAGGGCTGCTCCTACAAGTGCCTGACCCAGGAGGATTTACCAGCCAAGAAGGGCCTCCCCACTGCTTCATCTTTGCCTCCTTCTGGTTCAGGTGGCAGGTGAATCCCTCTGGAGGCAGCTCCCTTCCCACTGATCTCCTGGATTCTCCAGGTCATCATAGAAACGTGGCCTCGGAAGACCCCTCTAGTAGGGGCCACAGTCTCTCCCCAGGGTCCCGACTCGGCTTTTTCCTAAACCCTCCTTTGGGAACCACTGCTCAGAGCATGCTCAGGCCACTGTGTTCTCTTGAGAACTATGTGCTTCTCCCAGCACTGCTTCACAGAAGGAGGAGGAGGCAGTTCATTTTCTCCCTGACTTCAAGCCTCTGGCACAGCCAGACTGCTGGGAAGCATTCACTGAAGCTTCCCAGGCCTTTCTCAGCATGAATATTTTACACCTCTGCAGTAAACTCAATTGTTAAAGCAAGGAATAGAGTAGTCCATGCCACACTGTTGCACACTAGCCAGGAGTTTGGGGATATAAAGACAGTGGGGAAGGATGGGGCTTCTCATCTATTGGGCCTGGTGTAAGTCCCAAGAGCCAGGAGCTCCATTATCCAAGGGCAGGAGAAGATGGATGTCTGAGCCCCAGACAAGAGAGCAAATTCACTTTTTCGCCAACTTTTTGTCTTATTTAGGCTCCCTATGAATTGGATGATGCCTAATCTCATTAGTGAGGACAGATCTTTACTTAGTCTACTGATTAAATGCTCATCTTTCACAGAAATACCTACAGACACATCCAGAAATAATGTTTTACCAGTCATCTGGGCATCCCTCAGCCCAGTCAAGTTGACACCTAAAATTAACCATCAGAATGCCTCATAGAAGATGCTCAATAAGTGGGGAATGAATGAATAGCCCTGTATTCATCTGCTTGGGCTGCTGTCGTGAAACATCATAGACTGGGTGGCTTAATTCTACAGACATTTATTTTAATTTATTTTCCCTCGTTCTGGAGACCAAGCAGTCCAAACCAAGGTGCTGACTGATTTCGTTGCTGTTGAAGGCCGTCTTCCTGCCTTGCAGATGGGCTTTTTTTTTTTTCTTCTGTGTCCTCACGTGGAAGAGAGAGAGAGAGATCGAGAGAGTGCACTCTGGTATCTCTTCCTTTTTGGGGGGAGTTGGGGTGGTGTGGGGAGGGACAGGGTCTTGCTCTGTTACCCAGGCTGGAGTGCAGTGCTATCACAGCTCACTGCAACCTTGACCTCCCAGGCTCAAGCCATCCACCCATCTCAGCCTCCTGAGTAGCTGGTACCACAAGCACATGCCATCACACCTGGTTAATTTTTAATTTTTTTCTGTAGAGATAGGGTCTTGTTATGTTGCCCAAGCTGGTCTTGAACTCCTGGGCCCAAGCGTACCTCCTGCCTCAGCTTCCCAAAGTGCTGGGATTATAGGCTTGAGCCACTGCACTCAGCCTCTTCCTCTTCTTGTAAGGACACCAGTTCTATCGAACAAGGGCCCCACTCTTATGATCTCATTTAACTTTACCTCCATAAAGGGACTGTTTTCAAATATAGTCATGTTGAAGGTTGGGGCTTCAACATATGAATTTGAGGGGGACAGAGTTCAGTCCATAGCAGGCCCCTTAACTCTCCCACTGGACAAAGAAAATAATAATGACAATATAACCAAAAAAGCTGAAGGTAAATCTGTGCACACTGAGAATGATTGTTGGGTATTTCCCTTGGCTGGTCATGGGAAACCACCAAAGAGGAGAAATCTACCAGCGTGCTTCTGTGAGCTTTGGTGGTGGTGTGATTTGGACACAGTGGGGCCTTGAAAGTGCCCACAATAGGCTGTCAGGTGAGAGGAAACACAGAAGGGAGGTAGCTTACTACAGAATGATCATGGCCTAATAACATCTGGGTGATTATATGGGTTGCACCTCAGCTGTCTATAAACTTTAGCGTCAGCAGATCTGTCCATGGCTGTCTCTGCTTTTCCAGTTGGTTGGGCATATCTCCGGCCTGAGATGGTCACCCGTCAGAATCCTTTGAGTATCTTGCCAGAATTCAGCAGTTTTTCTGTGCACCAGGAGGATGCTGCAGGGAGGCTGAGATTCTCTGAAGATACGTGTATTGCTGAAAGTAGACTTATGATTATGGAATCATAATTTCCTTGTACTTTTATCTAAAATTATACATGAGCCCGCTGAAGGAGAAAATTGGCCACAAAAGGTAGTCAAAAACATTTGCACAATAACCAAATACTTAAAAGCACATATCTTTTACAAGGTAATTCCTGCAGAAATATTAATTATTTGGAACATTTCACTGCAGAGCAGCTGGGGTTTGTTGGAATAACTTACAAGTCCAGAGGAAAGCAATGAAGATCGAGCCACCAGAACAGAAGGAATACTGCCAGCCCTGAATCTTGGAGCAGAGGTCTGTTCCCAGCCAATCAGAACTTGTTTCCTGGCTCATTGTGGAAGCTTCTAGCCTTCAGAAACCCACAGGTGAATCACAGCCGATGACTTGAAGGGGTGGCGGTGGGATTCAGCGAGAGAACAAGAGCTGGAGTCCAAAAGAGGCTGCACACAAGAATTTTGTATCTTTCCTAAACCAGGAAAAAAGAAGGCAAGAGGTAGGGAAAATGAACCAGGCAGTGGGCCTGGATGTCCTCAGGAATTCTAAGTGCTGCCCTGAAGCAGAGCCTCCTGCCCACCTCTCCAGCTTCCTCTCCTACCACTGAATTTTAAGCTCCAACAACACTAGAGGACTTAGAATTCCGGCCCACACCAAGCTGTGCCTTGCTTCTGTGTCTTTGCTCAAGCTGTTCCCACTGCCTGGAATGCCTTCCCTCTCCCACTTCTCTTCAGCTGGCTAACTCCCACCTACCCCACGAAACACAGCACAGGTGGCCCTCCCCCAGGAAACCTTCCCTGACCCCCAGCCCCCTTAGCAGGAACAGCTTCCTGAGCACAAGGTACACCTTGCATTACGGTTGTCTGTGGATGGACTGTCTTTGCCCCTCAGGTCTGAGTGCTCAAGCAGATCGTGGTGTATTCATCAGTGTATCCCAGTGCCTCACACATATTAGGCACTCAATATAAGTTGGCTGAATGAATGTTGATAGAGAGGGACTGATGGGGGCAAAAGCCTGGCAGCAGAACCTACTTTGCCTGGGTGAAATGCAGCAAGCTTAAAAGTCACCATTCGGGCCCAGGGTCAAAAAGACAGGCCTGGTGTACCTCCTCCAGTTGCTTATCTAGACAAAGGATACAGGTCGCCAAATAACAATCATAATTTTATTATTTTTATTTTTAAAAATTATATAATACAAAGTAGAGACGGGGTCTTGCTATATCGTCCAGGCTTGTCTCAAACTCCTGGGCTAAAGTGATCCTCCCACCTTGGCTCCTCAAAGTGCTGGGATTATAAGCACGAGCCACCGTGGCCAGCCAAGAATAACTTTTTTTTTTTTTTTGAGACAGAGTCTCTTGCTCTGTCACCCAGGCTGGGGTGCAGTGACATGATCTTGGCTCACTGTAACAGAGCAATCTCAGCACACTGCAACTCCTGGCTCCCAAGTTGAAGTGGTTCTTGTGCTTCAGCCTCCCAAGTAGCTGGAATTGCAGGTGCCCGCCACCATGCCTGGCTTATTTTTGTATTTTTAGTAGAGGCGGATTTCACCATGTTGGCCAGGCTGGTCTTGAACTCCTGACCTCAGATGATATGCCCGCCTCAGCCTCCAAAGGGTTGGGATTACAGGTGTGAGCTACTGAGCCCAGCCCCAACAATAATTTTAAGAGTTCCTTTTTCTCCTTTTATCCCCAAGCAGAACGTACATGGCCCGAGGCTCCTGTAAAGAAACAGAACCTCTAGGCCGGGTGTGGTGGCTCATGGAGGTAGGCACATTGCTTGAGCTCAGGAGTTCAAGACTAGCCTGGGCAACATGGTGAAACCCCATCTTTACAACAAATACAAAAATTAGCTAGGTGTGGTGGCACATGCCTGTGGTCCCAGCTACTTGGGAGGCTGAGGCAGGAAAATTGCTTGAGCCCAGGAGGCAGAGGTTGCAGTCAGCTGAGATGGCACCACTGCTCTCCAACCTGGATAACAGAGCAAGACTTTGTCAAAAAAAAAAAAAAAAAAAAAAGGGAAAAACAGAACCTCTAGAGCAGGAAGGGATATTGGAGTTGGTCTCACTCAGGCTATATAATTAAAGTGGGGAAGGTAAAACAGCAGGGTTGGGTGGGGGTTGGTTAAGGGACTTGCCTGGTCCCATAGCAAGTTAGTGGCAATGTTGGGATTAAATTCCAAGTCCCTGATTCCCCAGTTCCACAGTGTGTTCCCGTATCACTGATTGCACAGAGCATGGATGGAGATGAATGGAGTAACCACTACCTGGGACAACAGACATCCATCCTACAAATGAGTGCCAGATGAGGCTGTCAAGGCAGGTGGGAGGAATGACAGGCTTGGGAGTTGCTGCACCTTAAGAGCTGTGGGAAGCCAGCAGATGATAGTGGTCCAGCACTGTCCAACAGGAAGGTAATGCCAGCCACTTGTGTCATTTTAACATTTCCAGTACACACATTTTTAAAAGTAGAAAGAAACAAAGTAAGTTTTGCCTCCAGTTTCCAAAGGCTTTATTAGTAAAGAAGGATTCATCCTATTGCCTCCAAGTCAATGGGATGAAGAGCTGTGTCTAGGGACCCAGGAACGGCGTCGAGGCAGACTGCTGCTTTGACCTCCTTTTATTCATAGATCTAGTCATAGGCACGAGATTTGTAGTCAACCAGTTCTTCTTCTTTAAGCCATTTCTTTGCCAGCACTTTGTAATGAATCACTGCCACCAATGACGTTCCCGCCTATTTTAGCGCAGAAGTCCCTGCGAATAATAGTCTCTAGCATAGAGCCCAATGAATTGGTCTCCCCAAGCATCCTTAGCCCTGTCTTTGCCACATTCAGCCCCTCCAGGACCATGGCCACAACCTGCCCTGAGTTCATGTACTTCACTTATATTGAGCGCCTAATATGTGCCAGGCACTGGGATACACTAATGAATACGCCACGATCTGCTTGAGCACTCAGACCTAAGGGGGAAAGACAATCCATCCACAAAATGGACCTTGTGCTCAGAAAGGTCCGGGAAGAATGGGTGGTCTTTCAGGTTAGTGTAGTGCTACTTCAGGGGTTTCTCAGAGGCCCGAAGGAACTTCATGGTCACCAGGTAGAATCCCTTCTGCTCAGAGTATTTGATGATTTCACCCACCAGGCTGTGCTGAACAGCACTCGGATTGATAATGATGCTCTCAGTGTTGGCCATGGCCTGAGGATCTGACAGTGTCAGGTGGTGCGGGAGCTGAGACTTGGAGCCAAGAAATTATTATTATTATTTTGAGATGGAGTTGTGCTCTTGTTGCTAAGGCTGGAGTGCAGTGGCGCTATCTTGGCCCACCGCAACCTCTGTCTCCCAGATTCAAGCAATTCTCCTGCCTTAGCCTCCCAAGTAGCTGAGATTACAGGCACGCACCACCAAACCCAGCTAATTTTTTGTATTTTTAGTAGATTCAGGGTTTCACTATGTGGGCCAGGCTGGTCTCAAACTCCTGACCTCAGGTGATTTGCCCACCTCAGTCTCCCAAAATGCTGGGATTACTTACAGGCATAAGCCAACATGCCCAGCAAGAAATTATTTTTAATAATATATTGGCTGGTGGCTCATGCCTGGAATCCTAGCACTCTGGGAGGCCAAGGTGGGTGGATCACCTGAGGTCATGTGTTCGAGACCAGCCTAGCCAACATGGTGAAACCCTGACTCTACTAAAAAGTACAAAAAAAAAATTACCTGGGCACAGTGGCAGGTGCCTGTAATCCCAGCTACTTGGGAGGCTGAGGCAGGAGAATCACTTGAACCCAGGAGGCAGAGGTTGCAGTGAGCCGAGATTGCACCATTGCACTCCAGCCTGGGAGACAGAGTAAAACTCCGTCTCAAAAAAAATAAAAATAAAAAATAATGATATTTAGCTCAGTATATCCAAAATGTCATTTTAACATATGATCAATATAAAGTTATTGATGAGATATTTTACTTTTTTTTCACAGTAAGGCTTTGAAATCTGATGTGTATTTTACACTTTGTATATTTTGTACTGGCCACGTTCCAAGCACTCAACAGCCACATGTGGTGAGTGGCTATCTTACTGGACAGCATAATGTAGGACAAAAATATTTCCTTTACCCTTTCCAAGTTTTTAGCTGGAGCCTTCTGTAACAAAAGACAGACTAATAAAAGAAAAACAAACAGAAGTTTATTAACATGTACATATCATGTACACATGGGAGACACCCAGAAAAATGATGAAATCTCATTTCATTTAGATTGATTTAGAGGTGATTTAGAATTCAAGCTTAAGTACTATCATCTGTTGATGACTGGTTATGGGAAGATGACCAGGAAAAGTATGGTAAACAAGAGTACGATTTGGTTTTTTTTTTTGAGACAGAGTTTTGCTCTTGTTGCCCAGGCTACAGTGCAGTGGTATGATCTCGGGTCACTGCAACTTCCGCCTCCCGGGTTCAAACTATTCTCCTGCCTCAGCCTCTTGAGTAGCTGGGATTACAGGCCCCCACCACCACACCTGGCCAATTTTTTGTATTTTTAGTAGAGATAGGTTTTACCACATTGGCCAGGCTGGTCTCGAACTCCTGACCTCAGGTGATCCACCCGCCTTGGCTTTCCAAAGTGCTGGGATTACAGGCAAGAGTAAGATTCGTTGTGCGGATTTAACTCAAGTGCCTTCACTAATGGTAATGTAAAAGGGCCTGCTGCTCCTTGCTTGTAGAAAGAAGCCAAAATAATAATGAGATGTGATAGAAAGAGAGCAAGACTTTATGATCTGTGCCAGCAAGAGGAAGAGCAGGTGAAAAAAAATTCCACTCTTCAATTTGTGGAGGGAATGCCCAGGTTTTTAAAGAGCAGGTCTGGAATGCAGAAGAGGCAGGAGGACTGGGAGCTGCCATGCTGTGTGATTTGCTCCCATGGCTCATCTTGAATTATTGTTCCTTCTGGTGAAGGGGTTGGTGCCATCGTGGGTCCTACCAGGTTATAAATTAATCACAGTCAATCTAGTAGCCAGGAATAGGTTCCAGCCTTGAAGTCATCTTTTGTTAGAGTGAGACTTCTGGAGATGTCAGGTCCATATCAAGATCTGACCCCTGAAGCGTTGAAGCAAATATATGACCAGATAAGTGAGTGTGGAACATTCCGAGGCTGTAAAGTTTATCTCAGAACTACATCTTGAAACTGGGTAGGGCAGGGAGAAGAGCAAATGGAAAAAGAAAAAAATGTTTTATTTCTTATTTATTTATTTTTTTGAGACAGAGTCTCGCTCTGTTGCCCAGGCTGGAGTGCAGTGGCACCATCTTGGCTTGCTGCAAACTTCGTCTCCTGGTTTCAAGTGATTCTTCTGCCTCAGCCTCCCAAGTAGCTGGGATTACAGGCATGCACCACCAAGCCTGGCTAGTTTTTGTATTTTTAGTAGAGACAGGTTTCACCATGTTGGCCAGGCTGGTCTTGAACTCCTGACCTCAAGTGATCTGCCCACCTCGGCCTCCCAAAGTGCTGAGATTACAGGCATAAGCCACTACGCCTGGCTGGAAAAAAAGTTTTAAAGAAAAAAAAGTTGTCTTTTTTTTTTTTTTAAGACAGAGTTTGATTTTGAGGAATGTTTTGATGTTTATCTTTGACAAAAACTTTTTTTTTTTTTTCCTGACGTGGAGTCTCACTCTGTTGCCCAGGCTGGAGTGCAGTGGCATGCTCGGCTCACTGCAACCTCTGCCTCTTGGGTTCAAGCGATTCTCCTGCCTCAGTAGCTGGAGAAGTAGCTGGCACTACAGGCGCCCACCACCACGCCTAGCTAATTTTTGTATTTTTAGTAGAGATGGGGTTTCACCATGTTGGCCAGACTGGTCTCAAACTCCTGACATCAGGTGACCCACCCGCCTCAGCCTCCCAAAGTGCTGGGATTACAGGTGTGAGCCTCTGTGCCCAGCCGAAAAAAAAGTTTGAGGCTAAGCCACTAAGCTCCTCAGTTACAATAAGAATTTCCTGTGATTTAGTCATCTTTCTCTTCCTGGTACAGAGAGGAGACAGCATTATAAATGGAGATTTCCTTTATAGATGTAAATTTCCCTTACAAAAGAGCAATTTTTACTGTTTTCAGACCTTTTCCTGTGTCTGCTGTTTCTCAAAAATATCAGCTGTAAATAGTCCTTATGTCAAAGAGACGCATTTTGGGGTGGCATATTCTGGTCTCCTACAGTCATGTTTTGGGGTGGCATTTTGGTCTGCTACAACAGGAACTGGTAGTGATAGGCCACCCACTATACCATCCAGTAACATCAGTACCACTGGTTTGATGTAGTATCTAAAATCCCCACCATTAGCCACTCTTATGGATAGAAGCATTATTTTCAGAAGGCATATATGCCATTCACGAGGGAAAAAACATTTATTTGGTAGACTGTGCCATTAGCATAACAGCCACTTGGACCCATAATGACTTGGAGGCAGAGGACGGACTCCTGTGACATATTATCCCCTGCCCTCAGTTATCTAGAAAGGACTAGGTCCTTAAGGGAAATGCTTTCCTTTTAAATTCTCTAAGCCCAATAGGCTGCTTTGAAAGCTCCATGTTTTCAAAAGTTAAGTTTACCCCTACTATCTTAAGGATCTCACCTGAGCACTCTTGGACTTTTGGCATGGGTCTCTGCAGAATTACAATGCCCCAAACCCTGCCTTCTTTTCTGGGCCCTTCTCCCACTGGCCCCCAAATATTACCCCATCATGACCCTCTGGGGCCCCATTTCTTTTGAGGTTTTGCCAGTAAATCCCTTAAGTCAGTGTCTAAGTCAGTATGAGCTGCCTTAGCAGGATAAACTGGGGCCTGGAGATCTCAATCCAGGAAGAAGACTAGAAAGTCTTTTTTTTTTTTTTTTGAGACGGAGTATCGCTCTGTCACCCAGGCTGGAGTGCAGTGGCGCCATCTCGGCTCACTGCAAGCTCTGCCTCCTGGGTTAATGCCATTCTCCTGCCTCAGCCTCCAGAATAGCTGGGCCTATAGACGCCCACCACCACGCCCGGCTAATTTTTTGTATTTTTAGTAGAGACGGGGTTTCACCATGTTAGCCAGGACGGTCTCGATCTCCTGACCTCATGATCCGCCTGCCTCGGCCTCCCAAAGTGCTGGGATTACAGGCGTGAGCCACCGCACCCGGCCTAGAAAGTCCTTCTTAAATAGGTTCAGCGATTAAAAAGAGAGTCAATTTTGCCATTAATATTTCTCTACTCTACAAGGGAGGTTATAAAAGTTGTGAGAACATATACTGTTTCCAAGAGATACAATAAAGCTATTTTTCATATTGAATGAGTAGAAAATGCCTCTTGAAGGCCAGGCATGGTGGCTCACGCCTGTAATTCCAGCAATTTGGGAGGCTGAGGTGGGTGGATCACTTGAGGCCAGGAGTTCAAGACTGGCCTGGCCAACCTGGTGAAACCCTATCTCTACTAAAAAAAAAAAAATACAAAAAAATTAGCCGGGCATGGAACCCAGAAAGCGGAGGTTGCAGTGAGCTGGCGTCACGCCACTGCACTCCAGCCTGGGTGACAGAGCGAGACCTTGTCTCAAAAAAAGGAAAAAAAAGAAAATGCCTCTTGTAAACATTTTTATTTGATGTTTCTTCCCTCTCCCTTTTTTTTTTTTTTTTTTTTAGGCATGGTCCCTCTATTGTTCAGTCTGGTCTCAAACTCCTGGGCTCAAGTTATCCTCCTGCCTCAGCTTCCCAAATAACTAGGATTACAGGTATGTACCACCATGCCCAGCTACTTTTATTTTTCTTCAATAAAATCTTATGTAAAACATTTCCTAGAGTGAATAGTTCTAAAGTTTTGGGGTGGATCAGTAAAATTTAAAAATAAAACAAACAAAGAAAGATACAAAGAAAACTCAATACCATTAGGTGACCAAAAGCACATTAAGGAAAGATTTCCAAAACTTGGAAATAGGGAAAAGGGATTACTACCTTTCTTCTCAGGGTGCTACTGGGCTTTGTCTAGTAAACATACCCAAGGATTATCTGATCGGCTAGGGGTATGTGCCTTCGTTTGAATTGCTAATCTATTGAGTACAGTATTTAACTAGAAGACTAGCTGGTAGAAAACGAGTAGGAATTTAAATTAATTTTGTCCTATACAGATGCTGATTATTTCTGTCCTTTAGAGAAGACAATCCCAAAGGTGACAGTTAATGTAGACTATAAGCCAGTTTTCACTGGCACAGTGTCTCATGCCTATAATCCCAGCACTTTGGGAGGCAGAGGGGGCGGTGGATCACCTGAGATTGGTAGTTTGAGACCAGCCTAGCAAAGATGGTGAAAACCCATCTCTACTAAAAATACAAAAATCAGCTGGGCATGGTAGTGGGTGCCTGTAATCTCAGCTACTTGGGAGGTTGATGCAGGAGAATCGCTTGAACCCAGGAGGCAGAGTTTGCAGTGAGCCGAGATTGCACCACTGCACTTCAGCCTGGGTGACATAGTGAGACTCAGTTTCAAAAAGAAAAAAAATTATCCAGTTTTGTATCTAAATTGGCAAACTTTTGCAAACATTCTTTCCTTTAGCCGCTATAAAGGCTTCACTCTCTTTAATTCTCTTTGAACTAGCCTTACCATTTTGCTGGTTCCTTCATTAATGAGTTAACTAAACATGTGACATGTGCTCATTTTTTTATTTGCATGAGATTCATGTTTTTTTAACTTTTTGAGAAGTATACTTTCTCAGTAAGGTTGGCAAGGTTTACTCTGTCAAGTAAAAACAGAAAATTTATACCATCTACTATCTCCATAAAAGTAAATATATTTAATACAAAAAATGAAGGCTATAATGGGAGGTAAAGGACAATATTTAAATGGGTAGTGTAGGAGACCAGAATGTGCCACCCCAAAATATGCCTCTTTGGCATAAAGGCTATTTTGAGCTGATTATTTTGAGAAACAGCAGACACAGGAGAAGCTCTAAAAACAGAGTAGAAGTTACCCTTTTGTAAGGGAAATTTACATCTATAAAGAAAATCTCCATTTGTAAGGGTGTCTCCCTCTCTGCACCAGGAAGAGAAGGGTAACTAAATCATAGGAAACTCTTTTCAATGGAGAAGGCACCAAATTAAATCTGCATGATAAACTTTAATTTTGTTTACCATGCTTTTCCTGGTCATATCCTTATAACCAGCATCCCCCATACTTTTTTCCTTTGATTTTTAGCTGAAGATGCAATATAAGCCTGAATTCTAAGCTACCTCTTGGAGAGTTACACATTTTCTCTGGGCTATTTCCCATGTATAGGAAGGAAATTAAAATATCTCACCCCAAGATATACTTCTTTGACATGTTTTGAGATGGCTGTTCAGAGGGCCTGCAAACAGAAGCAGCCCTGCAAAGCTGTCTTTTGTGCGGAAGATTTGCATCTGTAGAGAAAATCTGCGTTAATGCAGCCATTTTTCTCTGCATTTTCTCTTTCCTCTAAAGCCTTCCCTTCTCTGAATCTAGGAAAGATTAACTGAGAGTCTTGTAACCACCCAGTGGGTTCACCTTGTTCACTGCCTAGACAGAGCGAATTTATCAAGACAGCGGAATTGCAATGGTGAAAGAGTAATTCATGCACAGCCGTCTGTGTGGAAGACTGGAGTTTTATTATTACTCAAATCAGTCTCCCTGAGCATTCAGGGATCAGCGTTTTTAAGGATTATTTGGCAGGTATGGGCTCAGGAAGTAGGGAGTGTTGATTGGTCGGATTGAAGATAAAATTACAGGGGGTTGAAGTGAGTTCTTGCTGACTTCTGTTCCTGGATGGGATCACAGGACTGGTTGAGCCAGATTAGCAGTCTGAGTGGTGTCATCTGCTGCATTGGAATGCAGGGTCTGCAAAATATCTCAAACACTGATCTTAGGTTTTGCAACAGTGATCTTATTCCCAGAAGCAATTTGGGGAGGTTGAGACTCTTCCAGCCAGAGACTGCATGGCTCCTAAATCATAATTTCTAATCTTGTGGCTAATTATGTCAGGCCTCTGAGCCCAAGCCAAGCCATCATATCCCCTGAGACCTGCACGTACACATCCAGATGGCCGGTTCCTGCCTTAACTGATGACATTCCACCACAAAAGAAGTGAAAATGGCCTGCTCCTGCCTTAACTGATGACATTGTCTTGTGAAATTCCTTCTCCTGGCTCATCCTGGCTCAAAAGCCCCCCCACTGAGTACCTTGTGACCCCCACTCCAGCCCGCCAGAGAACAACCCCCCTTTTTCCTTTACCTACCCAAATCCTATAAAACGGCCCCACCCCATCTCCCTTCGCTGACTGTCTTTTCGGACTCAGCCCGCCTGCACCCAGGTAATTAAAAGCATTATTGCTCACACAAAGCCTGTTTAGTGGTCTCTTCACACGGACGTGCATGAAAGTTAGTCCTACAAAGACAGACTGGTCTCCACGCAAGCAAGGGTTTTTTTCCAGAAAGTGCTATTGTCAATTTTGTTGGTTCAGAGTTTAAACTATAAACTAAATTCCTTCCCAAGACTAGCTCAGCCTACACCCAGGAATGAACAGACAGCTTAGAGGCTAGAAGCAATGTGGAATCAGTGAGGTCTGACCTTTTTCACTGTCATAATTTCCTCAGTTATGATTTTTG
The DNA here is from genome assembly GCF_000001405.40 of Homo sapiens. NCBI lineage: Eukaryota > Metazoa > Chordata > Mammalia > Primates > Hominidae > Homo > Homo sapiens. Next base: position 47,698,050 of record NC_000002.12, on the reverse strand, counting down.
CAAAGGCAGTTTTGTAATGCCTAACCTTGTTTTTACTAACCCTGTTTTTAGACTCTCCCTTTCCTTTAATCACCTAGCCTTGTTTCCACCTGAATTGACTCTCCCTTAGCTAAGAGAGCCAGGCAGACTCCATCTTGGCTCTTTCACTGGCAGCCCCTTCCTCAAGGACTTAACCTGTGCAAGCTGACTCCCAGCACATCCAAGAATGCAATGAACTGATAAGATGCTGTGGTGAGCTATATCCGCAGTTCCCAGGAATTCGTCCCATTAATAACGCCCGATTAATAACGCCCAAAGCCCCGCGTCTATCACCTTGTAATAGTCTTAAAGCCCCTGCACCTGGAACTGTTTACTTTCCTGTAACCATTTATCCTTTTAACTTTTTTGCCTACTTTACTTCTGTAAAATTGTTTTAACTAGACCCCCCCCTCCCCTTCTAAACCAAAGTATAAAAGAAAATTTAGCTCCTTCTTTGGGGTCTAAAGAACTTTGAGCGTTAGCCGTCTCTTGGCCGCTGGCTAAATAAACAGACTCTTAATTCGTCTACAAGTGTGGCGTTTTCTCTAACTCGCTCAAGTACAACAGTTTCAGTCTGACACCTTTAAAAGTCTGAAAGTGTAACCACCTGATGGGTTCGTCCTGCCCACTGCACAGGCAAAACCAATTCACTGAGACCACAGCATTGCAATAAAGAAAGAGTTTAATAGATACAAGGCTGGCCACGCCACGTGGAAGACTGAATTATTACTCAAATCAATCTCCCTGAAAAATTCAGAGGTTAGGGTTTTTAAGGATAGTTTGGCAGGCCAGGGAGCCTATTTCTGGGTGGGGCCACATGACCAGGTGGCAGAGATCAGCAGGTCTCAGTGGAGCCATTGGTTCATCGTTAGTCAGAAATGCAAAAACCTGAAAAGATATCTCAAAAGACCAATCTTGGCTGTGCGCAGTGGCCCATACCTGTAATCCCAGCACTTTGGGAGGCCAAGGTGGGAGGATCACCTGAGGTCAGGAATTCGAGACCAGCCTGACCAAAATACTAAAATTAGTATTAGCCTACTAAAAATACAAAATTAGCCGGGCATGGTGGCACATGCCTGTAATCCCAGCTACTTGGGAGGCTGAGGCAGGAAAATGACTTGAACCTGGAAGGCGGAGGTTGTGGTGAGCCGAGATCGCACCATTGCACTCCAGCCTGGGCAACATGAGCGAAACTCTGTCTCAAAAACAAAAACAAAACAACAACAAAAGACCAATCTTAGGTTCTATTAGGTTGGTGCAAAATAATTGCAGTTTTTGCGATTAAAAGTAATAGTGATGTTATCTGCAGGAGTAACTGGGAGAGTTGCAAATCTTATGACCTCCAGCATAATGGCTGGTAATTGTTTATGTTTACACCTTAGAATTCAGCCTGCTCACATCCTCCTAACCTGGTAGTCTCTCATTAGCTTTACAAAGGTGATTTAGTTTTGGGTAAGGGTTATTATCATTTAAACTATAAACTAAATGTCTCCCAAAGTTAGGTTGGTCTAAGTCCAGGAATGATTAAGGGCAGTTTGAAGGTTAGAGGCAAGATGGGGTTGGTTAGGTCAGATCTCTTTCACTGTCATAATCTTCTCACTGTTAGAATTTTTGCAAAGGTGGTTTCAAAAGAAACATTTATCATCTATTCTGAGGACTGCTACCTGTGAGGTTTCATCTGCATAACAAGACCACCTTTGCTAGTCAGGCCTCCTCCCCCTCCCAGAACCTGTTTTGCCACAACCAAAGCCCCCATTCTTTCTGGAACCTCAAGATGACATACAAGCTTCAGAACCCCATTGCATGGTAGGGATAATCACTCTGTGGTTCTCTCCCATATGCACGCTAATAAATTTGTATTCCTTTTCGCCAATAAATCTGCTATTGTTAGTTGATTTTTCAGCAAACCTTCAGAGGGTAAAGGGCAAGTTTTACCTTGGCCCCTGCAGTTTTGGCGCTGTGAGTAGGATACCAAAGCTCTGCTCTTCTGGAAGCTGCAGTCATGGGAACTCGGGACCCGATGAGAGAGAAGAAAGGAAGAAACCGGTCAGGCAGGCAGAGTGGATCCTTAGTTGAATTCTTTCAAACAAAAGAACGGCCTAAAAAAATCATGCTGGAGGCTGGGCACAGTGGCTCACGCCTGTAATCCCAACACTTTGGGAGGCACAGGCGGGCGGATCACGAGGTCAGGAGATCCAGACCATCCTGGCTAACATGGCGAAACCCCATCTCTACTAAAAAATACAAAAAAAAAAAAAATTAGCTGGGCGTGGTGGTGGGTGCCTGTAGTCCCAGCTACTTGGGAGATTGAGGCAGGAGAATGGTGTGAACCCAGGAGGCGGAGTTTGCGGTGAGCCGAGACCACGCCACTGCACTCCAGCCTGGGCGACAGAGTGAGACTCTGTCTCAAAAAAAAAAAAAAAAAAAAAAATCATGCTGCATGCTGCAGGCACAGATAAGGGAACTCATACAGAGGGGCTTCCCTAAGACATGCCCACTGCCGCATAGATAAGAAAGGCTACACAGGTGACTTGCCCTTGCAGACATGCCTGCAATGCAAAATTCCGTCCCCTGACACATGCGCAGTAAGGGGAATAAAGCAATCTGGAGTAACTCAAGCTAAGGGCCCAGGTGCACATTAGGATGATGGAGTGGAGCTACCAAAAATTCACATCTTATGCAAATGAGATGCCTAGCCCTCATAGGTTTCTTATAAAACCCTTTGCATTCAAGTGTGAAAAGGGCAACCCTCTTCTGGGCCCCCTCTCTCCTTGGCTTTTGAGGGTACCAGGGAGTAAGCTGTAGTGTGAGAAAGAACTTGACCTTTGTGTGTGTGATGGCTGGCTAGTTGCTGATGAAAGCTGCAGTTTTAGAGGTGGCCGATAACAGTTTCAATGAATGGTTATTACTGCAGGGGGCTACTTTCTTCTTTGCACGTTTACTTAAGAAAGGCATGGTTTGAACACTTAGAGGCTGTAAGAGCACTCACCACCAACGGACAAGATTCCCATGGGAGGTGGGCTGGTCACAAAGTGGGCTGATTGGCAGTGGGTCACCCACCAGCTTCGGGGGAATATCTTTGTAGTGAGGTGCACTGTGGAAGTGTTGTGCAGCCTCCTGTGGTATTTTCCTCTTTTTAGGGTCTTGGGTTTCAGTGTAAAAGTGGAATCTTTGATTTTTTTTTTCTTTTCTTTTTTTTTTTTTTTGAGACAGAGTATCACTCTGTTGCCCAGGCTGGAGTGCAGTGGGGAGATGTCAGCTCACTGCAACCTCCGCCCCCTGGGTTTAAGCGATTCTCCTGCCTCAGCCTCCCGAGTAGCTAGGATTACAGGCTCCTGCCACTGCGCCCGACTAATTGTTGTATTGTTAGTAGAGACAGGGTTTCACCATCTTGGCCAGGCTGGTCTTGAACTCCTGACCTCGTGATCCACCCACCTCGGCCTCCCAAAGTGTGGGATTACAGGCGTGAGCCACCGCGCCCGTCCGGAATTGATTTTTAAAGATCTAGATGTTCTGTTTTCCCGCTGTGCCTGCCTTTCATATATTATTACTGGGCCCTAAAAACTGCAAATGCTCTGTTGGCCCTCTTCCCTCTTTTTTTTTTTGACATGGAGTCTCGCTCTGTTGCCCAGGCTTGGACTCCTGGGCTCAAGCGATCCACCCATCTTGGCCTCCCAAAGTTCTGGAATTACAGGTGTGAGCCACCACTCCTGGTCGATCTGTCTTGTGGTTGCCCAACACCACACTTCTGTCTGTAAGTTCCCCAATAAAATCACCTCTATGATGACAAGCTGGACTTGTCTCCCTTCTTCTTCAGTTTCCTGGCTCCTTCTGCTTATCAGGGTCACTTTGTATATATGACCCTTTCACAAGACACCAGTTAATGTGACTTTAGCAGTCTTTTGGTTTATATTTAATTTTTTTTTTAGACCAAGTCTTGCTCTGTCACCCAGACTGGAGTGCAGTGCTCACTGCAACCTTCACCTTCTGGGTTCAAGGAATTCTCCTGCCTCAGCCTCCAGAGTAGCTGGGATTACAGGGGTGCACCGCCACGCCCAGCTAATTTTTTGTATTTTTAGTAGACACAGGGTTTCACCATGTTGGCCAGGCTGGTCTCAAATTCCTAACCTCAGGTGATCCATCCGCCTCAGCCTTCCAAAGTGTTGGGATTACAGGCGTGAGCCACTGCGCCTGGCCAAGGACTAGTTTAATATTGTTGGTTTAATAAAAAAAAGAACTATGTCTTTTGACTTATCAGCAAACTATACATGTATTTAACTTCAAAGTTCTTGCTTTTTTGATACTTGCCTAACATATAAAAATAGTTAATAAAAAATTTAACTTGAGATAATGACTAGATTTGTTTCATGTCTCATACAATTTTTCAAACACAATTGTTAAGAATAAATAAATGTCAATGAGATAAAAGTTTACAAATGGACTTTCTTTTTTTGAGACAAGGTCTTGCTTTGTTGCCCAGGCTGGAGTGCAGTGGTATGAACATACCTTACTGCAGCCTCAACCTCCGGGGCTCAAGCAATCCTCCTGCCTTAGCTTCCCAATGTGTTGGGATTATAGGCATGAACCACCTTGCCTGGCCTACAATGAACTTTTAATAATAGTTATGTTTTATAATGTGTTTTCTTAAAAAGGTTTCTCAGAGGCAAGCGTGGTGGCATACGCCTGTAGTTTCAGCTACTCAAGAGGCTGAGGTGGGAGGATCATTTGATTCCAGGAGTTTTAGTCCAGCTTAGACAGCAAAGTGAGACCCCTGTCTCCTATACAGAGAGAGAAAGAAAGAGTTAAAAAAAAGTTTCTAAAATCTTTTTGGTAACTCTATACCCTTAGAGTTTTGCTGAGACAAATTAAATAATACATATTTTTAGCTGGGCTTGGTGGTGCATGCCTGTAGTCCCAGCTACTTGGAAGGCTGAGGTGGGAGGATCAATTGAACCTGGGAGGTCAAGGCTGCAGTGAACTGTGATGACATCACTGCACTCAGCCTGGGCAACAGAGTGAGACCCTGTCTCAAAAAGATAAAAAAATTAGGGTCAGGTGTGGTGGCTCACGCCTGTAATCCCAGCACTTTGGGAGGCTGAGGTTGGTGGATTAACTGAGATAAAGATTTCGAGACCAGCCCAGCCAATATGGCAAAACCCCATCTCTACTAAAAATACACAAATTAGCTGGGCTTGGTGTTGGGCACCTGTAATCCCAGCTGCTAGGGAGGCTGAGGCAGGAGAATCAATTGAACCCGGGAGGCAGAGGTTGCAGCGAGCTGAGATCACACCACTGTACTCCAGCCTGGGCGACAGAGCAAGACTCCATCTCAAAAAAAAAAAAAAAACCAAGGAAAAAAAAACAACAGATATCCAGCCATGGGCAACATGACAAAACCCCCTCTCTACAGAAAATGAGCCAGGCATGGTGCCACATGCCTATAGTCCCAGCTACTCAGGAGGCTGAGATGGGAGGATCACCTGAGCCCAGAAGGCTGAGGCAGCAGTGAGCTGAGATTGCACCACTGCACTCTAGTCTGAGTGACAGAGAGAGAGAGACTCAGTCTCAATACATAAATAAATACATAAATAAAAAGAAATTTAAGAAATAAAAGGAATGATAGATAAAATGGAATGCATATAAAAAGCTAAAAGAAAGAGAATGAAAAAAATTATAAGAGGTTCTAAAAGGTTTATGGAACTCTTATTGTGTATGGTCAAACTGATTGAATTTGGGTGAATTTGTTATAAGGTTTTGTTAAAATTAGCTTTGCCATTAATAATACACTGATGCAAAGGTAGAATTTTGAAAAAGATTTTCATCTAGTATTAATAAGGGGTAATAATAGATTTTTGTTTACTTTTAAGTATACTGAAAAAAATGAGGGGAGAGGGAGAGACAGACTTTGTTTGCCTCATGCTGTCTTTATTAGGTCTTTTGATTGTTGGGAAAATGAGACTCTTCTCTATCAAAGAGTAAAGTTTTTGCTTTTTGAAATCTTTGAATTATCACTTTGGCTCAATGAATGATTATTATTTTACAGTGACCTGTGATCCTATTTTGATAAAATGTTTTAAACCTTTCATATTTAACAAACTTCCTAAAATTAAATTTCAAGTTCCAAAAAGAGCCGCTGGAAGTTCAAGAGAGACACACTAAGTTTATTTTGTATGTAAATGTCACACAGGAAGCATTGTCAAGTAAGAAATGGCGTTTAACTTTCTCTGAGTTCTATTTGTATAAATGTGTTGTTAATATGTGTTCCAAAATTGTGTGAGATTCCTAAAATTCTGATATGTCTTAGTAAATGTTATCAATTATAATGATTATTATGTTAAATTTTTGTACGTCACAGAAATAACCAAATTTTTTTTTTTTTTTTGTCAATCACATCTTTTCTTTCTTTCTTTCTTTTTTTTTTTTTTTTTTGAGACAGTTTCACTTTTGTTGCCCAGGCTGGAGTGCAGTGGTGCGATCTCAGCTCACCGCAACCTCCGTCTCCCAGGTTCAAGCAATTCTCCTGCCTCAGTCTCCTGAGTAGCTGGGATTACAGGCACAAGCCACCACGCCTGTCTAATTTTATATTTTTAGCAGAGACGGGGTTTTATCATGTTGGCCAGGCTGGTCTCAAACTCTTGACCTCAGGTGATACACCCGCCTCAGCCTCCTGAAGTGCTGGGATTATAAGCGTGAGCCACCGCGCCCAGCCGTTCCTGTTGTTTTTATGTTACAAAATTTATCAGCAAGTCTCCTTTTGCGGGTGGCGGCGAACGCGGAGAGCACGCCATGAAGGCCTCGGGCACACTACGAGAGTACAAAGTAGTGGGTCGCTGCCTGCCCACCCCCAAATGCCACACACCACCCCTCTACCGCATGCGAATCTTTGCGCCTAATCATGTCGTCGCCAAGTCCCGCTTCTGGTACTTCGTATCTCAGTTAAAGAAGATGAAGAAGTCTTCAGGGGAGATTGTCTACTGTGGGCAGGTGTTTGAGAAGTTCCCCTTGCGGGTGAAGAACTTCGGGATCTGGCTGCGCTATGACTCCCGGAGCGGCACCCACAACATGTACCGGGAATACCGGGACCTGACCACCGCAGGCGCTGTCACCCGGTGCTACCGAGACATGAGCGCCCGGCACGGCGGCCGGGCCCACTCCATTCAGATCATGAAGGTGGAGGAGATCGCGGCCAGCAAGTGCCGCCGGCCGGCTGTCAAGCAGTTCCACGACTCCAAGATCAAGTTCCCGCTGCCCCACCGGGTCCTGCGCCGTCAGCACAAGCCACGCTTCACCACCAAGAGGCCCAACACCTTCTTCTAGGTGCAGGGCCCTCGCCCGGGTGTGCCCCAAATAAACTCAGGAACGCCCCAGAAAAAAAAATTTATCAGCAAGAAAATAATTTAAGATGATGGCTAGCTGTTTATGTCTCATGGAATTTTTATGATTAATCCAAGCAAGATTGTTTAAAAACAGCTGAGTTAATTTATAAGCTTCTATCTCACATCTGTTTATCTTTTCACCAATCATTATGTTTTGTAATATGTTTATTTAAAAATAATTCTCCAGGCTGAGCATGGTGGCTCATACCTCATGCTTGTAACTCCAGCACTTTAGGAGGCCAAGGTGGGAGGATTGCTTGAGCCCAGGAGTTTGAGACTGCCTGGGCAACACAGTTGGAACCTGTGTCTACAAACAAATTAGTTAGCTGGGCGTGGTGTCATGCACCTGTGGTCCCAGCTACTCAGGAGGCTGTGATAGGAGGATCACTTGAGCATGGAAGGTCAAGACTGCAGTGAGCTGTAATCGTGCCACTGCACTCCACCCTTGGTGACAGAGCAAGACCCTGTCTCAAAAAATGATGAGAATTATAATAATTCTACAACTCTCTTTGGTATCTTTCACCCTTAGAGTTTTGCTAAGTTAAATGATGGATATTCATTGCATTCATAGATTATTTCCAAACAAGGAGATATACTGAAGCATTAATTGCCTCACATAAGTATATACTTATCTATTGTTCACTTACTATAGAGGAATGAATGATATTTGGTTAGCAAACATGTCCTGTGCCACATTGAAAAATAGCATTATTTAAAAAAATAAGCAAAAACACCTCTATGTGCATATTTGGTAAGAAAAGTAGGATGTATTTTTGAAAAGAAAAAATATGAGGCATGAAGATGCGTTTTGGCTGAGGAAAAGGAGAGTAATTCAGTTTGGAAGTCCCTCCCCTATAGCATGGGAAATGCTCCCAAAGAGGCATTTCCTCTGCAGAGGTGGGCACTCAAAAACAAAGGAAGTCGCTCAGCCTAGACAGTCTCTGAGATGTAAATGACTCACTTCTGATGAGGAGGCGTCCAAATAACTGATCCTTCCAGACCACTGCTCTTCCCTTAACTCTTCATCATTTATTCTTTATTTATTTTTTTTATTTTTATTTTTTGAGACAGAGTCTCGCTCTGTTGCCCAGGCTGGAGTGCAGTGGTGCGATCTCAGCTCACTGCAACCTCGGCCTCCTGGGTTCAAGCGATTCTCCTGCCTCAGCTTCCTGAGTAGCTGGGATTACAGGCGCCCACCACCATGGCTGACTAATTTTTGTATTTTTAGTAGAGACAGGGTTTTATCATGTTGGCCAGGCTGGTCTCAAACTCCTGACCTCAAGTGATTTCCCCTACTCCTGCCCCCGCTTCCTCTGCACACATTGGCCTCCCAAAGTGCTGAGATTATAGTGAGCCACCACACCTGGCCATTCATTCTTCATTCAACAGGTAATCAGTAGCAGGAAATGGCCTAAACAGGGGTGTCCGAGAGAGAACACAGCCATGGGTTCTTAGTTTCTGTTTCTGGCTGGGCTAACAAAGCCCCTTCTTTATCTCTCTTTTCTGCTTTTCACTAGAGACAGAAACTAAAAACCATGGCTTCAGGTTGCTAAAAGCCTAAAACAAAACAAAACAGAACATGAACAACAAAATAAGGTGGGTTGGATGAGCTTGGCCTGCAGGGTGGAATTGGTGGATGTACTGAGGAATGGAACCGGAAGTCTGTGCTGGTTATTGGTATTTTGCCTGTCAGCTCCAAAGCCATTCTTTTTTGCCTGCTCTGTGAAAACGTATCTGGGCCTTTTAAGTATTTCTTTATTTTGTTCCTTTGCCATCTGGCACTTAATTGTCAGTAGAGGCCAGGGAAGAATGAGTGCAGGAGGAAAAGGGTTTTGCTTCCTGGTTCCATTGCCAGCTCTGCAGGCCCCTGCGGTGTGCGAGGCCTGCCCCAGCACCAGGCTTCTGCGGTGGATGTGGTTTCCCAGTGCCTCACGCCAGCAGCAAGGGTGGCTTCTCCAGCACAGCTCCTTCAGTGCTTGAAGCTTCTCCAGACTCCAGCAGCACAGCTGGATTCCTCAGTATCTGTCTCTTGCAATGTGTAATCAGCAGCACCTAGTACAGTAGCTTTCCCCTGTATCCAATTCTGATGGTTTTGTAGCGAACTGTCTGCACTGAGTTACTTCCCTGTGAACAGCCTTCTCCCCAGCACCCCAGAAGACAGATTTCTAGCATGTTCCACTGGCATGGCACCTCAGTGAGGTCTCTGATATTTAGTGAGTCACAGCCATGCTTCTCCAGCAAGGCCTATATCTCAGCCCAAGGGTAAGTACTACATCTCAGCCCTGGGGTGGTGGCTTTTTATATTATATTTGTCATGCACATCCATGTAAAGAGACCACCAAACAGGCTTTGTGTGAGCAATAAAGCTTTTTAATCACCTGGGTGCAGGTGGGCTGAGTCCAAAAAGAGAGTCAGCAAAGGGACTTAGGGATGGGGCAGTTTTATAGGATTTGGGTAGGTAGTGGAAAATTATAGTCAAAGGGGGTCTCAAGGTGCTCAGTGGGGGAGCTTCTGAGCCAAGAGAAGGAATTTCATAAGGTAATGTCATCAGTTAAGGCAGGAACCGGCCATTTTCACTTCTTTTGTGATTCTCCAGTTGCCTCAGGCCATCTGGATGTATAAGCACAGGCTTGGGCTCAGAGGCCTAAGAATATTAATCTGCCATTATCACATCAATTATATCTGCTATTCCTATATTCTTTTTTATTCTTTTTATTTCTTACTACCCCACCTCTGGTTACTCTGTCTAATTCCATGTTATGGTTAGTAATTCTTTGTTTTTTGTTTTTTGTGTTTTTTTTTTGAGACGAAGTCTCACTCTTGTCCCCCAGGCTGGAGTGCAATGGTGCAATCTCAGCTCACTGCAACCTTCCCTTCTCGGGTTCAAGCGATTCTCCTGCCTCAGCCCCCCTGAGCAGCTGAGACTACAGGCGCCTACCACCATGCCCAGCTAATTTTTGTATTTTTAGTAGAGACGGGGTTTCACCATGTTGGCCAGGCTGGTCTCGAACTCCTGACCTCAGGTGATCCACCTGCCTCGGCCTCCCAAAGTACCAGGATTACAGGCATAAGCCATCGTGCCCAGCCTATGGTTAATAATTCTTTATATTAAACTTTTTCTATTTGAACTACTGTTTTTTTTCTCTCTTGATGGGACTCAGACTGATACATTTATTCATTCTGGCCAAAGACAATAAGACATGGGTTTTGGATGGGTGTGGGCTTATGCCTGTAATCCCAGCACTTTGGGAGGCCAAGGTGGAATGTTTGCTTGAGTCCAGGAGTTCACAACCATTAATTAATGAGTTAAATAAAATCTTTGACATCTGTTTGTTTTATATTTGTATGAGTATCATCATTTTACCTTTAAAAAAAATCTTTCAGCAGCGACCAGCAATAGAATCCCACAAAGAGAATGGCTTAATCATTTGGGGAGGACCATACAGAAGGAGAGGCAGGGCAACATAGTGAGATCCTGTCTCTACAAAAAATTTAAAAATTAGCTGGGCATGATGGCGTGCACATGTAGTCCCCAGCTACTCGGGAGGCTGAGGTGGGAGGATCACCTGAGCTCAGGAGGTTGAGGCTGCAGTGAGCCATGATCGCATCACTGCACTCTAGTCTGGGTGACAGAGTGAGACCTTGTGTTAAACAAACAAACAAACAAACAAAACCAGGGGTCATGTCCCACAAGAGCTCATAGTCGAGTGGGTGGAGGAACAAGAAAACAGATAACAGTGTAAGGAAATACAAGGGGCTATAACTGAGATATGACTACAACCTATGGAGGTCCAGCAAGGGAGCAGAAGGAGCTGAGAAGGTTTTGCCTTTTTTTAAATAAAAAAAAAATGTTTTTGGCCAGGTGCAGTGGTGTCGGTAATCCTAGCACTTTGGGAGGCCAAGACGGGCAGATCACCTGAGCTCAGGACTTCAAGACCAGCCTGGCCAAAATGGTGAAGCCCCATCTGTACTAAAAACACAAAAAATTAGCTGGGCATGATGGCGGCGGGGGTTGGGGGTTCCTGAGAGAGAAGAATCACTTGAACTCAGGAGACGGAGGTTGCAGTAAGCCCAGATCATGCCACTGCACTCCAGCCTGGGTGACAGAGCAAGACTGTCTCAAAAAAAAAATTTTTTTAAATTTAGACACAGGTTCTCACTATATTGCCCAGGCTGGTCTTGAACACCTGGGCTCAAGAGGTCCTCCAGCCTTAGCCTCCCAAAGTGCTGGGATTACAGGCATTAGCCACCGCAGCAGCCCAAGGTTTTGCTCTAATTCCTGCTGTTATGACTAGGGCAGCTGGAGAGCCCATGAGGAAAAGAACCAGAGACCAGCTTGTGAGGGTGGTAGAAGCTTGATAATGTCCCGGTGGCCATGTGGTTTCTGGCCTGTTTTCAATTGAAGGTGTCAGAAAAAATTGTGAAAGACGTTGGAATATGGAGAAATTTCCGGATGTCCTATGTCCTGTGCCAGGTACTCTTCCAGGTTCTGTAAGTGTTTCATTTTCTGACCTGAGAGTACTGCAAGTGATCCTTGTCCATAGAAATGCCAATGAACTTTGCCCAGCGGAATACATACAGACATTGACCAATTTTGCTTGTTTTTGGAAATTCATTTTAGTATTCCATTTGCCTATGTGTATGCGTGTTCTTTGACTTCTCCTTTGAATCATTTCTACCATCCTACTGCTTCTCTCATTAATTAATGAGTTAAATAAAATATTTGACAACTGTTTATTTTATGTTTGTATGAGTATCATGATTTTACCTTTAAAAAAATCTTTCAACAGTGACCAGCAATAGAACCCTCAAAAGAGAATGGCTTAATCATTCTGGGAGGACAATGCAGAAGGAGAGGCTGAGAGAAGCTGAGTGTGAAAGAAAATACCAGGGGTCAGATTAATCTGAATACGCATTCTTTAGTGAGCACCTACTGTAAACCCTGAACCCAATATAGGGAGGAGGCTGTGGCCCTGAGTGCACCGAGCCCAGGTCAGTGGCTCAGGACTCACCCTGCAGGAGACTAGCCCTTGAGCCTCCCATTCACGCTGTCTCCTCCTCCCAATGTCTGAGAGGGTCAGATGTGGGGTAACTGGAGCCTGTCAGTGGTGCTGGAAGAAGGAAACCTCTGCTGGAAGCACCACTTTTCTTTCTTTTTTTTTTTTTTTTTTTTGAGACAGAGTCTAGCTCTGTTGCCCAGGTTGGAATGCAGGGCGCAATCTCGGCTCACTGCAACCTCCGCCTCCCGGATTCAAGCCATTCTCCTACCTCAGCCTCCCGAGTAGCTGGGACTACAGGCGCCTGCCACCACGCCCAGCTAATTTTTGTATTTTTAGTAGAGACGGGGTTTCACCGTATTGGCCAGGATTGTCTCGATCTCCTGACCTCATGATCCACCCGCCTCGGCCTCCCAATGTGCTAGGATTACATGCGTGAGCCACCATGCTCGGCCAAATCACCACTTTTCTAATAAAGAGGCCACTTTAATCTCAGAAACAAGATAGAGACAGTATGCTTGTCCAGAAAAGCTGTCCACAGGGACAGATTCCCCATTCCTGAGCAAGTTTGTTCTAATAAAAATAGAGGCAGCAGTTATTGGACACATTAATTTCCCTAATGGATTCTCTTTGGTTTCAAGGCTGGGCCTTTGCTGCTGTGTCCCAGAGCTGAAACTCTGGTGGATGGTGCCAGGCTGACGTGGATACTCTGGAGAGCTGATGGTGCTTGGGCAAGGCCAGGAGGAAGTTGGGGGGATGCCCAGGGTCTTGCAGGCAGGGCAGAGCACCCAGTGGACTTCCTCACATGGTTTTTGGGGGATGCTTTCGGGGCAGACAATCTTCTCTAGGCAAGTTGAGCAATGCATTGGATCTCGCTGGCTTGGTTATTACCTTCCTTTTGAGAGACTAAGTGAAGAGAAAAATACTTGTTCTTTTTCCTGAGCATAAAAGATGTGTTCAGAGGGAAGAACTATTGGTACTCACCCCTACCACCTGCTAAATCTTAACTGAGATGGATTACCTATAGGTGAAGATAGGGTGAGAACCCAGGGGCTGTGGGAAATGGAGGGGAGTAGGGGAGTGTTGAACATCTTGGGATCTGGGATATCTCTACAAGAACTAGGCCATGTGAGGAGAGGTGGGCAGCCCTAGAAGCCTGAAATTTCACAGAATCCAAAGTATATTTGCTGTTTATATATAATTTTATATATGACATATAATTTTATATATATAAAATTTTAAAAAAGAAAAACTAAAAAAAGGCAAATATATATATATATAAAGAAAAACTAAAAAAGGCAAATATATATATATATATTTGAAACCTCTAAATATGGCCAAGATTACTGTCTTTACTGTTTTTGTTGTTTGGGGTTTTTTATTTATTTTATTTATTTTTTATTTTTTTGAGATAGAGTCTCACTCTGTTGCCCAGGCTGGAGTGCAATGGCACAATCTTGGCTCACTGCAAGCTCCGCCTCCTGGGTTCATGTCATTCTCCTGCCTCAGCCTCCAGAGTAGATGGGCCTACAGGCGCCTGCCACCACGCCTGGCTAATTTTTTTTTTGTATTTTTAGTAGAGACGGGGTTTCACTGTGTTAGCCAGGATGGTCTCAATCTCCTGACCTTGTGATCCACCTGCCTTGGCCTCCCAAAGTGTTGGGATTACACGCGTGAGCCATCGCGCCCGGCCTGCTTGGGGTTTTTTAAATGCTTTTTTTTTTTGGTGTTTTTTTTTTCTATTCACTACCTGTACTTTTAAGCATTATTTTATTAAGGTGAATATGGTATGCCTTTGTTTGGTTTTGCTATTTACTATTAACGGCTCAGATTCTGTGAAGTAGCATATTAACCTGAAGATTTGAGTGTTACAGAAATGCATGTGATTTATGTATACAATAAAAGATAACCCCAAAGCTTTCAATTTACTGTTCTATAGGGTATTAACATATATATATATAAAATATATATGCAATCTTATTTTAATGTTTCTTTATTAAATTGCCTATAAATACCCAACTTCTCAAATGCTGCTTTTAAGTAACTTCATAATTTGAGGTAATTATAGATTCACATGCACTTATAAGAAATAATAGAGACCCTGTGTATCCTTTACTCAGTTTCTTCTAACAATAACATTTCACACAACTGTAATGCATGATCACAACCAGGTTTGACCTTGATACAGTCAAGATGCAGAGCAAGTTCATCACCACAAGGATGCCTCATCTTGTCCTTTTACAGCCTTACTCACTTCCCTCCCCTCTACCTTAACAAAGACTTTCTACTTGACCAAACTTTAGTCAGTCAGGCTCTTTTTTTTTTTTTTTTTTTTTTTTGAGATGGAGTCTGGCTTTGGCTTTGTCACCCAGGCTGGAGGGCAATGGCACGATCTTGGCTCACTGCAACCTCCACCTGCCGGGTTCAAGCAATTCTCCTGCCTCAGCCTCCCGAGTAGCTCGGACTACAGGCATGCGCCACCATGCCCAGCTAATATTTTGTATTTTTAGTAGAGATGGGGTTTCACCGTGTTGGCCAGGCTGGTCTCGAACTCCTGAGCTCAGGTGATCTGCCCGCCTTGGCCTCCCCAAGTGCTGAGATTACAGGCGTGAGCCACCGTGCTTGGGCTAGTCAGGCTCTTCTGAGCTGTCTTCTCAACTAGTCTTCAACCATTGGGCTTCCCTGTCCATCTTTGCCTTGCCCAGTTTTAGCAAGAGTCCTGCTAAATTGGTTTAGCCAGAACCCCTACCCTCCATATCTGACCACATTTCCCATTCTCCACCACTCCCCAGGTGACATCTGGTCACCCTGGTCGGTCTCCATCAAGAATCCTGTAAGGTCTTTTTAACCAGAATCCCCTTGACTCTTTTTTTTTTTTTTGATACAGAATTTCCCTCTTGTCACCCAGGCTGGAGTGCAATGGTGCAATCACTGCAGCCTCTGCCTCTCAGATTCAAACCATTCTCCTGCCTCAGCCTCCTGAGTAGCTGGGATTACAGGTGCCCGTCACCACGCCCAGCTAATTTTTATTTTTTTAGTAGGGACGGGGTTTCACCATGTTGGCCAGGCTGGTCTCAAACTCAGGTGATCTGCCTGCCTCGGCCTCCCAAAGTGCTGTGATTACAGGCGTGAGCCACCGCGCCCAGCCTCCCTTGACTCTTGTTATTTTCTCTTAGTAATTTTTGATCCACTGACCTCCTACTCTGCTCTTTAGCTATAAATCTCCAGTTGTTCATGTTGTATTTGGAATTCAGCCCAGTTCTATACTGAGGTATCTTTCCTGCATTGTAATAGTCCTAGATACAATCTGTTTTTACTGCTCTATCATCTAGCTCTGATTTTCTTCCTCTCTCTCTCTTTCTCTCTCTCTTTAAGAGACATGGTCTTGCTCCATCTCCCAGGCTGGAGTACAGTGTCACCATCATAGCTCACTGCAGCTTCGAACTCCTGGGCTCAAGTGATCTTCCTGCCTCAGCCTCCCGAGTAGCTAGGACTACAGACTTGCAGATCTGCACCCAGCTTATTTTTATTTTTATTTTTTCTTTTGGTGAAGAGGAGTTTTGCAGTATTGCCCAGGCTGGTCTCAAACTCCTGGCCTCAAGCGATCCTCCTGGCCTCAAGCGATCCTCCTGGCCTCAAGCAGTCAAAGTGCTGGGATTACAGGTGTGAGCCACCATGCCTGGTCCTAAAATTGGTCTTTTGAGATGTTTTCCAGACTTTTGCATTCTGGTAACAGACTGACCACACCTGGACCTGTGACTCATAACTCAACTGGTCCTGTGGCCCCCACCCAGAGGCAGATGCAACATATGGGGACCATTTTCCTCACTTCTCTGATATTTAATTTCCAGCCAATCAGCAGCATTCCCTAGCCCTATGGCCACAAAATTTTCCATAAAATCTCTGGCCTCTGAGTTCTTGGGGAGACTGATTTGAGTAATAATTCCAGTCCTGCCACTTGGTGGCCTTACATTAATTAAACTCTTTACTGAAATGCTATGGTCTCTGTGAATTGGTTTCATCTGTGCAGTGGGCAGGACAAACCCATCGGGTGATAACAGATGGAGAGAATGAGGCCTAGATGATTTGTAAGAACCTCACAGCCCTGTCATCTCTCAAGTGATGACATACATTTTGAGCTGCTGGTACAGATTGTGGTGGCTTGTAAGGGTGGAAAGTGGGGAGCAGCAATACAGTAACAGGAGAATATAGGACTGACACCAACCACCAGAAACACACCATGAAATCCATGGATGGTTTTAAGGGCCTTGCAACTTGAACAAGCTAATGCTTTAACAGTTTGGCAAGTGAAAGAAAGGCACATTCCCACTGAAGCCTTTGAAATGGCATCTCAGTGGCTTTCCTGAAAACCCTGACATTTTGATGGATTTGAAGTAACAACCGAACATTTAGGGCTGAGGCCCCGACGTACAGCTGCTGTCAACACCCAGGTAGCGATCCCCAAAACCACAGTAAATGTTCACAAGTGTTGTTCAGGGAACATCAGACCTGGAGCTGAGAGATGCATCCACTGCTTCCTTCAGAAAGCCCTCAGAGACCTCTAAGGACATATGCCTTCAGATGGCCCCAATCTCAGGAGCAAGGATCACTACTTTACAACTAACGTAAATGAAACCTGGCTGGGCACAGTGGCTCATGTCTGTAATACCACTTTGGGAAGCCAAGGCGGGCGGATCACCTGAGGTCAGGAGTTTGAGACCAGCCTGGCCAACATGGTGAAACCCCATCTCTACTAAAAATACAAAAAATTAACCAAGTGTGGTGGTGGACATCTGTAATCCCAGCTACTCGGGAGGCTGAGGCAGAAGAATTGCTTGAACCCAGGAGGTGGAGGTTGCAGTGAGCCTAGATCGTGCCACTGCACTCCAGCCTGGGTGAAAGAGTGAGACTCAGTCTCAAAAACTAAATAAATAAAAAATAAACAAAGTAAATGAAACCCAAAGGGTTGAACCCTCACCCTAGAGTAGATAACATATGGAAATAGAAAGCAGGAAAATTAATTTTTTAAGGTCCAGCTTACTTCCTCTATGATGCGTTCCCAGACCACTGTAGATCACAGGGATTCAATCATTTTTGTTTATCAATTTAACAAATGTTGCTTTCCTTTCAAGTGTCAGGGACTATGCTATGATGGAAAATAAGACAGTCCCTCACCCCCAGGATCAACCATTGTGGATGAATGGGCATCCAATGATATTATCATCACCACAATGGCTGTGAGTTACCAGACACTTACCGTAACCCAGGTACTTGCTAAGGTGTTAAGTACATACTTCAGTTATCTTCAAAATACCCAGAGAATATGGAAATAAGTATAACCAAGATATTCTGATTTGTCATTTTGGGTAACAAAATAAGGACACTTCTCTTTTAATATTCAAACTGATATTTCAGAGTTCTCCTGAAGATCCCACCCTTTTGCGATGAGTTCCACAGCCCACTCACTCCCAGGGGTCAGTCCTCACAGAGAAGGGTTGCTTGCTGCTGTCCCTCCCATGCAGGATCACCACTGAAAGTGTTCTGTCCTGCCTGGTCGGACCCTTCCCCGTCTTTGATGGCTGATTCCTGGAGTGCAGCCAGCTCTGTAGGCAGTCACTTTATGGATCTCTCTCCTCACTGTCATGCTCACCTAAGTAGCCAGATGCTACTATAGACTAGACTCCTGGTGTTTGCTTACATAAACATACATGAACATGCATGTATGTACATACCTTTCTATTTTGCCAAGAAAATTGAAGTAAGAACATCTTCAGACTCTCTCATCACTTCAGTTACCCACCTACCTGCATCAGTGCCATGACCTCTGCCTTCCTGGCTATTACTATAGATGAACTGCCTCCGTTTTCATAAAGTTAATCTTCCCTTTCCACTTGTGCCTGAGACCCTGCTCTGCCCATCAATTCAAGAACTCAGCAATGGTTCCTCCTCCCTACATCAGCATACTTTCTTCTTTACTGGATCACTCTCCATAACATACAAATATTATGAAAATAATATGTTCTAACAAATATTATAAATATAATTTCTCAGCTAAAAAAAGTTGCTTTTCTCTCTTGATCCATATCCCCCTTCAACTGCTACCCCATTTTTCTCATTGATTCCTCTCCGTCCATTTTCTTTTGAACCTTCCAATCAGGTTTATACCCCCTCCACTGAATTTTGAGCTTGCCAACGCCCTCCATGTTGCTAAGTTTCGCTCAGTTCTCAGGTTGCATCTTCCTTGACATATCAGGAGTATTCAATGAAGAGCATTTTTTTTTTTTTTTTTTGAGACAGGGTCTTGCTCTGTCACCTAGGCTGAAGTGCAGTGGCGCGATCTCAGCTCACTGAAACCTTCGCCTCCCAGGTTCAAGAGATTCTCATGTCTCAGCCTCCCCAGTAGCTGGGATTACAGGTACCCACCACCACACCAGGCTAATTTTTGTATTTTTAGTAGAAACGGGGTTTCACCATGTTGGCCAGGCTGGTCTCGAACTCCTGAATTCAGATGATCCTCCTGCCTCATCCTCCCAAAGTGCTGGGATTACAGGCGTGAGCCACTGCAACAAAGAAGTTTAATAGGATTACAATGTTTTCAATGCAAGGTTGGCTTAAGAGTTACAATGAACTAACTAGTTAGTTACAGTATGGTTTCCCTCACTATGGCCTGTTTTCTTTCTTTTTTTTTTTTTTTACATCTAGTTTTCATTTTCTTTCCAACTCAAAAGGGTATATTTAACATTCCATCTTAAAATGTGGTAGCTATGAAGTCTTTGTGTGAGAAAGGTAAGAGGGAGATTGATAATGAAAGTCAACCAAAAAAAAAAAAAAAAAAAAAGGAAGAAAGAAAGGAAAAGAAAAGAAAGTCAACAGTAAGAGAAAAGGGGTCTTCCCTGGCACCCTTCAGCCATTTACAGCATTTTACAAAACAATGTAGGCAAGGAAGAAGGCTTAATCCATAATCAGAGAAAATAAAGTTTGCAACTGCCTAGGTTATAGCTGCCTGTCATGGGACTCAGGCTTTTAATCATTCTTTAAAGCTCACAATAATTTATTCTTCCAACAGCTTAGATTTTGAATTTCTTGTTTTCTCAGGACTGGGGTCTGGGAAGGGCTGTGTGCACTGAACAACTCCACAGGAAGGGGCTCTCTTTTCATCATCAACCATGAGAATGGCACCCCCTGGAATGCTGCAATATAGAGGCCTTATATTGAGCTCTCTGCTGATTTCAGCCATTAGGATCATCAAACACTCTTTACCTACCCAGAGTCTAACACCCACCAAGCAACCTCTGGTGACCATTTGGCTTTCCATGTGCTTGTCTCACCTGTCAATCTTTGTGAGCTTGGCTATGTGAGATGATCTGTAGAGACTGATCACTTCTGGGTACACAAGCAATGAATTTCAGGCCTAGGAAATGAAGCACCAGATGGAGATGTGATGCCCTCCCAAAAGTCTTGCCCCCTTTACACCCTTTCCCTGGGTGACTTTTCTCAGTTGGAATTGCTTGCCTCCTTCAAACTGACAACAGATTCAAGGGTTCCTGCAGGAAAATCTCCCAAGTTTGATGCTGTTAGATAATACATCAGCGGTCAGGGAGTCCTCATCAAGTTGAGTCCAGCACTGGCATGGTGTGGAGAAATGGGGATGGGTGGCACAGAGGAAAGAGGGGACATCTCCCTGCCCTCCGGGAGCTCCAGCAGGGAAGGCATTGCTCCTGGCAGACCAGGAGTCACATGTCAGCCTCTTGGGAGGAGATGGGGGTGGGAGGAGAGGATAATAAAGGCAGAGAATATTATTTGTGATAAATGAGATAGTAAGAGTTACCATGCCTTGAATGCTTATTATATGTCACAGACACTAAATGCTCTATGTGAATTTTTCATTTGATGTTCAGAACAACACTGTTTTTCAGGTAAGTAAATAAGGTCCTGAGAGGCTGAGTAATGTGCCCAAGATCACACAGTAAGTAAGGGAGGGAGAAGAACTTGAAACCCAAGCATACTTAGTACCTCTCAGAGATGGAGAAAGTCTCAGAACACCTACTATTCTCCTCTTTGTATAAAACAACACTTTGTGCCATCTGAAGGTATGAGGAATGTTGTGAAGAGGATTGGAAATTGGTGCTAGGATTTTCCACATCTTTTCTGATTTAATTAGTTATGAAATTAGCTTTCTCAAGATACCAAAGCCCCCTCCCCCTTTCCACACTCCACTGCAAACACATACCCTGCTTTTCCCACTATCCATTGGGTGTAGGAAGAGCTTGCTGGAATTTCTAGGAATGTGACACCCTAGGTCAGGACTCACCCTGAGACACTGCAGATGATCGGGGTACCCTGGGATGCTCTGAATGACAGACTGAAACACTTGCTCAAAGGGCTGCAGTACAAAGTCATTTCTTTTTTTTCTTTTCTTTTCTTTTCTTTCTTTTTCTTTCTTTTTTTTTTTTTTTTTTTTGAGACAAGTTCTCACTCTCTTGCCCAGGCTCAAGTGATTCTCCCACCTCAGCCTCCCAAGTAGCTGGGACCACAGGTGCACACCACCACACCCAGCTAATTTTTTGGATTTTTTTTTTGTAGAGACAGGGTTTCACCATGTTGCCCAGGCTCATCTTGAACTTCTGGGTTCAAGCAATCCTCCTGTCTGGGCCTCCCAAAGTCCTGGGATTACAGGTGTGAGCTAATGCACCTGGCCTAAAGTCATTTCTTGGAGTTAAGGCCCCGGTTCTCAACCTAGGCAAGAGTCAGGGTGGGAATGGAGGGGATGTTGCCGGTGTCCACTGAAGAATGACAAGGTTCATAAATTTGGAAAGCAGAGCTTTGTTTCTTATAAAGAGCTGCAGCATGCAGGGTGGCCATTCTGATGGGCTGGGAACTGTAGCCTCTGGCCAGAAGCCAGAAACAGGCACTTTAAGGGAGGGGTAAAGGGAGCAGAAATTTATGCTGAGCAGGGTGGTTGAATATACATATTTAATAAGCTACAAGAGGAGTGATGAACATTTATGAATGGAGAAACCTACACATGCATAACTGAGCTTCATGCCCCTTCATGGGTCACATGTACAAAAAACAGTAGGGTTAGCATGATCTCAGGGTGGAGTTTTCCACTTTCTGATGTCAAAAGGTGAAGCAGAGGACACGAAAACCCTGTCTGCAGCGTCCATAGATGGCCAACACCACTTTGTGGTTAGTGGTCTCTTATCAGGAAGGAATTCTGGCCCATTGCGTGGAAACTGCAAAAGAGAGGGCAGTCATGTGGCTGGTTGAAATCAGCAGTGGAGTGAGTCTTTCAAAAGGGCTGGTTTCTGTTGAACCCTTAGGGAAGAAAGCCTAATGGCAGTAGTGAGGGAGGGGGTATAACGAGGCGTGTCCAGCCCCCCATGCTGCCATGGCCAGGAACTCAGTTTTCAAGGTTTCTCTGCCATCTCCTTGGCCAAGAGGGGGTTCGTTCATTCGGTTGGGGGACTGAGGATTTTATTTTTATTTCCCACCAGATAGATACTTTCAGTATTCCATAAAGCCTAAATGAAATCTTAACATTCCCCAGGATGAGGCTGTCCTGCGAACTGAAGCCCCAGCCTCTTTACTTTGAGCTGGAATTACATCACCTGTGTAACAACCTTGTTCATTTCATACTCACCTGAAGCTGGCTTGGTGACTAGAATGGCTTCTAGGTAAGGAAAACTTGGAAGCAAATTGATTATTAGAAAAAAATCCAGTTTGCCTTCTAGATAAAATCTTCCCAGGTGTCCTTGGTGGGAAAAGGCTGGGAATGGTGCTCAGGGCAGTGACCTGCAGATCCCTAGGTGGAGAATAGCACCCCCATCCCACCCTCCTTCCTTCTTCCCCATCTGCCCTCACTGCCTCCCTGCAACTGAACAGAACCAGCTACCAGGCATCCTTGGCCAGTGTCCAGAGCACATTGATTGACCTCAGGGAAAAAGCTCTGTCTTTTTTCCCCCAGTCATACACCTACAAAGCCCCAGTGCAAGGCCAGCAGAGTGCATTGAGGTAGTTCACATGAAAACAGTAACACTTGTTTGTTTTGCACTTCAAGGTGCAGAAAATCCTTGGCAGCTGGGCCTGGGGGCCTGGGCAGCTCAGAAGAGTGAAGATGTTCTCTTGACTCTGGGACTGGCTGTTCCAGTGGTTTATGGTCTTGCCTCTCAGATAATTGATATCAGGGAGGCTTCTGAGAAGCAGGAGGGAGGACAGGACATGAACTCCCCTCTGGACAGTTCTGCCATGTGTCCAGCTAGGCTCAGCTGCCGGAGGGGGTTGGGTCTAGTTCCTGGCTCCTCTGGTGCAGAGTGAAGGGAGATGGAAGGGAGGAAGGCGTTGCTCAACAAGGAAGAGCCCAGCTCTGGCCAGGCCTTGGCCAGGTGCTAAGGAAGGAGATGGGCTCCTGCCCTTGCCAGTTCCTTCAGTCTGGTCTGGGATTTGGATGTTTGGGATGACAATCCCATATCTTGAGTACTAGATGTGACAGGTTAAGACTGAGGCTTTAATCATTTTAAGAAATGGGCTTTTCCTGTCTGTGTGGTGATAGAGGGTGACATTTAATAATGTTGAAGGGAACATAGAGGCTCAGCTTTCCTGTGGTGAAGCCAGGCTTGATCCACTGTGAATAAGGCAAGAGAGATTCAAACTGAAACATGGTACATTTAAGTTAAACACAGGGATGAGCTTTCTCCAGGGGCCATTCAAAATAGTCCAGATTCTCCTGGCTTAGAAGGACCAGCACACGTCTCAATGGAATGGTCAAAGTCTTCCTACAATCTGGCCCCACTAACCCTCTGCAATCTGGGCCTCTAAGCCAGGCTCACTTCTTATCCTGCCTCACTCTAGAATGTTCACTGTTCTGGTCCCTGATTCTCTATATCCTACTCATCTGGAGGCTAAGTTATGTGCCCTCTTCCAAGAAGCTCTTTTTTTTTTTTTTTCCAGACAGGGTCTCACTCTGTCACCCAGGCTGGAGTGCAGCAACACAATCATGGCTCACTGCAGCCTCGATCTGCTGGGCTCTGGTGATCCTCGCTCCTCAACCTCCTGAGTAGCTGGGACTGAAAGCGTATACCACCGTGCCTAGCTAACTTTTTTTTAGAATTTTTTTGTAGAGATGGAGTCTCACTATGTTGTCCAGGCTGGTCTTCAAATCCCGGCCTCAAGTGATCCTCCTACCTCAGCCTCCCAGAGAGTTGGGATTACAGGGATGAGCCGTCATGCCTGGCCTCCAAGAAGCTCTTAACAGCAGACACTGTTGGTTATCTGTTAGGCAACCACTCCCCATATCAGTTCAGATGATGTTCAACAATAGTTCAGATGAGAGTAACAACAACAACAACAACACAGCAAACAGTGATGGCATAAACCAACGAGAAATTATGTCCCTTTCTCTCTCAAGAAGTTGGGAGGTTGGCAGTCCGGGGGCTGCTAGAGCACTCCATGGTGCCAGGCGCTCAGGGTCCTTCTAGCTCTGGCATCTGTCATCTTTAGGGTGTGGTCTAAGGTGGTTTTCATGTTCCGTGGAACAAGCCAGATGGAGAGGACATTGAGAAAGGTCAAAGAGGACGAGCTAGCAGCCCTGTAAAGCAGGCTTTGGGAACAGCTCTCAACTACCTCATTGGCTATTGGCTCAAATACCTCATCTCATTGGCTAGAATTTGGTGCCTCACTTCCCCCCCGATGCAAGGGAGGCTGGGAAGTACAATCTGCATCATACAAGAAGCACTGTCAAATAAATAATCCTTGTACAGGTGTGAGTATCCTTGTACAGGTGTGAGTATCCTTGTACAGGTGTGTTATTAATGTGTGTTCCAAAAGCATATGAGATTCCTAGAAATCTATGTTTTAGTACGTACCATCAGTCATAATTCTAATGTTAAATTGTTGTTTGCTACAGAAATAGCCAAATTTCCTCATCAATTGCATGATTATTATTATGAATTTTTATCATATCTTTAACCATGAGCATTTAAAATCTTGTTGTCCACAGTTAAATAGACAACAAGCTTTATTTGGATGCTTTTTTTCCCCCCTGAAAACTCTTTACAAATCCTTAAGTATTGCTTCTTCAAGGAGGTTCACGGAAAGGATGGAAAGAATGCTGACAAATACAGGTTTCTGACAACTTTGAGATCCTATCATTAAACTGGGTGAAAATTTCCATAACGCTAATGAAAAAAACCCCCACAAAACTGGACTCATAAAGCTTAGACTAACCTAACCACAAATAGAACAAGAATTAATTACATGCAGCTGAGCACAGTGGCTCATGCCTGTAACCCCAGCTCTTTGGCAGGCCGAGAAGGGAGGATCACTTGAGCTCAGGTATTTGAGACAGCCTGGGCAACATAGTGAGACCCTGTCTCTATTTAAAACAAGAAGAAGCCTGGGCATGGTGGCTCACGCCTGTAATCCCAGCACTTTGAGAGGCCGAGGCGGGCGGATCACGAGGTCAGGAGTTGGAGACCAATTTAGCCAACATGGTGAAACCCCATGTCTACTGAAAATACAAAACTTAGCTTGGTGTGGTGGTGGCAGGCGCCTGTAATCCGAGCTACTTGGGAGGCTGAGGCAGGAGAATTGCTTGAACCCGGGAGGCAGAGGTTGCAGTGAACCAAGGTCGCACTACTGCACTCCAGCCTGGGTGACAGAGCAAGACTCCGTCTCGAAAAAAAAAAAGGAAAAAAGAAGAAGAAGAAGTAAAAGAATTAATCACATGGGACTGAAATGATGAAGGACTAAAATGATTTTTAATGACTTTTTTGTTTGAAACATTGCTGATTCTTTTTATGTTTTGTTCTTTTTGTTTTCCGGAGTTAAGGAAACTTTTTTTTTTCCTCTTAAGCTTTACAGGAATAATATAAAGTATACTTGTTCTTTTTTTTTTTTTTTTTTTTTTTTTTTTTTGAGACAGAATCTTGCTCTGCTGCCCAGGCTGGAGTGTAGTGGTACGATCTTGGCTCACTGCAAGCTCCGCCTCCCGGGTTCACACCATTCTCCTGCCTCAGCCTCCCGAGTAGCTGGGACTACAGGCATCTGCCACCATGCCCGAACGAAGGGGTTTCACTGTGTTAGTCAGGATGGTCTCGATCTCCTGACCTCGTTATCCGCCTGCCTCGGCCTCCCAAAGTGCTGGGATTACAGGGGTGAGCCACCGTGCCCAGCCATATAAAGTATACTTTTATGAACAAAATTGAAACATGGATGTTTCTTTTTTTTTTTTTTTTTGAGACAGAGTCTCGCTCTGTCGCCCAGGCTGGAGTGCAGTGGCGGGATCTCGGCTCACTGCAAGCTCCGCCTCCCGGGTTAACGCCATTCTCCTGCCTCAGCCTCCCAAGTAGCTGGGACTACAGGCGCCCGCCACTACGCCCGGCTAATTTTTTGTATTTTTAGTAGAGACGAGGTTTCACCGTTTTAGCCGGGATGGTCTCGATCTCCTGACCTCGTGATCCGCCCGCCTCGGCCTCCCAAAGTGCTGGGATTACAGGCGTGAGCCACCGCGCCCGGCCGGATGTTTCTTTATGCCTGATTTTTTCAGAATTTGGAAACTATTTGTGAGTATTCATATTTTATGGCAATATAGTAAGTACAAGGCAATATAGTTTACTATAAAAATTTATTTGTATAAGTTCAATAATCTGTTCTTCTAACAACACGATTGGAGACATTCTGTTGTTTGTTTTTGTTCTTTTTTACTGAAGCTTTGACTGGAATGTCATATTTTCAGATATGACCAAACAGCTTTAAAAAATTGAGGTTGGCATTATGAAGCCAATAGAAGTTCCTGGAAAAACTGGCCTAGTACCTTAAATACATGGTTCACATGGTTGCCCTGTGGTAAGTAAAGAATGCCACTTTCTGACAGGCCTAGGAACTTCAGGATATTTTGGGGATCTCAAGAAGAGAGAAATTAATCCAGTTTGTACAGGTGTTACAGACATAGTCTAAGGATGAGTCAAATCCTTGGCTTGGCTTCGTAGCCTTGAGAGGCTTTAAAAAGTCTAATCTGAGATTCCTTATGAAAAGTTCCAGCAAAGCTTTTAAAAACAGCCTATATTGGCCAGGCATGGTGGCTCACACCTGTAATCCCAACACTTTGGGAGGCTGATGCGAGTGGATCACCTGAGGTCAGAAGTTTGGGAGCAGCCTGGCCAACATGGCAAAACCCCGTCTCTACTAAAAACACAAAAATTATCTGGGCCTGGTGGAACACACCTGTAGTCCCAGCTACTAGGGAGGCCGAGGCAGGACAATCGCTTGAACCCAGGAGATGGAGGTTGCAGTGAGCTGAGATCGCGCCACTGCACTCCAGCCTATGCGAGAGAGTGAGACTCCATCTCAAAAAAAAAAAAAAGAGCCTATAAGATAAATCACTATTCTTGCTAAACTTATGTATGTAATCAGGCCAAAGACTAAACTTATTTTGCAAAGAAATTGATCTTACTATGATTTGGTAGAAATGACAACTGGAGAGGAGAAAAATATGTTTCAGAAGAAAACTATAGTGTACCTGTTGTAAGAGTCCAGCCCTGTTCATTGTTTTTGAATTTGCATTATTTGCCTACAATTTGTACTGAACCCTGAATATTTTCCTGGCTATAAGTCTACAAACTAACTTTTCCAAATTTTTATCCCAATTTTCTGACTTGGACTCACTGAAATTAAAACTGTCTTTTTCATGAGGCCTTACAAGCCTAAGCTAATAAACTTGGTTTTGAAAAAGAATCAATGCAACAGCTTATATTTGAAGAAAATTTACATGCCAACTGTAATCTAGAAAAAATCTGTCAGCTAGCTACTGGTCTTCTGACCTAACTGTCTTCCAGACTCTAGAGGGACTAGTTCGTAGACCACTCCAGACATTGGCCTTTGTTTTTCTTCTGTTTCCATAAAAATGCCTCCTATTAAGGATATATTTGCCTGCGTCATATATAGAGGCCTAGCTTTGAGATCCCATCTGCAACTCCATTTTCTAAAATGAGACACAACTGTTTAATTGGACTGGCCTATTCCCAGAAATGAGAGACTGGTTTAATTGGATATTTTACCACTCAGTTACTAACCTGATTTCTCTCTCCACAACCATAACTCAACTTATAGTGTACAAAACTTCTAGGGAAGTTTCAGACTGGGGAAATGAAGGAGACTAGGGAATTTCATCCCAAAATATGGCACCGTAGTATTGCAGATTACTTTATATTAATGGCTGCGCGTGTGGCTATAATGTCAGCACTTTGGGAGGCTGAGGTGGGCTGATCGCTTGAGCTCAGGAGTTTGAGATCAGGCTGGGCAACATGGCAAAACCCTGTCTCTATCAAAAAAAAAAAAAAAAAAATATATATATATATATATATATATATATATATATATATATATATATACACAAAAAGTTGGCTGGGCATTGTGGCACGTGCCTGTACTCCCAGCTTCTTAGGAGGCTGAGGTGGGAGGATCACTGGAGCCCAGAAGGTCAAGGTTGCAGTGAGCCAAGACAGCACCACTGCACTCCAGCCTGGGTGCCAGAGTGAGGTCCTCTCTCAACAATTAATGAATTAAAGGCCCTTGGAGACCAGCAGATGGTGGAAGAAGCTTTACTCTGCTATTCCCTTATCTACCTAAAGTCTGAACCTGCCAAAGAAGAAAACTATTACTTCTGGTTTCTTCCCTGAGTTTTCATTAATTTAACTCACATCTCAGGAAGAGAGACTGAAGTCTGTCAACACACCTGAACAGATTTTTGTCACAAACTATTGTCTGCTTTGCGGGCCCAATAAACTTAGTCCTCGGCCATTATATGTTCTCCAAGGCCATTACATTCCTCTAACTATCAT
Organism: Homo sapiens; assembly: GCF_000001405.40. Taxonomy (NCBI): domain Eukaryota; kingdom Metazoa; phylum Chordata; class Mammalia; order Primates; family Hominidae; genus Homo; species Homo sapiens. Next base: position 47,669,820 of record NC_000002.12, on the reverse strand, counting down.
GTACTATCCCCAAAATTGCCACATTTCTCTTACCTCCCCTTACTCTATCAAAAAGGGTACATATGCCTCTGTACCCCATTGGGTTATTGAGTCATCATTCTCTTGCAATTTCCCTGTGCTATGGACATTAAATTTTGTCTGTCTTTTCTTCTATTCATTTGTCTTTTGTCAGTTGCTTTTCAGCAAACCTTCAGAGGATGAAGGAGAAGCTTTCCCTCAGTCCCTACAGTGGAACAAATGGCCCCTCACACATTGCTGTTGGGAATGCAAAATGTGCAGTCACTTTGGAACATGGTTTGGCAGTTTCTTTTAAATTAAGCATGCACTTACCAACTCTCTTGTGCTTAATGTAACTGCAGTCTAGTTATCTTTTAGGTATAACACAGCCCAAACTGCAAGTGATGTAGCTTGGGCATGCACAATAGAAAAAGCTTTGACCTCTAACGACACTTAGAACCAATGGTTTCTTCCTATGGAACCAGAAATATATGACCAGAACCTGAACACCAAAACTCTTTCAGAAGTGAGGGTCCATTGGCCAGGAAAATCTGATGCTGAAATCTGCCTCCACATACCTTACCATAAATGATCACATTTGAAGCTCTCCAATCAGACCCTGCCAACCCAACGTCTATAATATTTTCCCTTGCACATCAGCTCCTTAAAGCTTTCCCCAGACCTCAAATCGCAGAGACACATTTGAGCTGCGTCTCCTGTCTCCTTGCTGGTCCACCTTGCACTAAAGCCTTTCTTTTCTGAGAAGCCAGTGCCATAGCATTGGCTTTAATTATTTATTTATTTATTTATATTTTGGGATGGAGTTTTGCTTCACCCAGGCTACAGTGCAGTGGTGCCATCATACCTCATTGCAGCCTTGACCTCCTGGGCTCAAGGGATCCTCCCGTCTCAGTTTCTCAAGTAGCTGGGACTACAGCTCTGTGCTACCATGCCCAGCTTATTTATTTATTTATTTTGTAGAGACAGTGTCTCGCTATGTTGCCCATACTGTTCTAGAACTCCTGCAAATTCTATTTTTTTTTTTCCGAGACGGAGTCTTGCTCTGTCGCCCAGGCTGGAGTGCAGTGGTGCGATCTCAGCTCATTGCAAGCTCCACCTCCCGGGTTCACGCCATTCTCCTGCCTCAGCCTCCTGAGTAGCTGGGACTACAGGAGCCCGCCACCACACCCGGCTAATTTTTTTTGTACTTTTAGTAGAGACGGGGTTTCACTGTGTTAGCCAGGATGGTCTTAATCTCCTGACCTCATGATCCACCCGCCTTGGCCTCCCAAAGTGCTGGGATTACAGGCGTGAGCCACCACACCTGGCAGCATTGGCTTTCTATGCATGCCAGGCAGTAAGCCCACTGCTTGGTAACAATGTTTCTGCCTGCTTTCATCATGGCCCCCTCTAGTCTGTTTGTAACACAGAGTAATCCCTTTAAAACCAAAGTCTGATCTTGTCTTCTCCTCTGCTCCTGACTCTTACACAGTGTCCCTTGAAGAGCAAAGTGGCTGCTGAGACCACTGCATAATTTTGCCCCTCCTCCCCCACACCCACCTTCTAGCCAACTCTGCTGCCCACACACCCAGGTAGCTGAAGTGGAGGTTTCCAGATGCTTCCGGTATTGCTCCCAGAGGAACTCCTTTGAAAAAACAAACAGATCCTCCCCTCCTCATAGCCCCTGGCCAGGAGAGAGTCCATCCTCTAACTTTGCCATTTCTCAGAAACTCCAGGCACACACCAGCTCATCTCCTTTGACCTTTCTGTTGCTTCGTCCTAGAACATATCCGCAAGGCCTGCTCCCTTACCTCCCTCAGACTTTGACATAAAGCTTGTTTTCTGTTTTTTTTTTTTTTTTTTTTTGTTGTTGTTGTTGTTGTTTTGTTTTAGATGGAGTCTCGCTCTGTCACCCAGGCTGGAGGGCAGTGGTGTGATCTCAGCTCACTGCAACCTCTGCCTGCCAGGTTCAAGCAGTCCTCCTGCCTCAGCCTCCTGAGTAGCTGGGACTACAGGCACACACCACCATGCCTGGCTAATTTTTTGTATTTTAGTAGAGACGGGGTTTCACCATGCTGGCCAGGCTGGTCTCAAACTCCTGACCTCGTGATCTGCCTGCTTCGGCCTCCCAAAGTACTGGGATTATAGGCATGAGCCACCGCGCCTGGCCTCAAAACTTGTTTTCGCAGTGAGGCTTTCTTTGGATACCTCTTCTAAAACTGCAACCTCTTCCTGACCCCAAGTCGTGCCTTGCTTCACTTCTCCACACTCAATGTCTTCCAATTTGCTCTATAGTTTTCTTATTGTCCCTCTCCACACCAGGATGGCAGGAATTTTTATCTGTTCCCTTTGCTGCTATTTCCCCAGGGCCTGGCATGTTCTGGAAGCTCATGTTGAATGAATGAGAGCTTCAAGGCTCAAATGAAGTTTTACTCCTCCCAAAAGCCTCCCCAGTAGCAGCACAGCCATCATTAACTCTCTTCTCTGATCTCCAGACTGTTTTCCTTGCAATTCTTCCTGTGTATTAGCTGCATCCCCGCTACACTCCCCTTATACTTGCCTGTGAGCTCCTCAAGGGCAGGGACCATGTCTTTGCCTTCCCTGGCATCAAGTATGGCTTGAAGCATGCCCTGGGTACTCAAGAAATGCTTGATTTTATTTTTTTGAGACGGAGTCTTGCTCTGTTGCCCAGGCTAGAGTGCAGTGGCAGATCTTGGCTCACTGCAACCTCCACCTCCCGAGTTCAAGTGATTCTCCTGCCTCAGCCTCCTAAGTAGCTGGGATTACAGGTGTGGGCCACTACGCCTGGCTAATTTTTTGTATTTTTAGTAGAGACAGGGTTTCACCATGTTGGCCAGGCTGGTCTCAAACTCCTGACCTCAAGTGATCCACCTGCCTTGGCCTCCCAAAGTGCTGGGATTACAGGCATGAGCCACCGCGACTGGCCTGATTCTAGTTTCTTGGGAGTGGGTGCCTTTTTGTAAGGGAGAAAAAGTAATATATTTTCCTCATTCATAGATAGATTCATAGCTGAAACCCCTCTAACAAAAGATAGATTAATAAGAGAAAAGCATAAAACATTTGCTTAATACAAGTTTTATGTGACACAAGAATCTTCAGAAATGAAGACCCAATGAAACAAGGAAATCTGTGAATATTTATGCTTAGGTCTGAAGAATAGACAGTCATACAGAAGCATGATGGGAAGACAGAAGGACATGACCTAATGGGAATAAACTGGGGGGAACTCAGCAAGATCTGTTTGCTCAGGTGCTTTGTGGCATCTCTGTGTGACATTCCTTTCCTCTGGGTATAGGGTAGGACAATTGTCACATGAAAGTCTTCAGGCAAGAAGGGCAGGGGAAGGTGAGAGTGACCTTTCTCCTTCTGCTTTTTTCTGTTTCCAAGATGCCATATTTTTGGGTAGTATTTCCTACACCTCATGATTGTGAAAGCCTGCAGCATTTAGATGGACAGCTGCCCCTTTGTTCAAAGCCTTGGATGCATTTGCTGAGAAGGTCCCTGGATACAAGACAATGCCATCAGTCTATCATTTCTGAGGAAGAGGTTCTTAAATAAAGGAGAAATTGGAAGGAAAAAATCAATTAGGATCAGGGAGATGGCTGCTCTGTGCCACCCCTTTCTCCCTTAGCTAAAGTGGCTTTTGATTGGACTGGGCTGTCTCTGAGCTGGAGCAGAAGTTAATCGAAGGCCATTTTTCTTTCTTTGCAAGGAGCAATGTTAATCAGAACAGCGAGAGCTTGAGTGTCAACTCTGCACTTATATAAAAATGGCCTTGGGGATGAACGTGCAACAATTATCCCGTGACCAGAGTCTTTTTCAGGAAGGACAAACCCAAGATTAGTGGTTAATGCTGAATCCCAAGGAGTCTTGCCCTGAAGCTGAGGAAATAATCCTGATACTGTGTATTTCCAGCTCAGGACCATTTGCAGGCCGGGTGCGCTGGCTCACGCCTGTAATCCCAGCACTTTGGGAGGCCGAGGTGGGTGGATCACAAGGTCAGGAGATCCAGACCATCCTGGCTAACATGGCGAAACCCCATCTCTACTAAAAATACAAAAAATTAGCTGAGTGTGGTGGCAGACACCTGTAGTCCCAGCTACTCGGGAGGCTGAGGCAGGAGAATGGCGTGAACCCGGGAGGCGGAGCTTGCAGTGAGCCGAGATTGTGCCACTGCACTCCAGCCTGGGTGACAGAGCGAGACTCCGTCTCAAAAAAAAAAAAAAAAAAAAAAGACCATTTGCAAAGGGGGCCTGTGCTTTCAAAATGGAAAGAAAATTAGACAGTAGTTTCTTGAGGGGAGGGGGATGTGGTACTGTTTTAAAATAAGTTAAACTACTGAGGAGCACAGAGGAACAGAAAGAAAAAAATTCTTATGTTCCAGCTCAGAATTCTGTCACTTACCAGCTATATGATGCAGGCAAGCCATGCGGCTTCTCTAAGCCTCAATTTCCTCATCTGTAAATAGAGACAATGATTTCTGTCTATCATTGTGTGAATTAAATTAGATCATATATGGGAAAGGCCATAGACAAAGTATAAATCCCACTACAAATGTGGGGTATGATATTATTTGGTAAAGGCACATTGTACCGATAGTACCCTCCAGGAGCCAGCCGAGTTGGGAAGAGGGCACGGACCAATGGAATGACAAGGGACAGCCCAAGTGTGACCTGGGGTCACCCTGTCCCCATCAGAGTTCAATAAGAACTCCTTGAACTCCCATTCCTGTCCAGAGTTTTCTTTGCATTCTTGGCAAGAAGGCAGACTTTATAATCTCACTGCAGACCGGCTGAGGATAGGGGGCAGTGTGGCTCAGTGAGTAGAATAGGGACTGTGGAGTCAGGCTGCCTGGGTTGGAATGCTAATTCACCATCTGTGTGAACTTGGGCAAGTTAGGTAACCTCTCTGTGCCTCGGGTTCCTCATCTGTAAAACGAGGTTAATGACCTATACCTCATTGGATTGTTGTGAGGATTAAACGAAGTTATGAGCAAAGTGTTCAGAAAAGCACTTAGAGAAACACTGAGTGTCGTACTCACCTCAGGTTCCAGGCTCCCCGAAACAGATGCAGTTTATAAGGCATCTCTTCATCCCAAATGTGCTCACCCTGCCCTGTGCCAGCCACAGAACTTGGCCCCTCTCCTTGGCTTATCTTAAAACAAATAAAGGCAAAAGCAAAAGTAAAAAGGCACACACCAAAGGCTCTTTTGGGCCGGGCATGGTGGCTCATGCCTGTAATCCCAGCACTTTGGGAGGCCAAGGTGGGTGGATCACCTAAGGTCAGGAGTTCAAGACCAGCCTGGCCAACATGGTGAAACCCCTTGTCTACTAAAAATACAAACATTAGCCGGGCATGGTGGCATGCGCCCGTAATCCCAGCAACTCAGGAGGCTGAGGCAGTAGAATCGCTTGAACCTGGGAGGTGAAGGTTGCAGTGAGCCAAGATCGTGCCACTGCACTCCAACCTGGGCAACAGAGCAAGACTTCATCTCAAAAATAAATAAATACATAAAAATAAAGGCTATTTTGGCCTTAGAAAACTTTACTGAAGTACTGAAAGAAGTGGAGGAAATTTACACAAACATCTTAAAACGTAGACAGCTTGTGTTTAAAAGTCTCTACTGTGCATCTGCCAACCTGCTTCTGCCATGTCACTGGGTCTCTCTGCCCTTCCCCTTTCATGAGCAAATGCTTCCCCCAGCCCCATCCCATTCTGCCATGTCTTGTGAAAAGAAATTCAGCCCTCACTTTCTACAGCTTCTTCCTTCCAGGTCCTGCCTCGGGGCCTACCTTCTCATAACCAGATGGTTGTAACAGTATTTTCCTAAACCAAGACAATTTCCTTTCTAAGCAGGATTCTGGTGTTGCCTGGTAAGATAGCACATACCGTTTTCTCACCCTACTATAAACTCAAAAGTCATGAGATTGGATTTTGGGTTTTGAGTTGCCAATGGTTAGAGGAAAAAGGGGGAGCTCTCTGGTAGAGACCAAGTGTATTGAAATATGTAATAAGGCAGCTTTAGGCTAAACTTGATTTAACAAATCTAATAACGATGCAGTGTAATTCTCTCTTGAAACATAATTTTTCTCTCTAAAGTAACCCCTATTTCAATCACAGATAATCACAGTAAGACTAATTTGTTTGCAAAAGTCAGTTTAGAATCATTGTATTTGGCCTACTTATTTACAGAAGCACAGAAAGAATAGATTGATCATATATGCTCTTTTAAAATCTGCTTTGCTAGAACTTCTCATAAGGAATCTTAGAGTATAATTTTAAAAGTCACTCTAGGCTAGGAAGCCAAGTTATAGACTTACCGTCAGATTTTCCCTGTAATACATATAGATCTGGGTGAATTCCTCTCTTATCGAGGTCCCCAAATTATCCTGAGGTTCCTGGATCTGACCGGAAGTGACTTGCCTTACTCACCTGTAAGGGAATCATGTAAAAGAACCCTGCATGCAAAGTACCAGGATTTTTTTTTTCCAAGGGGTTTTATTGAGTCCACAAATTTAACCTTAGCTTCTTAAAACTTATCTAGTCAAATCTGATTCTATGCACATCATTCTCAACTATGACATCCCAGTGAAGGCCTTTTACCAATTGTATCTTGTTAAAAGGAGAACAGATTTTAATTGAATTTGTACAAATAACTTTATTGCCATGAACATAAGAGCACTCAATACGAGTTTGGTATTTGGCAGTACCATCCAGAGGTAGAGAAAACACCACATATGCATACTATACATACACAGATATACATAAACAGATAGATGCAAACAGAAATCTTCAAGTTTTTATTTAAAAATTTTAGCCATGTGCCAGGTACCGTAACATAAAACTCCCTAGTTTATAAAAGAGTAATTGGATCTAAATTATGTTTCTGGCAGATGGAATAAGTTAAGATTACTCTCTCAGATGGATAAAGCTTTTTACTACTTGTGGTAAAGACTTGAAATTTTTAAAAATGCCAGTTGGTTTCTAAATAGCTTTCTCCCCTCCCCCACCTTCTTCTGAGCATCTTCTCCCCAAAATTTGCATCTCAAAAAGATGCTGCTTAGGTCCTAGAGAAGACAGGGTAGAAAATTTACATATTAAAGGCACGGAGAAAGGATATATTTTCTCCCAGAAGGAGTTTTGGTGTTATTTGCTTATTATCAGAGGTCATATGGAGGCTGTGGACTAAATTTTAGGCAATTACTGAGGAGACTCTAGCAGCTGTCTGAATGTCTCCAAAGACCATCTGAGTGGATAAAATATCCAGTTATTTCTAATTAACCCTTTTCCTTTTCAGCTTCAGAGAGTTGACCTGGGGGACCCTCAGTCCCTTGAGATCAGTGGAGCCAAAAGCTCAAGTGACTGAGGGTCTGGAATAGGAAAGAAAAGAGTTTGGCAGGGGTGGATGGAAAGTTGGAGGAGGTGAGGCAGGAAAATAGGGTCTAGAGGCAGGGAACTTAAAGCCAGTGCACACTTCAACTATGACAGGAAATATCCTCTCGATTTTGTGTGTGTGTGTGTGTGTGTGTGTGTGTGTGAGACAGAGTCTCACTCTGTCGCCCAGGCTGGAGTGCAGTGGCGCGATCTTGGCTCACTGCAACCTCCACCTCCTAAGTTCAAGTGATTCTTCTGCCTCAGCCTCCTGAGATTTACAGGTGCGTGCCACCACACCTGGCTAATTTTTTTTGTATTTCTTTTAGTAAGGCAGGGTTTCACCATGTTGGCCAGGCTGGTCTTGAACTCCTGACCTCAGGTGATCCACCCTCCTTGGCCTCCCAAAGTGCTGGGATTACAGGCGTGAGCCACCATGCCCGGGCGTTCTGAAAGTTTTTCTTTAGTCCATTGATGTTAAAGTTATCAGAAATCTGTATTCAGGAATACCCATTAGAGTATTCTTCATGAAAATCAATTTAGGACTATAGATCACTGCAAATGCTTTTAGAGAAGAATTTAAAACAATAGCATGAATGACAGGCCAGGCATGGTGGCTCATACCTGTCCTGTAATCCCAGAACTTTGGGAAGCCAAGGCAGGTAGATGACTTGAGGCTAGTTTGAGACTGGCCTGGCAAACATGGTGAAACCATGTCTCTACCAAAAATACAAAAATTAGCCAGGCATGGTGGCACGTGCCTCTAATCCTAGCTACGCGGGAGGCTGAGGCACAAGAATCTCTTGAATCTAGAAGGCAGAGGCTTCAGTGAGCCGAGATTGTGCCACTGTACTCCAGCCTAGGTAACAGTGAGACTCTGTCTCAAAAAATAAAATAAAATAAAATAAAATAAAATAAAATAAAATAAAATAAAATAAAATAAAATAAAATAGCTGTGGATGACGACAACTTAAAATAGCCATGGTTAAATCTATGAAAGTGTTCAACTGACAAAGAAATTTAATTATTTCTATTATGTGCAGCATTTTAAGATAACAACCAGAATTATGACTGACCATATCACATCAGGATCGTCAAGACTTTGATAAATTTAATATAATCATTAGAATATTCACATTAATAACATACCTATACAAATATAACTTTAGAAAAGATTTAACATAACAAAATTATGACTGATAACATTTTAGATTTTTATAACATTATATAATTTGGGGAACATTTATATCAATAAATGTAACTGAAAGAAGATCTAGCATCAATTATCATTTGACAATTTCCTCCCATACAATTTACCTTAGCCAGGCATGGTGGCATGAGTCTGTGGTCCCAGCTACTTGGGAGGTTGAGGTAGGAGGATCGCTTGAGTCCAGGAGGCAGAGGTTGCAGTGAGCCGAGATCGTGGCATTGCACTCCAGCCTGGGTGACAGAATGACACCTTGTCTCAAAAAAAAAAAAGAAAAAGAAAAAGAAAAAATAATCTGTATTCCATACAATTTACCAAATAAGTCTAATCATTTAATATCTCTACAGGATGAGAGATACATTCTTTGAAGATTTCCAGGGGCCTAACTTGAAAATGCCAAAGTTAATTCTAGGCCAAAAAGACTTAATTTAGTATTTTGATGCTGGGGAAACCTATCAAAGATGTCAAAAGTTTCCAAACACTTGATAAAAACAGAATCACAGGTCATTATAAAACAATACTTATTTGTTTAACCAGAGTGATCATCAAAAGACCTTAAAAACAATACAGAAAGTTACATGGATGTAAAAACCTTAACCCTTTTACAGGTCAGCTTTTCTAAGTACTCAACCTAATAAAGACAATGCTGGAATTATCTTGATAAAATGGAAAAACTGTGTGTGTGTTTTTTAGGCCAGTTACCAAAAAGGTAAAGAAGAACCGCCTGTACTGTGACTGCTTCTCCTTATGGGAAGACTGTTTAGCTAACTGGGAAGTCAAACCTGATGAAAAAGGTACTTGAATTTAATTAGACACAAGCAGAGTGTGTCTAGGGCTATGTGTATACACTACATTAAGGAATGTAAACAAGAAAACTAGTACCTTGAGGAAGGGCATAATAGCTCTTAGTAACAGCATGAGAAGTCCCCTGGTTACATGGAACAATTCCGACATATCAGGAAAAGCCAAGATTACAGAATCAAGTTATGCTAGAAGAAAACATTGCTTTTTCTAGACCTTCAAGATGAAACATTTCTGTGTCAGGCCACAACGGCAAAGTTAGAGCCACAGGAAAAAAAGTTCCAGGAGTTGACAAAAATAAGGAGACAGTTATCCCAGCCAAGCGAAAAGATAGACCTTTTCAAAGGGAAACAGAACAGAAGGCAATGATGTATGACCTGCAAGCCACGTGTGGTGAGGTACAGTAAAAGTTGAACTTCTGAGATATAAATCTGATGCTCTGGGTTGTGCGTGGGGTTAGCCCTAGGGAAATCGTTAAATGGGGGATGGGGTCTGCATCACCTCCCCACACTGAGGCTCTTGGATCCACTGAACATTTACCCCCACCCCAAATCTAGAGGCATGCCTTGCTGGACAGAACCCTGTACAATCAAATGATATTCTTCCTGGCCAGCGCTGTGGCGGGTGGATTACCTGAGGTTGGGAGTTAGAGACCAGCCTGGCCAACATGGTGAAACCCCGTCTCTACTAGAAATACAAAAATTAGCCGGGCGTGGTGGCGCACACCTGTAATTCCAGCCACTCAGGAGGCTGAAGGACAAGAATTAGAGGTGGAGGCAGGAGGTGGAGATTACAGTGAGCTGAGATCCCACCACTGCACTCCAGCCTGGGGGACAGAGCAAGACTTCGTCTCAAAAAAAAAAAAAAAAAAATGCTCTTCTGCCTGACCCAAGCTGAATCCTCCCCATTTGCAGCCGTACACCGAGTTGCCAGCCCCATGGGATATGGCCAGGGCCTCAAGGCAAAGGCTACCAACATGTGTGGGTCTCCTCAGGGCACACTCCTTATTTTGTCTGACTATGGGTGTGCATTTACAGTCTGGGGTGAAGATGTGCCTCTAGAAGCACTAATGGTGAAGTTTCAGGACTATCACAACCTGGCCTTGCTCTAGGCTACAAAGTTACCCCTTGAGGACAGCCACCAATCAAGATGCTGGAAGGGATCTACCTGGCTCTTAGAGGACAATGCCATCAGCCTCAGGGCACCCATGTGTGTTGCAGGGGTAGTGCCAAAAAGGCTTTGCCTGGGCCCTGGAGCCTTCCCTCGGGGCTCTCTGCTCCTCTCGGCACTAGGTCTCTCTGACCGGATCCCCTCTGACGTCAGGCTGGGACTGGAGGTCTGGGTAGGGGTGTCCTCTGCAGTTCCACTTGGGTCCAGGCAATCGTTCATCTTCTAAATGCATCATCATTTTATCAGGGTAGAGGGAGCAGGCAGGCAGGAGGGGGAGACGGTGGAGTTGGGTTTGAGGGAGTTTAGGAAAGGAAATGCCACCCCAAAATATGCCACTTTGGTATGTTGATTGCTTGCAACCAAGGGCACGTGGGAGACAGCAGATGCAGGCAGAGGCGTTCTCTGAGCTCCCCTTATCGGCCAAAAGACAGATCCTCCAACCAGAACACCATGGTCATGAGTCTCCTCCCCAGGAATCTCATCAACCAGGGGAATACTGGCCCATGTCACAGGACAGGAGACAGGGGGTAGACACCATACCAAGACAGACTTTGTCACTGGCTGTCACCTACTCTTCTTAGGCTCATCCATCTTTCCCCAAGTCATTTACTTTCCTCTAAGTTGCCTACATCACCCCTCCCCTCTCCCCTGGGAAGAAGGTACATACAAGCTCCAACCCCTTCCCTTCTGGGAATCCCCAAGTTACCAGCAGCAGTTACTGCAGGCCCAGGTAGGAGGGTAGAGGCCGGGTAGGAGGCTGGGTAGGAGGACAGAGTGAAAATCAAGAACCAAAGCAGTTCCTTGGTTTCCATTTCTCAAACTCTGCTGTTTGAAAGCAGAGAAGAAAGAAATGTGCACATGTGCACATATGTGGGTATTCATACCTAACATGTGGACTCCAGGTCTGGAGGGGAGGCGGCTATGCTAACACGAATGCCTGCCTGTGTGTGGGCTCTCAAGTGGGGGCCGTGTGGAAACAGTGTCTCCTTTCTGGTCATCAACAGTCCGCGGCAGTGAGAGGGAGAGACCCAAATGTTTGGGAGACTTGAGTTCCAACCCCACTAGTTCCCTTAACGAGCTGAGGCTTTGGGGCAAAACATTTGACCTCCCTGGGAGTCACCAGGTTTCACAATTCCTCTGTTCATGATTCTGAGACTCACTCAGGAGTGACTTCAGTGGGATGAACCGTCATTCAGAAAAGACCCTGCCTAAGGACTCAGACAGTTTATGTTGTCTGGACACAGGCAGTAGATGACACAGCTTGGCCAGGTCTCAGATCAGGATTCCCCTTCTCCCCTGGTGCCCTGGCAGCCCTGTGGAATATAGGAGCCATGGAAGCCTCTGGGTGTGGCTGAGTTGCTGGATCCCACTTAGTGAATCTTTGCCTGATTGCCTGGTGGGAGCAGAGCTGCCTTGCTCCACAAGGGGCTGGGTGGAATGTGGAGATGACTTTGCTGTGCCTCCATGGCTCCTCAGACCACACCTGGACCCCACTGGGCTCAGCTCCAGTACTCACTGCAGCAGGGACCCAGCTGACACTGTCAGAGGAAGAAGAAACCAGCTCCAGCCTCCATTCACCCTGGGATGGGGTATGGGTGGGCTGGGGTGGTAATGAAGGTCTTCCTCCAGAGAAGGGGTCTAGAGCTCTGAGAAATTGTCCAGAAAGAGCAGAGTCCCTGGCAAGACAAGACTCAGGCAAGCTTCCCTTCCTGCCAGGATCTCAGAGGGAGACCCTGCATCCTCCACACCCGCTCAGTGGTGCAGGGGCGTCAGGCAGTGCACAGCAGTCAGCATTCAGGGCTTTGACTTTTGTCTTTTAGTGTCTCTCCAAAGCCTCCTTATACGGAAACCATAAATACTGACTTCAGGCTACAAAAATGTAGTCTCTGAGAGCACCTGGTCATCCAGTTGATCTTAAAAAATAATCAAATTACTGACAGGCCAGGTGCAGTGGCTCATACCTGTAATCCCATCACTTTGGGAGGCCAAGGCAGGAGAATTGCTTGAGCCTAGGAGTGCGAGATCAGCCTGGGCAATAGAGTGAGACCCTGTCTCTAAAAAACAAACAAACAAACAGAATATAAATATGTTAGCCAGGCATGATGGAGTGCGCCTGTAGTACCAGCTACTTGGGAGGCTGAGGTGGGAGGATAGCTTGAACCCAGGAGGTCAAGGCTGCAATGAGCTAATTGTGCCATTGCACTCCAGCCTGGGCAACAGAGCAAGACCCTGTCTCAAAACAAAACATCAGTGACGGAGAAAAGTATCGGGACTTTTGCAACAGGAATAACACCAAAGTATGCAGGGCTGCATACACAGAGAATGAGTCAAATGACCACAACAGGTTTCTTCATAGCAAGAAAGGGGCTACCTCAGAGGCAAACTCAAGGCTGACAGTTCCCCTTCAGCCCCACAGTTCAAGAAGGAGGGACACCTCCCCTAGTTCCCAGGCTCTCAACTCTTCATGTGCTAGATCCACCACTGTTTCGGCATTTATGCAGCCTAGACTTCCTCTAGCATGGCCCCTCACCCTCAGGGAGATGGCCCAGGAGCAAGGCAGAGCATGGTCAAATGCACAGAGAAGGGTCCACTCCGTGAGGGTCAGGGAGTCAAGAAAGGCTTTCCTGGGAGACGCACTGGCGTTGGCCTCCAAGGACAGGTGGGATTGCATGGGGAGAGACTGGCACAACAAAAGTTTTTTTTTTCATGCCAACTACTTTGGTCAAACAAAACATTTTAGAAAAACATTTTATGAACTGTTATCTGCTAGGCAGTGTGCTAAGTACTTTATATAAGCTGTCTCATTGGTTCTCACAACAACACTCTGAGGTAGGAGCGATTCCTTTTTTACCAGTGAGGGAACAGAGGCCCAGAGGAGTTAAGTTTGTCCAAGGCCACACAGCTAGTAAGCAGTACAGCCAGGACTTGAAGCCTGGTCCCTGATGACACAGCTCATACTCTTAACACCTCAGTCAGATATAAGAGCGGTGGAGTGGACGCTCCATTCCTGCGCCCTATACTTTTTTGAGTCCCCCAAGAAGGGCACAGAGGGCTCTCTGGGCTGCAGGGCTGCTGAGAGGTGATGAAGGCCACACCTCAGCCTCCAGCCAGACCTGCACCTCCAGATCGGAGGCATTTGGGCAGCAGTCTTGTTGCTGAGCCTCCAGGAAAGTAGATCCACAATTCCAAAGCAGGCCTTGCAGACATAAAGAGTTATTCTGCCATAAGAGGGTTCCGTGGCCAAATGAACTCGGCGACACTAGTGTGAACAAAGCTCATTGGGTTTACTTCCCACAGGACTTCCCAGAACCTGAATCTGCTAATGGGCCTTGTCAATTTCCAAGAAGACATAGAATAGTGTATTTCCCTACCTCCTCCGACCACCAGAGCCCTTCAGTCCATGTCCTTTCCTTTGGAGTACTTACTTCTTTTGGTTCTGCCTTTGATTTGAGTGGTATGTCAACCCCCTTGATAATTACAGCCTGCTGTAGGTGTGCTGGGGTGGGATTATCACTTTAAGGCCACAACCTTAAAGGGAAACCAGGCCCCCTGGGAGAATGTCATGCTGGCAGCAGTGGCTGGAGAGAGAGGCCCTTGAGGGAAAGGTAGAACTCAAGGAACCAGAGACAGGACTACCTGGGGAGTCTCCTTCGTTGCATCTTTTCTGTGCCAGCACCCCTTCTCCAGCCTTCTGGTATCAAACCTCAATCAGGTCAGTCCTGACGTGTGCTCACCAAACGTCATATCTCCTAAACTGGGGGTCACTTGGCCAGCAGCAGAAGTGTGCAGTCGTGGAGGCTACCTCCTTGCTCTAGCCCACTTGTGTACACTTTCCCTTCATTGTGGAAGGCCCTGCTGTGAGGAGCCACGCTTCAGAGAAGCCCTCACCTTTGCCATTTCGGAGGTATTTGCATATTTAAACTTAGCTGGAACTGCGGACTGAGAGCCTTTGCCCCACAAGCAAAGCAGCAGCTGGAAGGAAGGAGAGGCGGTCCTTGCAGGTGCTCTCAAAAGCCCTCTTCACAGGCGACCAATGGTTTTCAAGCCACTCACACAGCCCTTCTCAACTTGACTGTACATAAGACACACTTGAGAACCTTTAAAAACGACCTCTGACCCTGTAACCACCTCAAATTAAATTAGAATCTCGGGTCTCAAGCATCAGTAATTTGTGAAATCTCCCCAAGTGATTCTAATGTGCTCCCAGGGAGGCAAACTGCTGCTAGAGCCCAGCTCCTCAAAGTGCAGCCTGGGACCAGCAGCCCCCAGGTGTGGTTGGAAATGCCCCCAGGCCTACTGAATCAGAGCCTGCATTTTAATGACCCCCCCCCCGATGACTCATCTTCCCGTTAGAGTTCTAGGGCCTTGTTACCATCACCTGTGTCAGCATCTAGCTGCAGTGGCAAGCGTGTTGGGCCACGATTTAACCCTTTCTTGCCCCTTCCTACTGATCACCCCGGAAAGCTCGCTGGCCCTCGCTCTGTGTCTTGGCTTCCTTATCTGTTGTAAGGAACATGGCTGTGCTTTGGTCAAGGTTAGGCCAAGGTAGGATGTTTACATCCCACGTGACTCAGCATAGACCGCAGGCGTATAACTCCACTTGTTATCACAGCCATGTAGCTATAACGTGGGAACGTCATCACTTGGCTCTATGCCACTATTGTCTGTAAAAGGTACAACTGCCCTGTTGACCCTGTGCAGGTGCGCTGGTGCCCAGAGAAAGAGACAGAGCCAGAGATGTCCGTTTTTGGAGACGGACGGGGAAAGCCAGGACACAGCTTGGCCCCCTAGTGCCCAGAGAGTGAAAGAGTTAAGCTGCTGACCCTGAAGGCAGGGGAGAGCCGGTCACACAGCTGTATGTGGGAGCTGCCAGCTGAAGCAGCCCAGACAAGGCAGACAGTGTGAGAAAGCTGCTGATGTGAGCTGCTGCTGAATAAAATCATTCACCTGCCTACAGTCCCCTGAATGTTCTTTCTGCTCATCCACCCACTCCTTCTGGACCTCAACATGACCTTTGGCATAGTCGTGAACCTGACATCTGTAATATGTAGTCGTTGGACAAAGTGAGTCCTCGCTCTGCCGTCACCACCACCATCATCATCACCTCTCATTGAGGGCCTACTATGTGCAGCCAGGCTCTGAACTAGGTCTGTCCATGCTCTGCCTGAGTCTCTTCAGCTGTCCAGTGGGGACACAGGCATGCCTTGCTCAGCACTGTCCTCGTGCACAGAGCTCACGGCACTGAGGCTGAACCATGCAGCGTGAACTGTGCACCTCCCAGCCTGGCTCTTTTCCCCTCGCTACATCTTTCATTCCTCTCTTTAAAATCTTGTGCTTCTACTGAAGGTCTTTGTTTCCCAGCAAATATTTTGCAAAGGACAAACAAACAGAGCATTATTTTATGGTTTAAAGGGACGACTATGACAGTGTAAGGGCTATGAGTTTCAAGTGGATGTGGGAGTGTGCTCTAGGTCTCACATCCACTTGAGACCCACCTCCCTGCCTTTAGCCCCATAGGAAAGAATGGAGGGAAGAGGGGATGGCCAACAATCCCCTAATGGTATGCCAATCGTGAGCAATAAGTGACGTTGTCAGGACAGAGCTGCACAGAGGTCCCGATATAAAGATCTCAGTAGCCCTGATTCATATAAAGCCCCCTCCCCCAGCATCCTTCAATAAGTAGGATAAGTTTATAATAACCCAGACTCCAAGGTGTTCATGCAAGCTGGTTGTAGACAGTTGCCCTTTTCTGCCCTACATCCAATCCAACTTCCATAGGATTGAAGATTCCTTCTCTAGAACTCTTTATGGGCACATTGTAGGCTGAAAAGGACACCCACTTTTTTCCACCTCCCTGATAGTCAAGGTGCCAGCTATGATCCAGGCCTTACTTTGGGGATCTGGGCAGGAGGGTTATTAATTCTGGAGTGAGTAATATAAAAAAGCAGGCACAGAGGAGGCCCCTTAGGCCCACGAGGTGGCTGAGGGGGCAACGGGATGACAGTTTGCGGTGACAGGTCATCTGGCGTTGACAGGTATCCAGCATGGGATGTGGCCAGGCTGCCCATGGTAAGATCCAGCGTCTGAAGCTGTGTGGTCCTCACCTTCTCATTCCTGGGGAGTGATTTGTGCTTCTGGCTGCCTTCTCTTCCCTTGGTTCCCACCTGATTTCTGAGCTTCATGCTTCAAATTTACGGCAATTCTGTGAGCTACCCACACCCCCAAATACTTTCTAGATTACTTTTTCTGCTTAAATCTGCTGAAACGAAGACTCTGACGGAAGCTCACATTAACTGAGAAAGTGTACGAGAAAGCACTTTGTAAAGTACCCGGAAAATGTTCGTTGTCAATATCCAAGATCTCCCTCTAGGCAGAAAATCCTCACAGACACCTGCCCTCTCCACCTGTACCTGGTAGCTCCACAGAAGCTCTCCTCCACCTTCTGGGTCTGCAGGGCCAGGCCCCACAGATCTGTCCACCCTGCTCTATTAATAAATGCAATGTGATTGCTACTAGGGGCATGGCTTGCAGTAAGCTCTGCAAGGGATTAACATACTGTCTCAGGAAGGGTGAGTGACTTGGCCCTGTCTCATGGAGCAGAGCTGGAGCTAGGACCCAGGCTTGCCATCCCCAGCACCAGTCCACCCTGAGGTGCCTCGACACAGACGTTGCACCAGGCAAGGCTTCAGCTTGTGGCAGGTTTAATAGCAGCATAAAAATTATATGGTCTTTTGAATCACATCAGCGTTAATGCGCCGCAATGGTAACTACCACATCAAAGTGGGTTTCACATTTCCACCTTCATGCACTATCAAGCACGTATCATCTTAAAATAAACCAGCCGGGTCCTTGGAAGCTGTGCCATGTAGTCCAGGGCCTGAAAGCTCTGTGGCAGAGTGAGGGGAAGCCCAGATATGCCACTTCTAGCAATTATCCTTATAGATTTATTCCCACACATGCATGACCTGAGCATATATAGTTATTCATTGCCGCAGGGAACATAGGGAAACAGTCTATGTATCCATCAGTAGGGGATTGGGTAATGCTCACACAGCAATAGATTATCAACTGGAGTATCAATGGATGTTTCTGCAGCTTAATACAAATACGGTCAGGCTGTGTTTGGCTGATATGGAAAGACCCTCGAAAATATTGTGAGGTGAAAACAGCAAGTTACAAAACTAGGTATAGTAGCCGTCATTTATGCAGAGAAGAAGGGGAAAAGAAAATATATGACTGTACATATATCTCTGGAAAATACAAAATACTGAAAGCTGAAATATTGATGGTTTCTGGAGAGCTAAACCAGGTGGTTGAGAGACAGGAGTGGGAGGGAGAATTTTCACAGAATATCCTTTTGTTCCTTTTGAATCTGGAACTATAAGAATGTAATACCTGTTCAAATAAAAATAAACACATGTGATCATTTTGTGGGGTGTTTTCGGGGTTTTGTTTTGTTTTGTTTTTGCAAATGACATTTTAAAAAATAAAAATAAGAACAAAAAGACATGGATTTCAGATGGCCAGATTTTAGCCCTCAGTTCGAGGGATATTTGGGGAACTGGGGACCCACTTGGATTTGCAGGCTGCTGTCTTGTCAGCAAATGGGAAGGTCAAGAGCAGCAGTCCTTTCCAGAGCCCCTTACACACCCAATTCCAAGTGGGCCAGAACCACCGGTGGGGCACTCAAGTGACCGGCACCCTGCCCCAGAGGAAGAAGGGCTTCGACAGAGCCCTGCAGGAAGCAGACAGAGGCACAGGAGCCTCCCCGCTAGGAGAACCATGCTGGTGACCCTCTCCTGTTTACACAGCTGCACAGGGCATGGCTGGTTCTCTATGAGCAGCAAGATAACCAGGAAGGCACCAGCCAGAAAATATCACCATACCTAATACTCTACCAAGTGGGTGACGTCCTCTTTGGTTAGGGTGTTCCCCTGTCCTGAGACCCACTTTCAAAATATACACCCCTTGGCCATGGATGAAGGTGTATCCCACATACTATCTCTCCCAGTAGCTTATTAAATCTTTTCTCCCAGACAGGAGGAGTCCAGGTAAAATGATAGCCCCTGCAGTGGGTTGAATCGTGGTCCTTCCAAAAATTATATCCATCCAGAACCTCAGGATGTGATTGCATTTAGAAAAAGGGTCTCTGCAGATGCAGTAAGGATCTCAAGGTGGGAACAGCCTGGATTTGAGTGGGTTCTAAATCCAATGACAGACGGGTGCAGTGGCTTACACCTGTAATCCCAGCACTTTGTGAGGCTGAGGCGGGTGGATCACCTTAGGACAGGAGCTTGAGACCAGCCTGTCCAACATGGCAAAACCCCATTTCTACTAAAAACACAAAAATTAGCTGGGCATGGTGGCATGTGCCTGTAATCCCAGCTACTTGGGAGGCTGAGGCAGGAGAATCTCTTGAACCCGGGAGGCAGAGGTTGCAGTGAGCCGAGATCACACCACTGCACTCCAGCCTGGGGGATAGGGCGAGACACTGTCTCAAAAAAAGAAAAAAAAAAGACAGAGAGAGAGAGACAGGACAGGAGACACAGAGAGTAAAGGCACGTGATGCTGGAGGAGACTGGAACGATGTACCTTCAGGCTAGGGAGCCCCAAGGATTGGTGGAGCCACCAGGAGCTAGAAGACGGGCATGGAAAGAACCAGACCTGCAGACACCTTAATTTTGAACCTCTGGTCTCCACGGCTGAGAGAAAATAAGTTTCTGTCATTGTGAGCCACCTAATCTGTGGTATTTTGTTATGGCAGCCCCAAAACCTTTGCTGAGGAAGAAGAGGGGACTTGGGGCACTGAGGGTCACTTCAAGGACTTCATAAATCAATTAAGGGCTGCCCCTGCTGCCGTGTGGCTCTGGGAAGGGAGAATAGGGTGTCCTGTTTGGTTGGAGAAAAATGCCCAGGGAAGGCTGGGCCACACTTGTGGTCTGGGGCAGCTCCTTCCCAGTTCCCTGCGCAAGAGCCTTCCCTGCAGTTGCCTAGGGAATGTTTTTCTCCACCGGGGAAGGTGTGCGTTTTGCTGCACCAAGAAAGGTGTGCGGCCCTGTCGCTAGGAAACAGGGAGCCGGGCCTGTGGGCTCCCAGCCTGGAGCAAGGCAGATGGTGACAAGATTAAATAGTGCCTTTCATTTCAACATAGGAAATGTTTTCAATTCTCCTCTCTTCATGTCTCTAAAAAAAGGCAAGTGCGGAAACGTCCCACTGGAAATTTATTAACAAAAGCCCAGGCAGCCCAAAAAAGCCAACTTTTTTCTTTTCACACATCTCTCCAACCAGCCTACAGGCACTTTGAGTGGAGGGCCTTGCCCCATTGCCATGACGCTCCAGGCACCCCAGGGAGCCTCAGCCAATCCTCACAGCTACTCACAGAGGTAAGGCTTATTGCTATCCCATTTCATAGATGAGGAGACCAAGGCCTGCAGAACAAAGTAATTGGTTGGCAAGTTGGGAAGCTGGGATTTCAACCCATGCATAACAGTGCTAACCTTTGCTATACACGCCCTCATGATAATGTTTGTGAAAGTATTGGAAATGACGAGGGCAGTATAAATCCAGAATCTCATCATGGTTAACAGGTCTCAGCCCAATCAGGCTGCTGTAACAGAATACCATAGCCTGCGTAGCTTAGAAACAATAAAATTGATTTCTCACAGTTCTAGGGGTTGCGAAGTCCAAGATCAAGGCACCAGCATATTCAGTGTCTGGTGAGGGCCTGTAACCTAGTTCATAGACGGCTGTCTTTGCACTGTGTCCTCACATGGTGGAGGGAGGTGAGGGAGCTCTCTGGGGTCTCTTCTATAGGGCCACCAATTTCATTCATGAGGGCTCTGCCCTCATGACCTAATCACCTCCCAAAGGCCTCACCTCAACAGCATCACCTTGGGGATTAGGTTTCAACATGTGAATTTGTGGGGGACACAAACAAACATTCAGTCTATAGCATAACACAGGACAGTGAAGGGTGAGCACAGTGAAGAGGAGACAGCTTTGTTTTCACTGCAGATTAACTTCTGGCAAGGAACTGAGTGGGCCAGAAGACATTAGACAGATGTGAAGATTAAGACACTGCAGGTCAGAGCCCACCAGTTGGGTCAGTGTCTCCTGACTAGGCCATTTCTGGTACAGCTTCAGGCCCCACATGACCCAGTCTCCCAAGCTGCGCAGCCAATAGCAGTAACTGGCCAGAGCTAGCCAGGGCAAACACACTCCCTGGCACAGTCTTCTGACTATTGTGTGCTTGTAGTAGAGTAGAGTGAAAAAGAACATTTCAGATCCCTAAGATACCTGGAGTCAGGTGCCCAGATTGAAGCTGGGTCATTGGGAGAAAGGTGGGCAAAGACTAAGAAAGGGGGGAAGATTTGGGTTAGGTTTGAGATCCATCAGGTTGGAAGGTTAGAGGGAGGAGGAGCTGGGCAGACATGTTCACAGATATGCCCTATTCTTCCCCAAACCTTACCTCCCTCAGTCCTAAAATAAGTACTATCTACAAGTGGATCATTCATATAACAATAATCCCTTTGGTGTTTAAAACTTCTCTCCTATCCAAGTGGTTTCACAGCCATTGTCTCATGTGATGCTCAGCTCAGTTCCAGGAGGTGAACACAGCAAGTGCTACTTCTCCATTTTGACCATGGAGAAAGTGAGTTTCAATCCATCTTATCCCAGCCTCCGGGTCCCAGTCTATTGGGGGTAGTGTCAATTCTTCATTTGTAGTAACACTTAAAACTCTGCCTCCTTTTCCATTCTTTTTTTTTTTTTCCTTTTTGAGACAGAGTCTAACTTTGTCACCAACGCTGGAGTGCAGAGACATGATCTCAGCTCACTGCAACCTCCACCTTCCAGGTTGAAGCGATTCTCATGCCTCAGGCTCCCTAGTTGCTGGAACTACAGGCACCCACCACCACGCTCAGCTGATTTTTGTAGTTTTAGTAGAGATGGGATTTCAACATGTTGGCCAGGCTGGTCTTGAATTCCTGGCCTTGAGTGACCAGCCCGCCTTGGCCTCCCGAAGTGCTGGGATTACAGGCATGAGCCACCACGCCCCACTCCTTTTCCATTCTTAATTCCAGTATCTTAATTCAGCTTCTCATAAGGTCAAGGCTCCTGCCTCTGCCTTTAGTCTCTCCCCAGGCTGAGGTGTCTATATGCTGTCCCTAGATTATGCTTCCTGAAGCACCACTTTCATCATCATGACCATTGTAGCACTCATCATTGATCCTTAACAACCCATCAAAACTGAACGCCACTGCCTGGCTTCCAAAGCCCTCTTAACTTTGATGTCACCCAACTCCATTGTGTTATTACCTTTACTTTACTACGTGCACTTGCTGCTCCAGCCATTCCACTCTCCTCTCTGATTCACAATTCACGATGCCCGTTGCTGCCTCTATGCCTTTGCTCATGCTGTGCTCCCTCCTGGACTGATGTCCCTTCATCCACGGACAACTCTCCAGTTGCTACTTACCCTTCAGGATACAGAGCAAGTCAACCTCTTTCATTAAACCAATCCTAGTTATCCCAGAGACTGTTCCCTCCTCTGAATTCATACTTACATACAGAGCATGACACCTGAGCCCTTGGTAGCCAGCTTCTAGGATGGCCCCCCAGTGATCCTCACCTCATGGTCCTCATACCACTGTATAGGCCTCTCCCTCATTGAGTAGAGTCGATCTGTGTAACCAACAGGACGTTACAGAAATGACATAGTGCGAATTGAATTCCAAGGCTAGGTCATATGAGACATTGTGATTTCTAGTTTGTGCTCTCTTGGATTGCCTCCTCTGGAGGAATATAGCCACCATGTCAGGAGGACACTTAGCCCTGTGGAGTTCTTGTGGTGATGAACTGAGGCCGCTAGGCAGCAACCAGCACTAACTTGGCAGGCATGTGAGGAACCATCTTGGAAGTGGATGTTCCCCACCCGCAACGTGATGCCTTCTGCTATGTTATAATGCAGCAAGAAGGCACTTGCCAGATGTAAGCCCCTAAACCTTGGACTTCCCAGCCTCCAGAATTGTATTACAATAAAACTCTGTTCTTTATAAATTACCCAGTCTCAGACATTCTGTTACAGTAGCACAAAATGAACTAAGACATACCCCTTCCTGTGACCAATAACCCCACCTCTACTTCTCAGCAACTCCCACTGGTTCCAAGTGGTCCTGTTAACATCTGCTTAGCAGCTGTGCCTGACTTCTGTGTGCCCCACGAGGCAGTTAAGAATATCCATTGTTAGGCCAGGCATGGTGGCTCATGCCTGTAATCCCAACACTTTGGGAGGCCAAGGCAGGTGGATCACTTGAGGTCAGGAGTTCAAGACCAGCCTGACCTACATGGTGAAACCCCATCTCTATTAAAAATACAAAATTAGCCAGGTGTGGTGGCACAGGCCTGTAATCCCAGCTACTTGGGAAGCTGAGGTAGCAGAATCACTTGAACCCAGAAGGTAGACGTTGCAGTGAGCCAAGATCATGTCATTGCACTCCAGCCTAGGCAACAAGAGTGAAACTCTGTCTCAAAAAGAAAAAAAAAAAAACAAAAAAAGAATATCCATTGTTGCTCACTGCTGTGTGGCCAAGGCTAAGCCCAATGCCTAGGGCAGAGTAGGTGCTCAATTACTATTGGATGAATGAATGCACAGTGATTAAGTGGCTATATATCTTCTCTGGGCTTCTGAAGGCTAGGAAGTTCAAGAGTGAGGGGCTGTCATCTGGCAAGGGCCTTCTTTCTGCACCATCCCATGGAGAAAAGCAGAAGGTCAAGAGAAGGCAAGAGAGTGAACCCCTAGACCCAAGCCCTTTTTATTTATTTATTTATTTTTAAATTTTATTTATTTATTTATTTTGAGATGGAGTCTCGCTCTGTCACCCAGGCTGGAGTGCAGTGGCGCGATCTTGGCTCACTGCAAGCTCTGCCTCCCAGGTTCACGCCATTCTCCTGCCTCAGCCTCCTGAGTAGCTGGGACTACAGGCACCCGCCACCACGCCTGGCTAATTCTTTGTATTTTTAGTAGAGACAGGGTTTCACTGTGTTAGCCAGGATGGTCTTGATCTCCTGACCTCATGATCTGCCTGCCTCGGCTTCCCAAAGTGCTGGGATTACAGGCGTGAGCCACCGTGCCCGGCCTATTTATTTTTATTTTTTATTTTTTTATTATTATTTTTTGAGATGGAGTCTCGCTCTGTCGCTCAGGCTGGAATGCAATGGCGTGTTCTTGGCTCACTGCAACCTCTGCCTCCCAGGTTCAAGCAATTCTCCTGCCTCAGCCTCCTGAGCAGCTGGGATTACAGGCGTCTGCCACCAGCCTGGCTAATTTTTGTATTTTTAGTAGAGATAGAGTTTCACCATGTTGGCCAGGCTGGTCTCGAACTCCTGATCTCAAGTGATCTGCCCGCCTCAGCCTCCCAAAGTGCTGGGATTACAGGCATGAGCTACCTCACCCAGCTCAAGCCCTTTTTATAATCAACATTAATCCATTCATGAGAAACCCTCGTGACCTAAACACATCCCCCTTAGGCCTTATCTCTCAACACTGCTCCATTGGGGATTAAGTTTCCAACATATGACTTTTGGGAGACACATTCAAACCAGAGCATTTCTGCAGGCCTTTACAAAGCCAGTAGGTCCAGTGCATGGTGCCCATAAAAAGGCACAGTGACACCTGAGGCAGGTTTTCCAAAGCCATCCAGGGTAGAGGGGGAGGCACCTGGCCATGGGAACTTCCATGTTGCCACAAAAGCCCTTGGGAGTCATCCTGACATGCTGCAGTGGTGAGCATGTAGTGCTGGGCTCAGCATGGCAGATACCCACCTGCCACCTGGGCACTAAATATAGCCCATAACAAACCCTTCTTTGCCTGGAACCTGCAGAGTTGGCTTATTTGGCTGGAACTGCTACAGAGAGAAGCTCTGTTAAAACGAATTGAGAACTGGCTTCTCCCCATAATTCTAGGATGCTGAGATTCATAATTAGACAATGGATCTTTCCTGCCAGCAACACAACATTGCTGGCCTTAGTCACTGATGAATCCTCCAGGTTGGTTGCTTCAGGTGTTGAGGAGAGGCTGGTGTAGGTGTCCAGAGAATACTCGCATTTTCCAGTGTCCCAACAAAGTAGGATTTTTCTCCCCAGTGTTCTGTTCCTTAGTTATGGACTGACTGTGTCCTCCCACTGGGATACATATGTTGAAGCCCTAACCCCCAGGGTGACTGTAATTGGAGATAGGGCCTCTAAGGAAGTAATTAAGGTTAAATGAGGTTCTAAAGATGGGGCTGTGATCTGATAGGATTCGTGTCCTTATGAGACCAGAGTTCACTCTGTCTCCTCACTTGCACAAGAAAGAGGCTATATGAGAGCACAACATGATGGTGGCTGCCTACAAGCGAAGAGGAGAGGCCTCATCATAATAAATACTACCTTGTTGGCACCTTGGTCTTGGACTTCTAGCCTCCATAACTGTGAGAAGTAAATTTCTGTTGCTTAAGCCACCAGACTGTGGTATTTTGTTATGAGCTGACAAATATACTTAGCACCTTGCTTCTCTGGTCTTTGAACCAGCATTACCAAGCCCAACTCCGGGCTTACCCAACCACAGTCTGCATTGCAACAAGATGCCCAGATGATTCAGAAGCACTGCTTATGAAAAGGTGTTGGGCTCCTGGGAGGGTCTGATTGGGCTAGCAGTCATTTACTCTTCAATGTGAATCGGAGCCTAAGCGGAGGTGCTGAACACTTCAGGCTGGGAAAAGAGAACACTGTAGAACTAAAAATAGCTGGCCTTTCTGCTTTGCTAAAGAGGAGTCTTGCATGACTCGACTTATGGGTAGTCCAGGGCTCTGAACTCAGTTGGTCTAGCTGTGTATATGTGGTGATGGGGAAGTCCTTTAATGTCCTTCAGTTGATACAGGGATATGATTTGTCCCAAAGGAAGGGTAGTGATGCATCCTGCATTGTTGAAGAACTGATAACAGATTTAGACTTCTCTACTTTTCATATCCACATGCCTTGGGTGACTGTTGGCTTTGGAGAATTTAATTCCATTTACCAACTCTAATCAACTGGTAATGGCCACTTGGAATGCTGCGCTGAGAAAGAGTCTAAGGCCTCCACTGGTATCAGTGAAAAATAGGACCTTGATGAATTAGCAATATTGGCCAAGAGCATGGGATGAGGGTAGGGGGACTACCTGGTATCTGTTAATTCCACTCTGAGGCAAAAGGCACTTAGAATTGGTACGTGAAATAATTAACCAAGTAATTAGGTCTGATTCTGCCTTCTATTATTGTTTATTTATTTGCCATTTTTTGTCATCTATTTATACAAATAACATTCCCTGACTTTACTCATAAAGGA
The DNA here is from genome assembly GCF_000001405.40 of Homo sapiens. Classification (NCBI taxonomy): domain Eukaryota; kingdom Metazoa; phylum Chordata; class Mammalia; order Primates; family Hominidae; genus Homo; species Homo sapiens. Next base: position 47,643,890 of record NC_000002.12, on the reverse strand, counting down.
AAAATAAGCAAAAATAACTAGAAAAAATTGTGGAAAAGAAGAGTAAGTAGAGGGAATTAGCCCAACCAGAGAGTACCATAATTCACTGATTCTGTTTCCTGTTTGTTGTTGTTGTTGTTGTTTTTACAATTACACATCTCTGAAATCGAGGTGTGTCTTACATCCCTGTCATCGAGGTGACAGTCATGACGCAGTTGTCCTCACCTGTCCATATACACAGCACTAGCCAAGATTGTTGGAAGCTTGGAAGAAGGCCTGGAGGCAATAGTAGGGCACTCTTTTAAAAAATGCTGTACCATCAAACGAGCACTCTTGAAGGCACAGAGAACAATGTTGTTTGGAAAAACAAGAACATCAATGGTCAGAATCAAAATAAGATTCAGAAGAGATAAGCTCTGAATATGAGGAAATTTTAGGACTACCGTCAATTTCAATTTTGCTTATCTTTTTAGGTTTTTGTTTTTTGTTTTTAGCAGAGCCTTGCTCTGTCACCCAGGCTGGAGTGCAGTGGTGCAATCTCAGCTCGTTGTAACCTCCACCTCCCACACTCAAGCGGTCCTCATGCCTCAACCTCAGCTGGGATTGCAGGTGCGCACCACCAGCCGGGCTAATTTTTCTATTTTCAGTAGATTACAGCTGGGATTACAGGTGTGAGTCACCGTGTCCAGCTTCATTTTTCTTACATGTTTAAATGTATGTCCAAGTATCATATATGATCAACTTCTATGTCTACATAAGTCTAAAGCTTATGTAAGTCTTATAGAAGTTTAAGTCGATAGGTTTATATACAGTTATTCAAAGAAGATGCATTGGTAGAGACAGGAGTCCTGCTGTGTGTTCAAGGAACAGAAGGAAGACCGGAGTGCCCAGCAAGAGTGGATTCATGGAAGAGGATAAAGATCCAAGAGTTAGCTGGGGACCATGTCAGGTAGGCTTTTGGGGCTTCTGTGGGACTTTGGGAACCACTACAGGTTTTGCACAGAAGAGGACATGATCAGACTTACATTTTAAGAGCATCGCTCTGGCTGATGAGAGGAGAGTGGACCTGGGGTCAGGGGGTGAAACCAGGGATGCCATGGAAAGATGGATTAGGAGCTATTTCCATAGCCCGGGGAGAGACAGATGATGGGACGGGGAGCTGGTTCAACTCTGGGTCTATTTGAGAATGGAGCTGACAGGACTTAATAGGCGTGGATGTCGCAAAGAAGAGAGGAGTCGGCTGGGTGCAGTGGCTCACGCCTGTAATCCCAACATTTTGGAAGCCTAAGACTGGCTGATCACCTGAGGTCAGGAGTTCTAGACCAGCCTGGCCAACGTGGCGAAACCCCGTCTGTACTAAAAATACAAAAATTAGCCAGGCATGGTGGCAGGTGCCTGTAATCCCAGCTACTCGGGAGGCTGAGGCAGGAGAACTGCTTGAACCTGGGAAGTGGAGGTTGCAGTGAGCCGAGACTACGCCATTGCCCTCCAGCCTGGGTGACAAGAGTGAAACTCCGTCTCAAAAAAAAAAAAAAGAGAGAGAGAGAGGAGTCATCAAAGACATGGAGTTCTGACTCGAGCTATAGAGAGAACGGAGCTACTGTTTCCCGAGAATGTTGTGGTGGCAGCAGGTTCTGGGGAGCAGCAGGAGTTTGGGTTAGGAAGTGCTATTTTCAAAATGCAGATTAAGCTTCCAAGTGGAGCCCCTGAGAGGACACTGGCTCCATGAGTCTGTAGTTCAGGAGAGGGTGCCAGGCTAGAGATACAAATGCCACATTAGTTTCAGCCCAAGCTGATATGGAAGCCCTGAAGCCGATGAAATCAGCGTGGGACAGAGAAGGAAAATGTGTCTTGATAGAACAGGAGGGGACGCTGCGACAAAGAGGAGGGGAGGGGAAGGCAGGAGGGGCCAGAAAAGGAGGCTGAGAAGGAGTGGCCAGAGACATAGGGGAGATAAAGTGAGAGATCCATGGACCAGAACAGAAATCCCAGAAATAGGCCCAAATGCAGAAGTTATAGGAATGTAACGTGCACGAAAGGCAGCATTTCAAACCAGGAAGGAAAGAGAAATTATTCAATATATGGGGTTGCCCTCTGCGAAAAAAATGAAGTTGGATTAGTATACGTTTCAAATGTGTCCAGTATCTAAATGTATAAATAAACAAAATTTAAAAGCACATACTAGAAGAAACCATAAGGAAATGAATTTTAGTAATCTTTTGTTGGTGTAAAACAACCTAGAAAGCTATAAAACAGTGGTACATGTGATTATATAACAAAGACTATCTGCATGGCAAACTATCTTCAAAAAAGTCAATAGATAAGTGACCAATTGGGAAAAATATTTATGACTCATATAGGGCTAAGTGCCATCACATTTAGAGGTTCTAAATCAACAATGATCACGATAATAACAAGAATAAAAGAACAATAAGCCAATAAAAACATGGGTAAAGATTGTGCACCAACCACTCAAGGAAAGAGAAATACAACCAGCTTTAAGTCTCTGAAAAGATGCTCGAACTCACTCACAGTAAGAGAAATGCAAATTAAAGCTACACAAGAAAGCAGCTTTCACCAACAGATTTTTTTTTTTTAAAGAAGGGAAACCACTCAGGCTGCATCTTCTCTGTCTTACTCTGCTGGAGGGAAATGAACGCCCATCAATGCCAAATAATGTGTGTGTGCACACATTATACATAATAATTATGTGTTATAATGTATAATTATACATTATACATTATAAATGTGTGTGTGCACATGTGTGTTCCCCAGCTCTGTCCCCTAAGAACACCTGGAAACAGTGACACCCTAATAGCAGTGAGCACATCTAGGGACCAGGTCTTGGTTTTTGAATACCATTTTTCATAAAAGGAATGAGAGCTCCTTGGAGAAATGGCTGATTCCAGGGCTGGATCAAGACAAGTATAAGGTGAGCCCAGAACCTTTCTTTAAGATTATGATGATGTTTTGAAGCTATTACTAGTTCATTCAGTTCTTCACCAGTATTAAAATTATTTTTCCCAGCACTTTGGGAAGCTGAGGTGGGAGGATCGCTTGAGTCCAGGAGTTTGAGACCAGCCTGGGCAACACAGCAAGAACCCCATCTCTTTAAAAAATATAAAATAAATAAAATACACTGTTTTTTAAAAATAACAACACTTAACCATAAACTTAGTGTTTACTATGTGTTAGGCACTTTTTGACATTATTTTGATTAATCCTTACAATAACTTTAAGAAGTAGATTATCCTACCTTATATGTAAGAAAACTGAGGCTTACCAGTAACTTGACCTAGTGTAGTTGACCCATCTTGGGTTCCCCACCTGCCTCACGCTGATTTCCCTTTCCTGGCTGTGTACCCCATCCTCCGGCGCCCCTGGCAGCCTGCCCTGTACCATGTAACTGTACCCTGTAGCCTTAGCTGGTTGGCCAATGAAGGAATTTTTTTTTTTTTTTTTTTGAGGCAGAGTTTTGTTCTTGTTGCTCAGGCTGGAGTGCAGTAGCAAAATCTCAGCTCACTGCAACCTCCACCTTTCAGGTTCAAGTGATTCTCCTGCCTCAGCCCCCCAAGTAGTTGGGATTACAGGCACCCGCCACCATGCCCGACTAATTTTTGTATTTTTATTAGAGATGGGGTTTCACCATGTTGGCCAGGCTGGTCTCGAACTCCTGACCTCAGGTGATCCACCCGCTTTGGCCTCCCAAAGTGCTGGGATTACAGGTGTGAGCCACTGTGCCTGGCCCGACCAAGGAATTTGATACTTGAACCAAGCTGGGTCAAACAGTCTTGAGACAGATGAAAATGTAAGACTTAAAATTAGAGGCCAGGCACAGTGGCTCAACGCCTGTAATCCCAGCACTTTGGGAGGCTGAAGCGGGTGGATCACCTGAGGTCAGGAGTTCGAGACCAGCCTGACCAACATGGTGAAACCCCGTCTCTACTAAAAATACAAAATTAGCCGGGCGTGGTGGCAGGCACCTGTAATCCCAGCTACTCAGGAGGCTGAGGCAGGAGAATTGCTTGAACCCAGGAGGTGAAGGTTGTGGTGAGCCGAGATTGTTCCATTGCACTTCAGCCTCGGCAACAAGAGCGAATCTCTGTCTCAAAAAAAAAAAAAAAAAAAAAAAAGACTTTAAAGAATGAGAGAGAGACACAGAAATCATTAAGGTTGAGAAAGGTTAGTAGCAACACTCTGGAAAAAAGGCTCCTACTGCTGAGTCATGGTTGTCAACCCTTCCATGTGATCTGTAATAGTTAGTTTTATGTGTTAACTTGACTGGTCTATGATATAGCTGGTAAAACATTATTTCTGGGTGTGTCTGTGAGAGTGTTTCCAGAAGAGATTAGCATTTGAATTGGTAGACTGACTAAGGAAGATCGTCCTTGCCAGTGCAGGTGGGCACAATCAAATCTGCTGAGGGCCTGAATGGAATAAAAAAGCAGGGGAAGTGTATATTTTCTTGCTGTCTGAGCCGAGACATCCAGGTTTTCCCGCTCTTGGATATCTGTGCTCCTGGTTCTTGGACTTTCTGACTCAGACCAGATCTTATATCCTACCCATCCCCTTCACCTCCCCCCTCCCACTCCCTAGTTCTCCAGCTTTGGGGTTTGGACTGGAATTGCACCACTGCTGTTCCTGGGCCTCCAGCTTACAGATGGCAGATTGTGAGATTTCTCAGCCTTCATAATTGTGTGTGCCAATCCCTCCTGGTAAATCTCTCTCTTTCTTTCTCTCTCTCTCTCTCTCTCTCTCTCTGTATATATATATATATATATATATATATATATATCCATCCTACGGATTCTGTTTTTCTGAAGAACTCTAATACATTCTAATAAATTCACCCTTTTTGGCTTAAGTTCGCCAGAATCCATTTCTATTGTTAGTAACCAAAGTAGCCTTAATGAATAAGCAAGAATCATACATGGTAGAGATGGGATTTGAACTTTGGACTCCAAAGCCTTGTTCTTTTCCAGTATACTACACCATTCACTCCTGGGAACCATTTATTCACACTAACAAGTATACATATCCAATATCCACAGCTCTCTATTCTAACAAAGTTTTTAATGGGATAATTCCAGCCCCAAATCAGTGTGGTCATCTTGTTGGGAGAGATCATATGAAGAATCCACTGGGAGAGTGAGCCCTGTGGTGACACAGAGAGGCCCAGCCATCCCAGTGTACCAGGTGAGATGTTCCTGCCATGATGGCAGACATGTGAGTGAAGCCATCTTGAATGTTTCTGCCCCAGGTGCCATCTCACTGTGAACACCTGACAGGCAAGATCAGCAGAAGAACCATCCCGCTAAGCCCCAGGCAACTCACAGAATTACAAGAAATAAGATGGTTGTTGTTTTTAACCACTAAGTTTTGGGATGGTTTGTTTTGCAGCAAAAGATAACTAAAATTGATGGCTTCTTTGGAAAGATGGCATGTGAGATGAGAACTAAAAGACTGAGGGGAGGGGGCGCTGGGGGACGGCAAATCAAGGCAGAGGTGTCAGGAAGGAGCTCGGTACATTTGAAGAGCTGAAAAGGCCAGTGTGGCTCCCGTGTAGAGCAGTGGGGAGGGTGGTACCAGATGAGGGAAGAGAGATTATGCAGGACCCTGTGCATCTCAGAAGGAGCCTGGACTTTATCTAACTGCAACAGACACCATTGAATGAATTTTTGTTTTTACATTTTTTGTAGAGACGAAGTCTCACTATGTTGCCCAGGCTGGTCTTGAGCTCCTAGACTCAAATGATCCTCCCATCTCAGCCTTCCTAAGTGCTGGATTACAGATATGAGCCACCGTGCCCAGCCCATTGAAGGGTTTTAAGCAGGGGAATGACATGGTCAGATGTTGAGTTTTCAGGTGTCTCTCTGGCTGTTGGATGGGAGGATGGCAGGTAACATGGAAGCAAGAAGAGTAGTTAGAGGGCATTTGTAATAGTCCCCATGAGAGATGATGGCAGCTTCAATGAGGGTGGTGGATATGAAGGTGGAGAGGAATAGAGGAGCTCAATGAATATTTTGGAGGTGGAATAAACAGAACTTGGTGATGGATTGGATGTGAGGTGTGAATGAGAAGGAAATGCCAGGAATGACACCCAGATTCCTGACTTGACAACTGGGTGGAGGCTGGTGCCATTTACTGAGATGGGGAAAATGGTGGGAGGATAAGATTTGGGTTAGGGGGTCCAGATCAAGGGTTCACTTTTACACATATGAAGTTGGAGATGTCAGAGAGACAGCAAGTGGAGACGTGAGTAGGCAGCTGAATATCCAAGCTCTCATTTTAGAAAAGTGATCTGGGCTAGGCATATACACTTGAGAGTCATCAGCCTAAAGATGATATTTAAAGCCATGAGAAGAAATGAGATTGCCTAGAGAGAGAAGAAGAAGAGAAAAGAGTCTCCGCTAACGTTAATGCCTGGTAGAGGAGGGAACCCTGGCAAACCCTGAACATCATAGGACTTCCCTTAAGAGCCACAGGAAGCAAGTTCAAGGTGCTTCTACCTAACAGCTCTTTGGATATTTGATGACAAGGGGTAGTGTCCACCTCTAGATTACACCTTCCAAGTTCCCTCTGTCTTTCCTTGTAAGGCATAATTTAAAGCTCTTCACCATATGGGTCATTCTCCTCTTAAAGTTCCTTTCTTGAACTGAGTGTAATGCTCCAGCCCCAGGTAGAAAGGGACCAGCTGAGCCATTTATCACTATCCCTGTTTAGTGATAAATACTAAACAGGAGGCAGCATCAGGACAGGGAGGACAGATGAGCCCTGCTCGGTTGTTGCTAAGAGATTTTTCATTGCTTTTCCCATCCGTAGGAAAGGGCGAAGGATTTCAGAGAAAGCCTCATAAACAATTGAATGAGCTCAGGCACTCTGTTACTGCCTGACAGCCTCAGTGGCAGAGACCTAGATTGTTTCCCAGAGGAAAAAATAAATAGTGTAAAACTTTCAAGATGTGCGCGTCAAAGGGCTGTTTGCCTGCTTTACGGTGAGAGCTCAAGATGGATGGTTTGGGAACAGCTGAAACCTATAAACACAGAGCAGAAAAGTTCTCCATCTTTTGCTCATTTATTCCATGAACTTTTTCATTGCTGAGATGCCAAGGCCTAAATAAATATGCACGCTATGCCATTGTTCCGCTCTGAGTCCCGGCTGGAATAGGAGACCTACATTCTTCATTAATGCTGTTCAGATTCACAGGATGAATATTCTGCTTTGGTTACTGCACATGGTGCCCAGAAATCGCAGGAACAAAAAACATATATGTGTGTCTCATGTGCACATTCACATACACACACACACACACACACACACGCACACACACACCCCATGTACATATCCTAAGCCTTCCGGATGTGGAGTTTGAAAACGTGCTCAATATCACTCTGGCAAGAAAGGGTTCTTCATTTCTCACCTCTTTCTTTCCTTTCTCCCTGAAGTGGGTGAAGTATTTGCCAAGATAGAGACTTGGTCTACATAACAATGCAGAGATTCACCCAGGAGAGGCCCTCAGTGTTACTGAGACCCAGGTAGATGCTCCCACGCTGAAGAGGGAGGGAGCACAGAGAGAGACGGGAGCCCCATGAGATGATCTGGTGTCTGTTGTATTAAAGGCTTGGCCTTTCTTCTGGCCCTAGGGAGTGTGTATCATCATTCTAGAGCAGTGATTCTCAAAGTGTGGTTCCCCCAGGCATCCCAGACCCCCTGAATGAGAAACTCCAGAGGTAGGGCCCAGCAATCTGTATTTTAAGAAGCCCTGGAGGTGATTCTGATGCAGGCTCATGCTAGAGTCTAGCAGTATGACTTTCTTTCTAGCAATATACTCTACCTTTATACTCTTTCAAGTATTGTGTGCATATAATTTTATATTTGGAAAATAAGGAGAAAACCTTATTTCTGTAACACAAACTGCAGGATATTTGGGGAGGATATGAAGAGAGAAGAAAGTGGCATATTAAAATCCCAGAGACAGACTTTTGTGTTCACCAAAGTGGGGCAAGGGTTAAAAAAGATTTCAAAACACCGATTTAGAGTAAAGAAAGGTCTCTCTGAGGCAGGAGACTCAGGTCATGGGGGGTTCATGCAGCAGGATGATGGGGTTCAGAACAGACTATCCCAAATATGGCACTTTGGCATTGGAGGAAGCAGCAGAAACAAAAAGCCTCTCTGACCCTCTTCCGTGCTTCTCCTAAAGCAGGCCATAAAAGAATTCCTTGATCTTGCTCTGAAGTAGGTGATAAGACCCTTACATGAGGTGCCCACCCTATACCCACAAGAAAAGAATGTTCTTATCTCTGAGGACACAGGGACACAGAGAATATTCTGAACAGGCCCTGCTAAGTTCCCGCCAGTTTATTATCATTGGAATAGTAATAAATTAGTGTATTACCCCCTTTGTCCACATCTGCACGACTGTCCACTCTTTATCAAACCTAAGCATAAAAACACACAGGTTTTCCTGTTTCTTTGGGTCTTCATTTCTGAAGGCTCCCATGTCATGTCAAACCTAGATATTAAATAAATGTGTATGCTTTTTTCTTGTTAATCTGTCTTTTACTATGGGTGCCTCAGCCATAAACCTAGTGATGGGTGAGGGAGAGAAATCTTTCCTCCCCAGTAAGAGCCTGTGAGAGAAGGCCAGGAGCTCACCATGCCCCACGAAGCCAGGGTTGGAACAGGCTTTTCTGAAAGTGTATTGGTTTCCCAGCAGACCTCCTGAGAGAGTAGTGTGTGCATGTGGATATGTGTATGCACCTGTGTGTGTGCAGGTGGGGGGTGGGCAGGAGGACAACAGGAGGCCATGGGGAACATTTCTGTCACATCACCACTACCACAAGCTCCCAGTATCTGGCTCTCAGCCCTGGGGAGAGCTGGTCTGCAATAAACCAGAGACCTTAGAATGCAAAGGGGGTTGATTTCTAGTTTCCAAGGACTCCCAAGGTGCTTCCTGTGTGGCTTCCTCATTTGCAGTGGGTCTCAAATTCAGTAGACTCCACCTCCCAGAGATTCTGATTCCATTGGCTTGCTGTGGGGAGAAGAAATTGGCCTTTTTTTTTTTTTTTTTTTTTTTTTTTTTTTTGAGACAGAGTCTCTCTCTGTCCCCCAGGCTGGAGTGCAGTGGTGCGATCTCGGCTCACTGAAACCTCTGCCTCCCAGGTTCAAGCAATTCTCCTGTCTCAGCCTCCTGAGTAGCTGGGGCTACAGGCTCACGCCACCACACCCGGCTAATTTTTGTATTTTTAGTAGAGCAGTCTCAGACTCCTGACCTCAGGTGATCCACCTGCCTCCGCCTCCCAAAGTGCTGGGATTACAGGTGTGAGCCACCGCGCCCAGCCAAAATCTGCATTTTAAACAAGCCTCTTCCTTCCAAGTAATTCTAATACAGAAGCTTCATGGACTACAGCAAGGATACCAAGGCAGTTTTATTTTTGGTGATGGTGATGCTTGGGAGGAGGCGGGGCGTGACACTGAGGAGTAGGGAAGGGAATGTTCTTGGTCATTGGAGCCTCTGAAGGGCCTCTTCTTCCAAAGTCAACGAGTGACTAAGTAGCAGCAGTGACACAGAAGGGCAGCCTAGTTGAGAAGTGTCCACTGGACAGGGAGAAGCATTAGTTTGGGCAGCAAATCTTAGGTTGCTAGTTGATCCTGGGGATGCTTGCAGGTCACCTGGTCAACGTGGTTGTCAGAGGCATGCTACCTGTTCTTTCTAGAAGGGAGACCTCACAAGGCCACATAGCTACTTCTACTGGTGGAGAAAGAAGCTTGGGAGAGTCTGTAGGGCCAATGCACCCACTGAACAGCTACTGTTAGGTAGGAAAGGCATTTAGGCAACAGGGGTAGACAGCTCAGCGTAAAGGGGACCCATAAATCCTGCCAAGAGAGCCCTGTGATGACGGAGGTGTTCTGAACCTGTGCTGTCCAGTGAGGCAGCCACCAGTCACATGTGGCTCATGAGCACTTAAAATGTGGCTAGTGTGGATGAGGAACTGGTTTTTAAACTTTATTTAATTTTAATTCATTTAAATTGAGGTTTAAATAGCCGCATATGGCTCTGATTGCGGCATTGGATAGTGAGAATCTCACATTACCAACCACATCCCAGTGCTGGAATGGAGGCAGCTCTGGGTGAAATGGCTGCTCTGTCTAGTCCTGAGGGAGGTCTGGGTGCTTTGTAAGTCAGAGGCTGGGGATTTGAGGCTTCCTGACTCCTTCCAGCCTCTTCACTGCTCTGGGAGGATATCTCCGAGTTATTTCACAGCAGCGCTCCTGCTCCGGGGCTGTCAGCCTTGTCTGGTTCAAGGTCAAGGGCCCTGTCTGTGGCTTGAATACAAGCTCAGCTCTATAGCTCTGGAAGGATTACAGGGGAAAACCAGGGGTGAAGGGGTCTCATGTCCCTAACTTGGAGCACAGGCAAGCTTCACAATTGTCCCCTCATACTCACCTCCCATTTCCCACTTAAAAGATAAAAAGGAAAACATATAAAAAAAGGAAGCTATTCTAAATGAGGACATTTTTAAAAAGCAAGAGCACAGATACTGTAAACATCCAATTGTTGGAAAACATAGGAACCCTCAGCTAGCCAAACAGGGCTGCCCCAAATGGTCCAGCAGAATCCTTGGGAATAAAAATCCCTCCCACAGGCACCAAATAACCTTCAATTATTTTGACGCATTCAGTACTTCTCTGCCAAGGTTGACAAATGACATCCAATCTCAGCTTCTGCCCAGGCTGCCCTGGGCAAGGCTGAAGGCCCGAGGCACCAGCCCCAAGCTCCAGCCCTGCCTGAGGCCAGGGCATCAATCAGGTGTAGGAGCAGATCTAGGGTAGGGGGCTGGGCTGGGCTGGGTGAGGGTCATGACTCAGCTGAGAAAAAAGGGGGCACTAACTCCAGCACCAGGAAGATCTGGAAGGGTAGGAGGAGACCAAACAGTGATGCAAGCCTCAGGCTGGCTCCCTTGGAAGTGGGTCCCACAGGGAGGGGAAGGCATGTGGCTGTTCTAAGCCTGAGTGCCCCACTTACCCGGCCCTCCAGGCAGGATATGGTCAGCCTGGGCCAGATTGTAGAGCATCCACAGGTGTCATGGAAAGATGTCTGCATCTCACCCTGTAGAAAATGGAGTTTGCGAGAGTGTTAGGCAGATTTGTCAATAGCTGGCTTTTCAGGCGTCCTGAAGAGCTGTCTATGTTGTCCAGGGGTTGGGGGTCTGGATCTTCTCTGAACATTAGGAAAGCCTTCGTCTCTGGGAAGACGATCTCCTGTATGGGCCATGGGTTACACTTGAAGGGGAGCAAGAACAAACTGAGGCCTTGGGGAGAAGCAGGTTGCTGAGAAGGTAGTAACAAAGCTCATTCCTCCCTCCCATTCACACACCAGGCCGGCTGTCTAAAACAGAGAATGGTCACATAGGGCAGCTCTAAAGGTCAGAATGCTCTGGTTACTATGGTCCAGAATGATAACGGAGTGGCTATGGCCCTTAAGGTAGAAGTAGAGCTTTTGATAGCCTAAGGATAAAGAGTGGCAGAAGAGCTATGAACAGAGGTGTCCCCACCATGTAGCTTTGCAAAGGGTGGTGATAAGGGATGACAAAGATCTCAAGCCCAAGGATACAGCAAGAGGCAATCCTGACATTCAGAACTCCCAGCGCCCGCCTCCTCCTTCCCTCTCCTAGAGAGGCTGGGTGCTGCCAGGTCAGCGTCTCCGGGTGTGACTCATGTCTCAGCCACCCTGCCTGGGACACTGGCAGCCACCCCCGCCCTTGCAGGCCTGCTTGAGACATGGCTGCTCACTCCTTTTATTTATTCCCTGTTCCTCAGCCACCTCGCCTCAGCCCACCCCATGACTAATGGGCTCCCACCACCCACCCTGGGGCATGCTGAGAGGGCATCACCAGCACTGCAATTATCTGGATCATTCAGGCCCAAAGGCTCTCTCCACCCCCAGCCCCCAGCACCAGCTTTGTTCTGAAATTATCCGCATCACCCCGGTGATTCCGTCGCACTGTCTACACATGAGGTGAATCCACAGCCTCTGGTTTTAAAGGACAGTGCTGGGCTGGCCAGTGATTTCTTCACACCGGCCATGTCACCAACTACTCGTGCCTCAGAAACATGGTCATTTTAGAGCTAACAGGATCTTAGAAATGACTTCAGCCAGTGATCCACACCAGAAGCACCAAGCATCTTTAAACACCCAGACATGTCCAGGGAACATCCCCAGAGATACCCCAGAACTAGCTCTAGATGCATGCGTGTGTGTGTGTGTGTGTGTGCGCGCACGCGCGCATGTGTAAAGCACCCCTGTCCTCCTGGTTGGGAACCTTTGCTGTGATCCACCCCCCTCATCTGACCCAGAGGGAGAAGTATCTTGCCCAAGGCTCAGGCTGATTAGTGGCAAAGCCAGGACTGGGTGTGCCTGCCTCCCTTCTCCTGAGCACAGAAGGGCTTAACTCACTGGACAGGTATTCAAGTCTCCTCACCCCCTCAGGCTTGCCCATCATCTATGTTCCTGAGCTCTCCCCTCAGCCTTCTGGTTCTATCATTACTCTAGCATGAAATTTCCTCACCACCTCTCATGTCCTTTTCCTCCTGGAAGCATCTCCATCCATTCCCCATCGCTATCCATCCCCAGTTCCCAGCCTAACTCATCGGGAACTTTTTTTTTTTTTTAAGACTGAGTCTCACTCTGTCGCCCAGGCTGAAGTGCAGTGATGCGATCTCAGCTCACTGCAATCTCTGCCTCCCAGGTTCAAGCGATTCTCCCTGCTTTAGCCTCCCAAGTATCTGGGATTATAGGCATGCACCACCAGGCCTGGCTAATTTTTGTATTTTTAGTAGAGACGGGGGTCTCACCGTGTTGGCCAGGCTGGTCTCCAACTCCTGACCTCAGGTGATCCACCCGCCTTGGCCTCTCAAAATGCTGGGATTACAGGCGTGAACCACTGTGCCCAGCCCACTAAACCTTTTTTGTCCATGCCTGGGGCAAGTTGCATCTGCTTGACAGTTCAGTTAGCCACAGCACTGTGACACTGACTCTGGGATTTTACAAGTTGTAACTTTGTCTTTTTCTTTAGGAAGCTCTGGAAGTTCAGGGAGCCTTCCCCATCCTCTTGCCCACAGAGGTGCTAAGTGAATGTGGAGATGTGAGTTGATGTGACATTGTAATGTCCCACACCTAGAGGAAGGATGCTCACCTTTAGATGTTTCTTTTTGGAGCTTTGCAATCTGGGCTCCCTTTACAGATTAAACACTGACATTTTCCATTTGTGTAAACATTCACAACGAGACAGGCCTCCAGGCAGGCCAGCAAGGACCAGGGACTGGTAAGTGCTAGGGTCTGAAGAAGGAGACAATCCCTGCACTCCATGCTGACCAACACCATTTGGGAGCACTAAGCAGTAATAAACAAGGACAACTGGTGTCACCCAGCAGACTAGGAAACATCAAAGTTGTGATTTAAAAAAAATTAGGGAGCCAACTGGCAGCAAGCTCCTTCCTTCTGCTAGTTTCATCTGCAAGAACACAGGCTGGAGACAAGTGAGGCTGCCAAGCGTGGATACCTGGGAGGGTGGATACTGGCTTGCAGGCTCCTGCCAACTCCTGCACACTTGAAAGGGCACGGCCAGTCCAGTGTGCTGCCCAGCTGAGAGGGCAGGCCTAGCCATCTGCCTGCCCTTGAGGGGTGCAGGCATCTCTCTGTTGGTGGCAAAGGAGGGTTCAGCCAAGAAACCAGCCCTGACAAGGACTCTGTCCTCAGAAGTGCTTGTCCAGGAGAGTCGGTGAGGAGGTGGCTGGCCTCTGTGGCAGCTGCCAGCAACTCAGTGGTGTAAGGTGGGCAGCTCCCTGCAGGGAGCTGCAATCCAAAGCAAGGCAGTCATGACTGACAATTCAGGGAAGCCCCAGGTAAATGCGGGTGGGGAGCAGCTGTGTGCTCAGGACCGTATCTCTCTTCCACTCTGTGTAAGTGTTAGGTGAATACAGGGAGTGACTGATCTACCGTTTTTAGGGTGACTGTATTAATTATTGTTCAAACTTGGCAAGGCACAGTGGCTCATGCCTGTAATCCACTGTGGTCACCAGGACTTCACTCACCTGAAAACTTGCCTGTAATTCCTGTAATGCTGCTGTGGTCACCAGGACTTCACTCACCTTAAAACTTGCCCTCTGCCTGCAATGTCAGGCTCCTTTCTCCCTCCCTTGCTTCATCTCCTGGCATTCCCTTGCCTCCCCTACCCTCATGCTTATTGTCTTCTCCTCTTCCCCAGTGAATGCCTTCCAGTCCACTACACAAGCCTCTCTGGGGCTCAGTGCTTTTGCTTTTATTGTTCCCTCTACAGTAAAAAGTACCCTTTCCTTGATACCTGGCGACCTCCTAGGCATGCCTCAAGACCCAGCTTAAATGTTACTTTTCTGGTGAAACGCTACCAGACTCCATGAGACAGAATGGGTTCCTCCATCTGTGCACTTGGCCTTGCTGTTTTATGGTGCTTATTGCATTGTTTGGTGACTCTTTGTTTACATGTCTCCTTTTTGTTCTCCTTTAGATAATGAGGTCCTTGAAGATTTATTTCTCTAAATGTACCATGGAACATAGTGTCTAGTACACAGAAGCTGTCAATAAATATTTGCTGAATGAATGAACGAATGAATGCAAATTCCTTCACCCTGCTACCTCCTGCTCCATAACCCTTAATGCTGCCCTCTTACCTGGAGACAAAATATGTGGCAGTTCATTCCACATGTTGTCTGTACACACCATAATTACCCCCATGTTTGGCATTATGGAGAAATGCAAAAATGTAAAATAAAGCGTCTCCACCCTGAGTTCCAAACAGTAAGTAAGGCAAGAACTCAGATGAAACCATGAAGGAGGCAGTGGGGACCACAGTGGCGTTCTGGATGAAGGGAGCCTTGCCTCCAGCAGGGAGAATCCAGGACAGTCTCCTAGGCACCAGGTCATGTTTGAGTCAGCTCTGAAGAGTGGGTAGATTTTTTTTTTTTTTTTTTAAGATGGAGTCTTGCTCTTGTTGCCCAGGCTGGAGTGCAGTGGTGCAATCTCAGCTCACTACAACCTCCGCCTCCCGAGTTCAAGCGATTCTCCATGCCTCAGCCTCCCAAGTAGCTGGGATTACAGGTATGCACCACCACACCTGGCTAATTTTTGTATTTTTAGCAGAGATGGGGTTTCACCATGTTGGCCAAGATGTTCTCGATCTTCTGACCTTGTGATCCACCCACCTCAGCCTCCCAAAGTGCTGGGATTACAGGTGCTCCATGCGCTGGTGGCTCACCACCATGCCCAGCCAAGTGGGTAGATTTTAATAGACATAGGAGTAGGGGCAATGAGGGTACGGAAAAAGGGCTTTACTGGTCCCAAAGGCAAACATGGTCAGGATATGTTCAGAATGTGGCTGGAGCAAAGGCCACATGGAGGGGAACAGCAGAAGGTGGAGGTGGACAGGGCTTGTCCAAGGACGGTCAGGGTGTGGCTCTTGTCAGCAGGGTGGGTTCCAAAAGGTCTCACTCAGAGCCAGGCAGCCACACTGCCTCTGAGGAGGCACTGAAAGGGAGAGGCCTGCAAACTCACTCCAGCTGTCACAGCCCACGCAAGGGGTGAAGGAAGCGGAGCAGCACGGGCCAGTTATGAAAACAGGGAATGTTTTAGATTCCCTGTTTCTCTCTACATTTCCTAAATCCCATATGTAGTAGGGACTTGGTCCAAGGGTGCCCCTTAATCCACCAGCCTCCAGTAAGATAACTTATAGAGCTTCTCCCACCTTCTCTCCCCTCAGTAGGTTGGGGCCTATGAATCTCTCAACCACGGGACAGGTAAATATTTCTTAGGCACCATCTACCTGAAAGATAGCAAGGGAAGAACGGTGGGAGATACGCAAGAACAGAGGCCACAGACCTCTAGTGATTAACCACATACAGCATGAAACACCCACAGAACCATGCCAGGCCAGGGGTGGCAAGTGTTAGGTGAATACAGGGAGTGACTGATCTACCCTTTTTAGGGTGACTGTATTAATTATTGTTCAAACTTGGCAAGGCACGGTGGCTCATGCCTGTAATCCTACCACTTTGGGAGGCTAAGGTGGCCGTGAGTTCAAGACTAGCCTGGGCACCATAGTGAGACCCCAT
This sequence comes from Homo sapiens, assembly GCF_000001405.40. Classification (NCBI taxonomy): domain Eukaryota; kingdom Metazoa; phylum Chordata; class Mammalia; order Primates; family Hominidae; genus Homo; species Homo sapiens. The sequence continues at coordinate 47,627,765 of NC_000002.12, read as the reverse complement.
CTCTACAAAACAAAACAAAATATTGCTCAAACTGGAAAAGTGAAAGAGGGAACAATTAATAAATATGCTGGAACATAGGCATGAACAGGGGCTGCACCTGCCATCCAGGATGGCGGTCATCCTATCCATAAGTCTCTTATGATTCCAACATTTCCATCCCCAGACCAGTCTTGGCCCCGAGATCCAGATTCAGATTCAACTGCCTGCTGGGTGTTCCATTTAAATGTCTTATAGGCCACTCAGCTTCCATGCATCAAAAACTGAAGTCAGTGCCTCCTTCACTCCCCACTCCCTCACCACTGGCTTCTCCTCTGTATTGCCCATCTGGAGAAACAGCACTGGCCTCTAGTCACGTGTTCCTGACCAGACCCTGGGAGTTGTCCTGAATCCTCCCCACCTCACCACACCCAGGCAGTCACTCCAAGAGCTACTCATTCTACATCCTTCTGGCCCCTCTCACCTGTTCAGGCCTCCTTGTCTTTGTCCTGGACCATAACTTGTCTTCTCTTCCATCCCTCCAACTGCACCTTGAAAGTCCCTCTTCATCATGGTAGCAGAGAGATCTTTAAAATGCGCACAACTGGCTGGGCATGGTGGCTCACATCTGTAATCCTAGCACGTTGGGAGGCCGAGGTGGGCAGATCACTTGAGGCCAGGAGTTCAAGACCAGCCTGGCCAACATGCTGAGACCCCATCTCTACACAAAAATTAGCTGGACATGGTTACATTTGCCTGTGATCCCAGCTGCTCGGAAGGCTGAAGCATGAGAATTGCTTGAACCCCCAGAGGCGGAGGTTGCAATAAGCCAAGATCACGCCTCTGCACTCCAGCCTGGGCAATAGAGCGAGACTCTGTCTCAAAATAAAATAAAAAAAATAAAATAAAATAAAATAATAAAATAAAATAAAATAAAATAAAATAAAATAAAATAAAATGCACAAAACTGCTCACGTTACTCCTTTCAGTGGCTCCCTGTATTATTAGTCTGTTCTTGCACTGCTATAAGGAAATACCTGAAACTGGGTAATTTACAAAGAAAAGAGGTTTAATTGGTTCACAGTTCCATAAGCTATACAGGAAACATGGTAGCATCTGCTGGGATTCTGGGGAGGCCTCAGGAAACATACAATCATGGCAGAAGGGGAAGGGGAAGCCAGCAGTTCACATGGCCAGAGCGAGAGGAAGAGAGGGGGGCAGAGAGGTGCCACACACTTTTAAACAACCAGCTCTCACAAGAACTCACTATTATAAGAACAGCACCAAGAGGATGGTGCCAACCCCTTTATCAGAACTCTACCCTCATGATCCATTCACCTCCCACAAGGTCCCACCTCCAACTGGGGATTATAACTCAACATGAGATTTGGTGGAGACACAGATCTAAATGATATCACTCCCCTTACACTTTGTCACTTTTGGGTTGTAGCTGAGACTTTTGGGAATCTCCCCAGTTCCGGGCTCATCTCCACCTTCCCTCTCACATCCTGTTGGCCAGATCTATATCCTCCTTGAAGTTCTGCACTGGCCACCCTCTGAGCCTTTGCTTACACTGCTCTCTGCCTGTGATGTCTGTCTGCTTCTGGTTCTCCTCCAGCTACCCACTGGACCTCAGATAGTGCCCACTGTATGACCCCCCTTGCCCTTTAAGGACTGGCCTTTCTGCCACTCCAGCCATTCATTTATTCAGCACAGTGTTAGGTGATGAGGGGTGACATATATAGAACCACATGGAGACAGCACATGTGGCAAAATGATCCTAGTCAATCCAACTAGGTGAAAGAAATTTGGGTATTGATTGTAATGGTACACCATTCTTGCAATTTTTCTGTGGGTTTTAAGTTTTTCTAAAGAGAAAATCAAGTAAAAATTGAATAGATTCCAATTAGAAATAGGATAAAAGATTTGAATAGATATTTCTCAAAGGAAGACATACAGATGGCCAAAAGTTACAGGAAAAATTGCTGGACATCACTAATCATTGGGGAAATTCATATCAAAATCACAGTGAGGTATTATCTCTCACTTGTTAAAATTGCTGCTATCAAAAAACAAGACAGCAAATGATACAAATGTGGAGAAAGGGGAACCCTCCTACGCTGTTGGTGGGAACGTTAATTAGTAGAGCCATTATGGAAAACGGTATGGAGGTTTCTCAAAAAATTAAAAATAGAACTACCATATGATCCAGCAATCCCACTACTGGGTATATATCCAAAGGAAAGGAAGTCAGTGTGTCAAAGAGTTATCTGTGCTCCCAAGTTCATTGCAGCTCTACTCGCAATAGCCAAGATATGGAACCAACCTAAGTGTCCATCAATGGATAAATGGATGAAGAAAATGTGATATATATACACAATGAAATATTCTTCAGCCTTAGAAAAGAAAGAAATCCTGTCATTCATGGCAACAAGGATGAACCTAGAGGGCATTATATTAAGTGAAATAAGCCATGCACAGAAAGACACATATCACATGATCTCACTCAGATTTGGAATCTAAAGAAGTTGATCTCATAGAAGTAGACAGTAGAATAGTGACCACTAGAAGTTTGGGAGGGGATGAGGGAGGCAGGGGCAGGGAAAAGTTGGTCAGTGAGTACAAAGTTACAATTAGAGACAAGGGACAGGCTCACAGCTAATAACATACTGAATGGGGAAAAACTGAAAGCCTTTCCTCTAAGATCTGGAACATGACAAGGATGCCCACTTTCACCACTGTTATTCAACATAGTACTGGAAGTCCTAGCTAGAGCAATCAGACAAGAGGAAGAAATAAAGGGCACCCAGGCTGGAAAGGAAGAAGTCAAACTATCTTTATGTGCAGATGATAGGATCTTATATTTGGAAAAACCTAAAGACTCTGCCAAAAAACTATTAAAACTTGTGAACAAATTCAGTAAATTTGCAGGATACAAAATCAACATACAAAAATCAGTAGCATTTCTATATGCCAACAACGAACAATCTGAAAAAGAAATGAAAAAAAAAATTCCATTAAAGTAGCCACAAATAAAATTAAGTAGCTAGGAATTAACCAAAGAAATGAAAAATCTCTACAATGAAAACTATAAAACACTGATGAAAGAAATTGAAAAGAACACCAAAAAAAGTAAAGCTATTTCATGTTCGTGAATTGAAAGAATCAATATTGTTAAAATGTCCATACAACCCAAAGCACTCTACAGATTCAATGCAATCCCTATCAAAATACTGACATTCTTCACAGAAATAGAAAAAAAAAACCACACAAAAGACCCGGAATAGCCAAAGCTATCTTAAGCAAAAAACAAAAACAAAAACAAACCCAAAAATCCGGGGGAATCACATTACCTGACTTTCAACTATACTACAGAGTTTTGTTAACCAGCATGGTACTGGCATAAAAACAAACATATAGACCAATGAAACAGAATAGAGAACCCAGAAACAAATCCACACACCCACAGTGAACTCATTTTCAACAAAGGTGCCAAGAACATATACTGGGGAAAAGACAGTCTCTTCAATAAATGGTGCTGGGAAAACTGAATATCTATATGCAGAAGACTGAAACTCAACCCCAACCTCTTGCCATATACAAAAATTAAATCAAAATGAATTAAAGACTTTAAGACCTCAAACTATAAAACTACTACAAGAAAACATTGGGGAAACTCTCCAGGACATTGGTCTGGGCAAAAATTTCTTGAGTAATACCCCACAAGCATAGGCAACCAAATCAAAAATGGACAAATGGGATCACATCAAGTTAAAAAGCTTCTGCATAGTGAAGGAAACAATCAACAAAGTGAAGAGACAACCCACACAATGGGGGAAAATATTTGCAAACGACTCATCTGACAAGTATTAATTACCAGAGTATATAAGGAGCTTAAACAGCTTCATAGGAAAAAAAACTAATAATCTAACTAAAAAAATGGGCAAAAGATTTGAATAGACATTTCTCAAAAGAAGACATACAATAGCAAACAGGCATATGAAAAGGTGTTCCCCATCACTGATCATCAGAGAAATGCAAATCAAAGCTACAGTGAGGCTGGACGCAGTGGCTCACACCTATAAACCCAGCACTTTGGGAGGCTGAGGCAGACAGATCACTTGACAGATCACTTGAGGTCAGGAGTTCAAGACCAACATGGTGAAACCCCGTCTCTACTAAAAACACAAAAATTAGCTGGGCGTGGTGGGCACCTATAATCCCAGCTACTTGGGAGGCTGAGGCAGGAGAATCATTGAACCCAGGAGGTGGAGGTTGCAGTGGGCTGAGATTGTGCCACTGCACTCCAGCCTGGGCAACAGAGTAAGACTCTGTCTCAAAACAAAACAAAACAAAAAAACTACAATGAGATATCATCTCACACCAGTTAAAATAGCTTTCATCCAAAAGACAGGCAGTAATACATGCTGGAGAGGAAGTGGAGAAAAGGGAACCCTCATGCACTGTTGGTGGAAATGTAAATTAGTATGACCACTATGGAGAACAGTTTGGACGTTCTCCCAAAAACTAAAAATAGAGTTACCATACAATACAGCAATCCCATTGCTGGGTATATACCCAATGAAAAGGAAATCAGTATATCAAAGAGATACCTGCACTCCCATATTTGTTGCTGCACTGTTCACAATAGCCAAGATTTGGAAGCACCCTTGGTGTCCATCAACAGATGAATAGATGAAGAAAATATGCTACATATACACAGTGGAGTACTATTCAGTCATAAAAAAAGAATTAATCCTGTCATTTGCAACAATATGCATGGAATTGGAGATCATTATGTTAAGTGAAATAAGCCCTCCAAGTACAGAAAAAAAAAAGCATTGCATGTTGTCACTCATTTGTGGGATCTAAAAATCAAAACAATTGAACTCATGGATATAGAGAAGGGAAGGATGGTTACTAGAGGCTGGGAAGGCTAGTGGTGCGGGTATAGGGGATAGATCAGGATGATTAATGGGTACAGAAAAAAATAGTTAGAATGAATAAGACCTAGTAATTGACAGCAAAACAGTGTGACTATAGTCGATAACAATTTAATTGTACATTTAGAAATAACTAAAAGTATAATTGGATTGTATGTAACACAAAGCATAAATGCTTGAGTTGATGGATACCCCATTTCCCATGATATGATTATAATGCATTGCATGTATGTATCAAAATATCTTATGTACCCCATAAATATATACACATATTATATACCCACAAAAATTCAAAATTTAAAAATTTAAACAACTAATTAAATAGAAGAAATAAGTTCTGGCGTTCTATTGCACAGTAGGGTGACTATGGTTAACAATATTGTATTGTATATTTCAAAATAGCTAGAAGGATCTCAAATGTTCGTACCACAAAGAAATGATAAATGTATGAAGTGAAGGATACGCTAATTACCCTGATTTGAATTTTACACAATGTATACATGTATTAGAACATCACATTGTACCCCATAAATATGTACAATTATTATATGTCAATAAAAATAAAATTTTTAAATGTTTAAATGAGTCCTGGCGCAGTGGCTCATGTCTGTAATCCCAGCACTTTGGGAGGCTAAGGCGGGCAGATTAGAGTTCCAGATAAGGTCAGGAGTTTGAGATCAGCCAGGCCAACATGGCGAAACTCCGTCTCTATTAAAAATACAGAAAATTAGCTGGGTGTGGTGGCAGGTGCCTGTAATCCCAGCTACTTGGGAGGCTGAGGCAGGAAAACCTCTTGAACCCGGGAGACAGAGGTTGCAGTGAGCCAAGATCGAGCCACTGCACTCCAGCCTGGGCGACAGAGCAAGACTGTCTCAGGGAAAAAAAAAAAAAAAGTTTAAATAAATAGAATATGGGTCCGCACAGAAATTTATTCAAATGTTAAGTTTATTGTAACTGATTGAGAGACCAGTATCCACTGAAATTCAGGGCCAGGGTTTGCTGTTACAGCTCCACACTTAACAGTAAATTTGCTGTAGTATTTAAATTTACTTATAAATTTAAACACGTATGTATTTTCTTTCCTTTTCCTTTTCTTTTTTAAAAAATTTCCCCCACTTGAAGAGCTGATATACATGTTTAATTTGGGAGAAAAGTTAGGATTAAAAAAAAAACAGATAAGTAGATAAAAGAAATACAAAATGGATTATACTACACACAGTTTTTGTTACTCCACAATGTAGTATAAACACCTTTTCATGTTAATAAATACGTTGGCATTGTAATAGCTGCATTACTTTCCATGGAATAGATCCTGCATGATCTATGTAACTCCAAGATTTTTTCCCCTATATACACAAAAACAAGCTCCAGTTCCCTGATTCTGGCACCTTCCATGAGTCTAGCCCAAAGAGAAAAGTCAACGCCAATGCTGGCTTTTTGTCGAGAAAGGTGACACGTTGTTATTTGGGCTTCAAAGGAAAAAAATCAAAACTGACAGGTTAGAATTAATTGGGAAAAGCACCTCATCTCAAATGCCATGAGCATTTCAATAGATGGAGCCCAATCTGCTCAGCAGTGCTGCCCTAGGAGGCCAACAGAGTTTCAGGCCACTCCTGGGCCAGTGGCAAGATGGAGAGGAGCTAAAAATAGACCCAGAACTGAGCATTGAGACTTTCCTGAATTCATAGGCATAAATACTGCCCTAGAAGGACTTGCCTCTCCAATGGTTTCCAACCATGGCACGTCACATTGCCTAAAATTCTCAAGGATTATGATTTTGTAAAAGGCCTCTGTCGGGAAGTAGGCAGCTCTCCTGGGAGGAGGGCAGAGTGACCCTCCCATCAGGACAGAGTGGAGACAGCTGCAGCTTTGGAGTCACATGGACTGGGGCTGGTTCCAGCTCTGCCCATCACCAGCTGTGTGACCTTGGGTCAACTCCTCAACCTCTCTGAGCTGCTGTGTTTTCATCTGTAAGAAGGAGATAACAGGCCACTTCACAGAGTTATTGTGAGGATAAAATGGAATGCTGCCTGGAGCAGGGTATAGGAGGTGAACAAATGGGGCGTGTTACTATTACTGAGGACCTGAATTTGTTTCTCAGATTAGCCAGGTGTGGTTTTGGGAGAGCTGAGTTTTCATGGGGTTGGTGGTGTGCATGAGAGCTGTGCAGCAGAGCCCCCAAGCATGACGCATGGAAAAGGAGGACAGGTCTGCACATCCAGGACCAACCAGGGCATTTAGGGTAGGATGCAGATGTGCTGGAATGTATCAGGATACCTCATTCATTGCCATAGCCTCAGCATTCACAGATGTAACATTCATAGAGTCAGATATTCTCTAGTCAACTCTGAAGGTTTGTGAACCTTTTATTTAAAGGTTTGTGACCTTTAATAATAACCTGCTGTTTTGCTGAGACATTAATCTGAAGCACATTAACTTTGAGTAAGACAGTGCATCTTATAGATTTCCCAGGGTTGGCCCTTAATGTGGCTTTGCAGAACACATATTGAAAGCCTGGATTAGGGTCCAGGTCTATTAACCACCCTGACCCCAGAGGCCTGATCTCTGCCCAAGATCCTAGTGGGGCTCGACACACAGGTACCCTCCTTGTCCTGATGGTGACTAGGTTCCATCGAGGGCTTTTCAGGACTGGAGTGACTGATGAACCTCCAGGATGTGTTGGACCATTAACTGGCTGTGCACAGACGACATAAATCCTGTTTAAATGGGTGCTGCGGAGTGAAGCTGCTTTCAACTCTGTATTAGTTTTCTAGGGCTGCTGTAACAAAGCACCACAACTGGGTAGCTTAGAGCAACAAAAATATATCATCTCCCAGTTCTGGAGGCTAGAAATCTGAAGTCACGGTGTTGACAGGGCCATGCTCCCTCAGAAACCTGTAGGGGAGAATCCTTCTTTGCCTCTCTGGCTTCTGGTGCCTTTGGCATTCCTTGGCTTACAGAGAGATGTGTTGCTGCCATCTCTGCCTCCACTGTCAAATGGCTGGCTTTAGCCTGCATGACTCTGACCTCTTCTTTTATTTTATTTTGTTTTATTTATTTATTTATTTATTTATTTATTTATTTTTTGAGACAGAGTCTTGCTCTGTTGCCCAGGCTGGAGTGCAATGGCACGATCTTGGCTCACTGCAACCTCCGCCCCCCAGGTTCAAGCGATTCTCCTGCCTCAGCTTCCTGAGTAGTTGGGATTACAGGCATGCACCACCATGCCCGGTTAATTTTTGTATTTTTAGTAGAGATGGGGTTTCGGCATGGTGGCCAGGCTGGTCTCAAACTCCTGACCTCAGGTGATCCACCCACCTCGGCCTCCCAAAGTTCTGGGATTACAGCCATGAGCCATCATGCCCAGCCTGACCTCTTCTTTTAAAAATACCAGTCACATTAGGCTGGGCACAGTAGCTCACATCTGTAATCCCAGTACTTTGGGAGGCCAAGGTGGAGGACTGCTTGAGCCAGGAATTTGAGACCAGCCTGGACAACATAGCAAGACCCCATCTCTAAAAAATATTGTTTTAAAATTAGCCAGTCATCATGGTAGGTCACAATAGTCCCAGCTACTCAGGAGGCTGAGATGGGAGGATCCCTTGAGCCCAGGAGTTCAAGGCTGCAGTGAGCTATGATCACACTACTACACTCCAGCCTGGGTGACACGGTGAGACCATGCCAAAAAAAAAAAAAAAAATAGATACCACTCACATTAAATTAGGGACCCTTCCTCCAACGTGACTTCATCTTAACTAATTATATCCATGACAATGCTATTTCCAAGTGAGGTGACATTCTGAGGTACCAGGGGTTAGGACTTCAACATACCTCTTTGGAGGGAGATACAACTGAATCCATAAAAGCCTCTGAACTCATTTTGAGACAAGCATTCTCTCTTCAGTGCCTGGGCTAAGATGAGAGAAACATCAGGCATTCTCTCCACAGCCACAGGGAGAACTCCTAAGAGAGACCTGGGCCCACCTCTTGTCTATGCCCTCCAGGTTCAAGCGATTCTCCTGCCTCAGCCTACTGAGTAGCTGGGATTACAGGCATGCACCACCATGCCCGGGTAATTTTTGTATTTTTAGTAGAGATGGGGTTTCGGCATGGTGGCCAAGCTGGTCTCAAACTCCTGACCTCAGGTGATCCACCCACCTTGGCCTCCCAAAGTGCTGGGATTACAGCCACGAGCCATCACACCCTCCTCCATGAACACCCCTCCTGGCTCAGATTGCTACAGCCCAGGCTATTTGGCCAGAGGAGTGGCTTGAAGGGGACACAGCCCTACCTTCTTGCCCCATTTTGGGACTTCGGCTAGCTCTGGTGGTCCGCCAGGAGGACAGGCAGGCAAGGACTTCCTGATCCAATTGCTCAGGTACGTTAGAAAGGGAAAAGTGATGACAAAGCTCTTCGCGCATTTCTTAATACATTTTAAAGTCCTTAACAAAACAAACCTCAGGGCTGAATAAATTGGCTCCCAGATGCTGGCCAAGGAACAAACCAGTTGGACAGTGTGGGGAGTCGGAGAGAGGACAGGCCAGGAGCAGGGTGAGTAAAGAGACTGCCCCTCACCCGGCACCAGGCAGCTTCTTACTGAGATGCCTCTGCTGCTGATCTAGAACCTGGAGCTCTTGGCGCCCCCAGGCAGGGCAGGCGGGAGGGGCTCCTCTGCGAGAGCACTCCCTCCTCACCCAGCTGGTGCCTCCCTTCCCTTCCCCAGAAGGGACACCGGGACACAGGCCTGTCAGCAAATTTTCCCTGGCACGGCTTGGGCCTCAGGCAATTTGGCACCCCCTGAGATAGAGAAGGACAAGCACCGAAGCCTAGCCCCAACTCTCCCACCCGCTCGGGAAGAGAGCCAGTCTTAGAAGTCACCTCCAGGGAGGCCATCGGCTCCAAGGCCAAAGAGTGTGGCCTGTTGGGAGTAGAATTGAGGGGGGCTTTGCATAACCCTCCCATCAGAGGTATTTGGGAGGCAGTGGGTCACTCACTCCTGGTGGAGGTGGCCTCCCACAGCTTTTCCCCATCACTCGTCTCCCCAGCACAGCCCTTGCTTTCCCTCTGCCACTGGACACCCAGTGCGGATGCTGAGCAGACAGCTCAGTATTGAGTCTGCCGGCAGGGCTGCCAATGTAAACTCAGGACTTGGGGATAAGATTTATAGACCAAGAGGAGGGGTTGGCCTTAGACAGAAACTAGAGACTGGGGTGAGGTGCAGTGGGCACTGGTGGTATTGGTGAGAGATTGGAGAAGGAGTCTCCTCTAATGCTTTCTATTTTCTCCATGAAGAACAAGGCGCCTGCAAAGGGCTGGAATGGAGAGGGAAAGTGGATGTGGGGGCTGAGTGGGAAGCTGTGCAGGAATTTCCTGAGGAGGCATGCAAGGCAAAAACTGCCCCATGGTGTTGCCTGCACATTTGAGGTTTAGGGTAATAAACATTAAGTGAATTGGCCCAAATATAAGATTCTCTCCAGCAATGTTTGGCATCTCAGGCACAGAATGGAGGAGACAAAGGCTTGTCAGAGTGGGAGGGAGGCAAACAAGTTGAGGGTGTTTGCAGCAAAGTTATAACAAAGACGGACTGTGAACTCTAAGCCAGGGGGATGGTAGGGTCAGTATGATGTGACCCTTTGCTTGGGCCTTTGACAAGACTTCCGTGACAGCCAAGGATTGTCTGCCCTATCCGGGTGCAATAAGCCAGCCCTCCCCGTCGGCACTGTCAAACCCACACTGCTTGCCCCGCTCTCAAGTGGGGAGGGCACAAGCAAAATCAGGCAACCACTCGTCTTGATCAGATGGAAGACTTTTACAAGTAATTTGTGATTAATAAAAAAAAAAATTGAAGCTTGGGAATCATTTTCTTTGACTGAGTCTGTTGAAGGTTATCTCTGTCGTGTTACTTTGTCTCACTTATGTCCAGCTAAGCTGTCTTGAATGGAGAAGAAATGACAAGTTATGGCCAGCACAAGAGTATTGTGCAAAACCTGCAGTGCTGCTTTTTATGGAGAGTCCCTAGTGAGCAATGCCTAAGTAGCTCTAGAAATTTTTGTCCACATGAATGACAGTGCTGTAGGGGTCTTTGTGCCCAGTAAATGGCTCACACCTGCGGCCCTATCTAACGAGCTTTGTGGTACAGATTCTCAGGGCTACACAAATTCTTATTCAGAGGTTGCCATGGAGACTCCTGGCCACCCACCACCCTCTCTTTTACTCTTCTTCCAAAGTAGCAGGCGTAGCCTACCAGGCTGCCCAGCTGCTGGGTGCTTCCTAGCCTCCTTGTGTGGAGCCCCGTGACTATGTTTTAAGAAACAGTGAAGTGGTAGAAGCGATGTGTGCCACTTCCAGGCCGATGTCTTAAGGCACAGTGTGTTTCCTCTACATTCTCTTTCCATTTCCCACAAAGCTGGAGCACAGAGGGGCCTGCAACCTGGCTTCAACCTGGGACAAAGCTGAAGGGATAAAGAACAAGATGGAAAAAACTTGGGTCCCTCAATGATCAAGGGCAGCAAAGCTACCTGCCAACCAGTAATGCTCACTTTGACTGTATCTTAGATCAGTTGACTAGGAACAGACTCCCCAAGAGGTTTGCTGGGGAAAGCTCTCAGGAGGAGCACCTGTAAGTGGCAGGGCAGGAGAAACTGAACCACAGTGAAGTTTGGCAAGAGCCCTGCACTGATCCAGTGGGGAGCTCTAGACCTGGGATGGCCCTTCCAAGATGTCCTAGACTGAGGCATGGGGATGGAAACTTTTTACGCCATACCTACTAGTCCTTTTTGGATAAAGGCTGCTCCCAAAAGGGGCACAACTTGGGTGAGGCAGCCCCCTTTTTCCAAGGGTAATTCCCAGAGAGGGACTAAGCTAAGAGCCCTCAACAACCAATGCACCCAGCAGCTGGGGAAATGGATGAAGAAAGGGTCTGGGTGGTGCACCACAACATCCACTGCAGACTGTCACCTAAGGGAGAAACTTTGATCTTCTTTAAGCCACTGATTTATTGTAGGGTCTCTTTATTACAGCAGCTTCCCCCACTCCCATCTACTAAATCTCTCTGCTGGTTACCGGTACATATCTTGACCTCAACAGAGAGAAACTCCTTGAGATGGGCACTAACTCAGGTGGTTTGCAAAGTGTGGTCCCCAGATCAGCAGGGTTAGCATCGCCTGGGATATTGTGTAAATTGCAAATTTGACCCTTCCCTTTGGACCTACTGAGTCAGAAATTCTGGGGATGGGGCCCAGCAATGTGTGTGTCCACAAGCTCCCTGACAACACCCAAGATTGAGAACCACTGCTCTAGGTTTTCTCCTTTCTAGACTCAGAGCACCACCCACTGTGCAGGGCACATGGTGGCCTTGAGGGTGGTTTGGAACAGCCTCTCCTTGAAGCCCTGGAGCTGTGCATTAGGAGGCTCACAGCCTGATGATGTTTCATCTGCTGTTTGGATCCCATTCTTCCCTTCTGATACTATCAGCACCCTCCTCTCCTCTGCCTTAGAGGAGTGTAGGCCCATGAGATCCTCACTGCTTTGGGGCCAAGCAGACCTGGCTTCCAGTCCCAGCTGTGTCTACTCCTGGCTGACTGATCTTAGATAATTTGCTTGTCTGTGCCTCAGTTTCCTCGTTTATACAATAAGGATAAGCCCAACTCTACATAGTTATTGTGAGACCAACATGAGAAAATATACTTTAGTGTCTAATCCTGCCCGGCCCCCAGCAGCACTCTATTATCGTAGCTAACTCTGTCCTTGAATATCCTTCAGAGCTCACCTGGTTATTCCAATAAAAACTTCCAAGAATAGGTCTGGGACTCATTCACACTGCAAGGTAAATCACCAGAAACTTAAAGTACTGTGACCCTCCCAGGGGAATTTGCATTTTAAACACAGCCCAAGGATCAGATTAGAACTATTTTTTTTTTCAAGTTTGGTGGTGGGGAGAGGAGGCTTCCTTCCCAGCCCCTGAAATCACACCGCACATTGGGCTCTTTCCCAGTCTGGACTCAAGGCCTTTGACCTTGAGAAGGTCTCATTCTAAAGTGCCTCTTTCAACAGAAAGCTGAGCACACCACCTGGGTTTCAGCTGGTGGTGTTTACAGCTGTCAGATGAGCCCTGGGGGGCTGGGTGGCTCCCCATTTTTATAGTGGTGGAGGAGATGACACTTCTCTATATTTGTTTATTTCATCCGAAAGTGGAAAGTAATCCCTGAGACGTTTCACAGCCCAGATCTCAGGGTTCTCCAAGTCCAGCCTGACTCAGACAGAGAAAGGGAAGAATTTTAAGGACACCAGGGCAATCCTCCTGCCCCAAAAGATTATCCCTAACATGCTAGTTGAGGGCTGATGGTCCTCAACTTGGGACCAATGCCTTCCATTCTGCATTGGGAGTGCAGACACCCACAGGAGAAGGGTCAAGTAACTTCCACTGATATCAAAGATGGAAGTTACTGGCTGACAGCAGGCCTTTCCTGAGAGTGGGTTCTGGTAGGTGGGAGCTCTGGGCAGCTGAAGAGGGAGAGTGCCCAGCTCAAACCAGCCACAAATTTGAGTTCACTGATCGTATCTCAGCACCCAGCGCTATGTTGGCATTTCATCCCAATTTTCACTTTTCTATGAGGTCTTCGTTAATTCCATAAGCCAGCTCTCTATATTCTGTGTTAGTGGCCAGTTGCAGGAGGGATCCATCATACCCACCCATATGGAATTCCCATACCCACAGACAGTCCACCCTCAATAGCACTGCTGTGAGATGCTGTGTGCCTGAGAGGCTTCAGGGATGCATTAAGCGGGTGAGGCTATAAAGCCTGTCCCGAGGGAAGCCCAGGGGTCAACTGAGAATAGTCAATTCTGTCTTCAAGATCCTGCAGAGGACTCAGAACCTGATCTGTTCAATGTTCCAAATTGAGGAACCTGAAGCCTTGTGCTGAGCCAGTGCCACTTACGATCTTCTATATATGGACAGAAAGTTTTATTTTGTCCAGGAGGAATCTCCTCCTTTTGGGTTCAAGTGACTCTCATGCTTCAGCCTCCCAAGTAGCTGGGATCGCAGGCATGTGCCACCATGCCCGGCTAATTTTTGTATTTTTAGTAGAGACAGGGTTTCACCATGTTGGCCAGGATGGTCTCAAACTCCTGGCCTCAAGCAATCCATCCAGCTTGGCCTCCCAGAATGCTGGGATTACAGCTGTGAGCCACCACGCCCAGCCCAGACAGAGAGTTTTAGAACCCAGCAGGCTCTTTCTCATGCCATCTCATCTGGTCCACCTCCAGCCTGTGAGGATAGGTAGGCAGGCTTAGAGAGGCTAAGGGATTTGCCCCAGTTACATAGCTAGTAAGAGGGGAGTTGGGGCCTGTCCCCAGGTCTTGCATTTCCAAATCTGGTTCATTTTCCATTGCTCTAGGAGACAGCTGTAGCAACAAATCCCAGAGTCCATCTGAAGGGTCCCTTGGCCTCCACCAGAGAAGAAAAAAGAGACAGCAGCTGGGCCAAGCATGACCCTGAAATCCAATGGAAAGTCGCTGTATTTCTCCGGCGTTGGCAGTCCTTCTCCTTAGGGCTGCCCAGACATGTGTGTTGAGGTTGTACAATGGCTTTCTCTTATGGTTTGGGACCATTCATTATTTTTCCAAGGAGACAGAGGCCAGGAATTACATGAGCAATTTTCTCAAAGAAGGTACTTTGTATATTACATTATCTCCATTAAAGATTCTGAGATGGACCAGGAGAAGAAAGCCTTGATCTAGAAGAGAAATAGGCAGCATCTAGCCATGGAGGTCACAGCCACAGACCTGGGCGCTTAAAGAGGCTGGAGCCTGACCACCTCTAGAAATGCCCACTGGATATTTCTGTCAGATCATGTGAGCGCCATGGCCTGTCCAGTCCTCCTGGCAAGGGCTGGGAGGTGTGGTTCGCAAATTAAACAGCCAAGCACAAGTGATCCTTGAGTGTTCCTTCCCCACTAAGTGTCTCTTCAGACCAGTCACGTCACCATTGCATTGAGGAAACTGAGGCAGCTTGGCAGGCTCATCTCCCTGTGATGTCAGAACTGGAGGTGGCAGACTCCTTAGGAGACCACTTTTTAGAATAAAGGATGTCTTCTGTGTCTAGAAATGGCTCCCACTCCTTCCCTGCCCTCTGTGAGGCCTCACTTCCTTCCTCAAAGCCACACTGTGATGGTGGAGGGGTCTATCCTCACCTTACTGTGAGGTTTTGGCAGTAGGAGAAAAACTTCTAGGTTTGGTATAGAGTGAAAAATTTTATAGTGGAAAATTCTATTCCATGGCACCGTCTTACCTAATACATTAAACACCCTGGCTTTAACAGCTGGGGCATGTGCTCTTTAGCTACTTCATGCCCACCTTCCGTCCTTCCACCCACTCACCCTTAGAAAAAAGATCTTGCCTATTGTTTTCTCAGAGAAGCTAGTTCACCATACCCAAAATGCTACAGTCTTAGTATCCCAATAAAGATCTTTAAATGTATTTTGGTAGCTGTTATTTAAACAATATGTTCAGTGGATAAAGACTTCCTTATTTTGCGTGCATATGGGACCATGTGTAAAAACAAAATGATTGATTTACACTCTATGTTGGATCAAAACAAGTTATGACAAAATGATGGCATGATTTAGTGGAGAGCCACTGGTCCATCCCTTCAGTGGGAAGAGACCAGAAAGATTTGAGAGATGGACACACGGGGTCAGGCCAGCTCTCAGTTATAGCAGGGCACCAAGCCGATCTCAGGTTCACATTTTCTGTCACTTAATGTTTCCTGAAAGACTGAGATGTCGGGTTCCCTCTTCTCTGCCTTCTGTGATCACATGAGGGAATATAATTCACCCTGACTTTTTTTTTTTTTTTTTTTTTTGTAGAATCAAGCTCTCACTCTGTCATCCAGGCTAGAGTACAATGGTATGATCATAGCTCTCTGCAGCCTCAGACTCCTGAGATCAAGCAATTCTCTCATCTTAGCCTTCAGGCGCATACCACCTGGCTAATTTTTAAAACTTTTTCATAGAGACTGGGTCTTGCTATGTTGCGCATAGCAAGGTCTTGAACTCCTGGCCTCAAGTGATCTCTTGCCTCTGCCTCCCAAAGAGCTGGAATTACAGATGCGAACCACTACAGCTGGGCCTGACTTCTGAACCAACAGTATTTTTTTTTTTTTTTTTTTGAGATGGAGTCTCACTCTCTTCCAGGCTGGAGTGCAGTGGCGCGATCTCAGCTCACTGCAACCTCCACCTTCTGGGTTCAAGCTATTCTCCTGCCTCAGCCCCCTGAGTAGCTGGGACTACAGGTGCCCACCACCATGCCTGGCTAATTTTTGTAATTTTAGTAGAGACGGGGTTCTGCCATGTTGGCCAGGCTGGTCTGGAACTCCTGACCTCAAGTGATCTGCCTTCCTCGGCCTCCCAAAGTGCTGGGATTACAAGCATGAGCCACCATGCTGGGCCTAGTATTTTGTTTTACTATCCTGTAGCAGACACTGGTGATGCTTCCCATAAGCCCTAAACCTACCCTTGAGTATTTCTGAGCATCTCTTCCTCAACTTCTATATGCCTTTATTATGAACACCCCATACCAGTGACTATCTTAAGAAGATAACCTTTCAGTTACTGCAGATCCTTTTCTCAGCCGAAAGCACCTGGGTGTTTGTATTCACCCCCCACCACCCTCCACCCCAGGGTAGGTCACAGCCGATGACAGACCTGTACAAAATTGTGACAGATTACAATTTCTCAAAATGGCCACATCTTGGTCCCACGTGTTCTTCTAGAACACTGCTGCTTCCCAACCAAAAGGCAGAGTCTGTTTTCCCTCCTTTTGAAATTGGCTGGGCCTTCGTGACTACTTCTGTGCAGAATGTGCTGGAAGCAATGCTGTGTAGTTCATGACTCTAGGCCATAACAGGATATATTGCTTATACCTGCCTCTCTCAGGACGCATGCCCTTGGAACCCAGCCACCATGGTGTGAGGAAGCCCAGGCCACATGGGGAAGGTAGGTATAGATTTGCTGGCTAAGGCCCCAGCTAAGGCTCCAGTCCACAGCCAGGACCAGCTGCCAGATCGGTGAGTGATTGCGCCTCCAGAGGACCCAGGCCCCTGCCTTCAAGCTGCTCCAGTTAGTATGGTGTGGGGCAGAGATAAGCTATCCCCACCAAGTCTCCCCCAAATTGAAGACCCATGAGAAAAATTAGTTGTTTTGAGCTACTATGTTTGGGGATGGTTTATTGCTCAGCAATTAATACTTGACATAGACTTAGATACCTGGAAGTGGGATACTACCATAATGAAACCCAAAGAATGCAACTTGGGACTAGGTGGCAATGGAGGCTGGAAGCATCTTGATGAAGGGGTTAATGAAAACCTAAAGGGACTCAAGGGGAATGTCAGGGGAAGCCGATGGCCCTGGAGGACCACTACAATATTGCCTGCCCCCTAAGAAGAAGTGGGGCTTTATTTCTCTTCCCCTTGAAATTGGGCAGGCCTCAATTTTGCTACGTAAAGAGAGCAAAATTAATGCTGTTATTGTTTTAAGCACTGTAGGGGAGGGGTAGGAAAAGACCATCTCATGAGGCTAACTTATTAATTACTCTTAACAAGCACTTTAAGAACACCAAATATACATGGATTATTCCTAAACTTAATTTTTAAAAAACTAGTAATATTATTATTTTTATTTGCATTTTTATATCCATAATTAATTTTGTTTTGTTTTGTTTTGAGATGGAGTCTTGCTCTGTCACCCAGGCTGGAGTGCAGTGGCTCAATCTCAGCCCACTGCAACCTCTACCTCCTGGGTTCAGGCAATTCTCCTGCCTCAGCCTCCTGAGTAGCTGGGATTACAGGAACATGCCGCCATGCCCGGCTAATTTTTGTATTTTTAGTTGAGACAGGGGTTTCACCATGTTGGCCAGGCTAGTCTTGAACTCCTGGCCTCAAGTGATCCACCTGTCTTGGCCTTCCAAAGGGCTGGGATTACAGGCGTGAGCCACCAAGCCTGGCCTATATCCACAATTAAGTGTAAACTTCCTCTGGGTTAAAGACTCTAATTCACTAAGAAAAAAAAATATTTTTACCATTGCAAGAAATTGGGATTAACATTCCAAGCAAATTGGATGACCCTCTTGTTAGGCTGGGTTGCTCATAGACCATATTTTTGGCTGGGTCATGAGATCTGGAGCTATAGACACCCAGGAAAATTTTTCTCATGACAACAACAAATAACTTGAGCCCGATTATGTAGAAGTTGTGCCTAAACTTTGTGATTCCCAGTTCAAACCCTCCAAATGGGGTGGTCTCACAGCCTGTGCTCTGGGTTATATCTTCCTTACCTTTTATATCTTCCCCAATTATCAAGCCTGATTTGAGTTTACAAAACCAGCCCCTCACCAGCAACCCAGATCCTTCCCCTCTGCATTAAAAGTCCTCTATTGACTGCTTAATACTATTCTGAATTCTTTTTATGCTCTTCCAATCTGTCGGGGCCACACCTCTTGAATATATTTAAATCCAACTGGATTCTGAACATCCTTCCCTGTCTGCATGGCTCCCATTGAGGTTACTTCAATGACAGATGGAAGGCACAAAGATGATCATTGTAGCATCTTTTGTAACAGCCTAACAATTTGAACAAATAAAATGGCCAGGAAAGAAACTGTTGGATCTCAGATCACATTCAGGGTAAGGTGGCAAGAGGGGAAATACAAGGTGGCCTTGGTGCCAGGCACCTGTAGTCCCAACTACTCAGGAAGCTGAGGCAGGAGGAGCTTGAGCCCAGGAATTCAAGGCTGGAGTGAGCTATAATGGTGCCAGTGCACTCCAGCCTGGATAATAGAGCAAGACCCCGAAAAAAAAAAAGAGAGGAAATACATCAGTCACTTATGTAGGCCTATGAAAGCCTAAGGAACAAGCCAGAGGGCATGAGACCCCAAGCCAATGCTGTACTTGGGATCTGTACATGCACACCATCCCTTATACCCACTGCTGATCACAGTGAAGCAAAGTCTGAAAGCTGCCTGGAAGGGGTGAACAGTCTGCACGTTGCATGTGCACAGAGGCATGTAGGACACAGATGAAAAATTTACCCATATTCATGCCCAGAATTTGAGATGCAGAGACCCAGCAACTAAAATGGGCCTGCAAGCTGTGCCTCCCGCAAAGGGAAAGGCCTGATCAACTCATTCATACGAGGGGTGGTGTGACTACGGAATGTCTATCTAGAAAGGATTTAGGGAGGGCAATTGGTTGGAAGAAGGACGATGGCAGATTTGGGTGGAAACAGTGCTAGCATTATAAAGTGCAGTGTTTTTATTCTCAAATGGCGGCCGGGCGCTGTGGCTCATGCCTGTAATCCCAGCACTTTGGGAGGCTGAGGCAGGTGGATCACGAGGTCAGGAGTTCAAGACCAGCTTGGCCAAGATGGTGAAACCCCATCTCTACTAAAAACTACAAAAATTAGCCAGGCACGGTGGCAGGTGCCTGTGATCCCAGCTACCTGGGAGGCTGAGGCAGGAGAATCGCTTGAACACGGGCAGCGGAGGTTGCAGTGAGCCGAGATTGTGCCACTGCACTACAGCCTGGGCAACAGAGTGAGACTCTCTCTCAAAAAAAGAAAAAAAAAAAAAAGAAATGGAGCTGGTAGCTAACCATCCTCCCAGCCACCCCTTGGCACTGCCTCTACCAGACACTAAAAAAGCATAGAGAGGGTACTGCCTTGCTCCACCAAAGAGACTCTCTAATGGTAAAGGCAGGGACAGAAAATTGGACTTGATAGAGGGGGGTCCCTTGAGAGCAGAAAGTAATGTTCAAATCTCTTACAACAAAATATGTTCTCTGGCTTAGTGAAATAGACAGGCTGGCAAGAGTGGCTGGGAATTTCTTTCCAGGTAAGAAACCTGAAAGGGAAAATTACCACTGGGCAGGCAGAACTTTCTAGAATGCCCAAGGGCTTATCCCCTGTTCCACCAACTGCTGAGTCAGCAGAGGACCTTGTGTTTATTTAATTCTGTATCTCGCCAGCTGTGTCTGTATTAACACTAGCCCCAGACTTAGAATTAATCAGCCTTCACATTTATAGGTGATGCTTTTTGCTGAGAAGTACAGAGCAAAGGAGAGAACAGAAGGAAAATTCAAGCTTCTGTGGAGGGATTCTTCTAGCTGGAAAACCCCAATTCAGGGTGGTCCAACCTCAGAGGGAGTACAAGCCCCAAGTCCCGCAGGACAGGCATGGGGGAAGTACTCAAGTTCAAATGCTGATGTTCTGACCTGGAGACGGGAGAGCAGGGGCTGGAATTCAGCTGGAGTAGTGGAGGCGGTCGGAGTCCTGCTTGCTGGGCCCTCTCCGCTGAAGGAGGCCAGATGCCCTGCCGGTGCAGGCAGTTCAGCCAGCGCTAGTGAGAGCCCACACATGCCCAGCTCTGTGTCAGGGGCTGTGTGTTTCGGGTGGGAGTAGGGTCTGGAAGAAAAGCAAGAAGACAGATAGACCTCATGAAATAGAGGCAATTCAAGGCTAGGGGTCAAACTTAAAGCACTGGGGCAGGCAGTGGGATGCATTTTCTTCACCAATAGGCATCAGAAAACCTAGATTCCAGGCTGAGCAACATCACAGCTGAGGTCTCTATAACAAAAGAGAGATCAGCAAGAGAAAAGGTTCATTCCATTTTGATACAGCCACTTGACACATAATTTTTCACTACAACCCAGATGAGCTACCACAAGTGCAGCATTAAAATGAAAGGGCCCAGTGAAAAAGCCTAGAAACACAAGGCCACATATCATATGATTTCACTTCTTTGAGATGTCCAGAATGGGCACATACACAGAGACACAGGCAGATTCATGGTTATGAGGGGCTGGGGGAGGAGGTAACAGGGAGGGACTGCTTAATGGGTACAACGTTTCCTTTCGGAGCGATGAAAATGTTTTGGAATTAGATAGTGAGGATGTTGTACGACATTGGGAGTATACTTATTGCCACCAAATTATTCATTTAAAAAGGTTAAAATAGTAAATTTTATGTAGTGTTTTTCTATAATTCTTTTTAAAATGGACCCACTTTCCACGTTTGGTTGCCATTTGCTCCCATGTGTCCTTGAAGGGAGCAACCTCTCTGTGCTTCAGTTCTCTTCCCCTGCAGCTCGAGGCTCTCAGCCCTGCCTGTCCTCCAGGGCCATGGGAGGTCATGTGAGAGCAGGAAGGGGGTGGGCATGGGCTCAAAGCCCACCCACAACACTCAC
Organism: Homo sapiens; assembly: GCF_000001405.40. Classification (NCBI taxonomy): domain Eukaryota; kingdom Metazoa; phylum Chordata; class Mammalia; order Primates; family Hominidae; genus Homo; species Homo sapiens. Next base: position 47,606,610 of record NC_000002.12, on the reverse strand, counting down.
TCATTGTAGGACGTGAGCAAGTTACCTGGGCTCTCTGAATCCCCATGTTGGCATCTACAAACAGAGTTTCTGGGAGTCCAGACTTTTGCTGTTTGAGTTAGAACAACTCTTATGAGGAACCAACATGTATAAACCAAGCAAAAAAAGTACAAGTGTGTGTGTATATGTGTCGTGTCTAGCATAGCCTCACTAAAAGGGAGCTAATAGAACTGATAAATAGAACTAATAACTAATAAAGAACTAATAGAACTAATAAAAGTGAAAGCAAGTTCTAAAATAAAACCTCTGATTAACCCTAAGGAACAGAAGATGGTGAAGTCGGCCATAATTGTTGGTAACACTTCATAGAAAACTAGGATTCGCACTGACCTTTAAGGAGAGGTGAGATTTGGGCAGGTGGGTGTGGGGAGGGACAGGACAGGGCATACATGAGAAATGCTTAGAGGTAGGAGCATGCTGGGGCCTGCAAGAAAACTGGGCTGGCTGGAGCAGAGTATTTGGGACACACAGGGAAGGACCAGGTGTTGGGCTTTCTTGAACATGAGGCCAAGAGTTTAGAACTCATCCTGAGGGCACAGAGGAGTCATGGATGGTTCTTTTTTTTTTTTTTTTTTCCTTTCTGAGATGGAGTCTTACTCTGTTACCCAGGCTGGAGTGTAATGGTGCAATCTCAGCTCACTGCAACCTCCACCTCCCAGGTTCATGCAATTCTCCTACCTCAGCCTCCCAAGTAGCTGGGATTACAGGTGCCTGCCACCATGCCTGGTTAATTTTTTTGTATTTTTAGTAGAGGCAGGGTTTCACCATGTTGGTCAGGCTCATTTCCAACTCCTAACCTCAAGTGATCCACCTGCCTCAAACTCCCAAAGTGCTAGGATTACAGGCGTGAGCCGCTGTCCCCAGCCATGGATGGTTCCTGAACAGGGAAGCAAGATGATGGTTATTGTAACAGAAGAGAATGAATCTGGCCCATACTGTGCAGCAATGCTTAAAGATAAGAGTCTAGAGGCAAGGAGATGAGCCTGGCATCTATGGTTTTAACCCAGCATGAGATAATGGGGCATGGGGGAGGGGAGTAGACCAATCTTAGAAACACCCCGTGGAAGATTCACAGAAGTTCTTCTGGGCTCCAGATTCACCCTGCCACCACTAATTCTTGGCTTTTGGCATCAACAACATTGGTCTAGCTATTTCTCATCTGTGGGTGTGTTCCTGGAAAAAGTTATAGTAGTAGCCAAGAAAATGATTCAGGGGACACAGGCAGAGCTGCATTGACAAGCCCATGTCAGGAAGCACAATGCCATGTGGGAGGAAGGAGCTGGCTCTCTGAAAGATTGGCTTGATGGGGTTCAGGGCATGCTACCCCCAAATATGGTATCTTGGCATTTGCAAAACAGTGGAAGTAGGAAGATCACTTTCACCTTCCCCTCTTCTCCCCTGAAGCAGGCCATCTGATCTAGGAAAGATTTTTCTGCCCTCCCCTACAGCGGATCAGAAGACCCTCGTGTGAGAGGTAAGGAACATTCTCATCTCTGAAGACAAAGGGTCACAGAGGGGAACCAAACAAATGGGCCTTGCTAAGCTCCCCTAGTTTGTTAGCATTAGATCATACTTCTAATCCAATCATACTTCACCGCCGTCATTCACTTCTTCATCAAACCTAGCATTAAAAATCCACAGGTTTTACTGTTTCTTTGTGTCTTCATTTCCTTATAAACTGTAATCGGTTTCACATAAAACTTACTAAATACTTTTATACTTTTCTCTTGTTGATCTTTTCTCTTGTTGATCTGATAGATCTCTTGTTGATCTATCTTTTGTTATCGGGACCTCAGCTGTGAACCTAGCAATGGGTGAGGAAAAGCTATTCCTCTCCTATAGGGTTAACCTTGCTACTTGGAATTGGATGCCATAAAGCTCCAAGGCACTTGGGCTGCTCTTGCAGGTCTGTAGGATGGCAGCCAGAAAGGCTCATCATTCCCTGTGGTGGCCACAGGGTACTCCCTGGCAGGGAGAATAGGCAGCTGCTGATACCATGTATTAATAAGGATCTCCATGATCCCAGCAAGTGGCCCCAGGAGAAAATTCTTGCTGTATCAGTCAATTGGGTAACTATTTTTTTTTTTTTTTTTTGAGACAGAGTTTCACTCTTGTTACCTAGGCTAGAGTGCAATGGCGTGATCACGGCTCACCACAAACTCTGCCTCCCGGGTTCAAGCGATTCTCCTGCCTCAGCCTCCTGAGTAGCTGGGATTACAAGCATGCGCCACCACACCTGGCTAATTTTGTATTTTCAGTAGAGACGAAGTTTCTCCATGTTGGTCAGGCTGGTCTTTAACTCCCGACCTCAGGTGATCCGCCCGCCTTGGCCTCCCAAAGTGCTGGGATTACAGGCGTGAGCCGCCGTGCCTGGCGGGTAACCATAGCAATATGCCTTGAGCCCACCCAGGAGGCGGTGATTCCACACCAGGGTATGTGGGAGCACAGATATCCTATAGAGATGCATGCTGGAAACTACAAAACATTGTTGAGAGGACTCTTAATAAAGAACTCTCTGAATTCGATAATAAGAAAACATGAAACCCAACTTAAAAAAAAAAGAGCAGAAGATTTAGACAGACACTTCTTTAAAGAAGATAAACAGATGGCAAACAAACATATGAGAAGATGCTCAACATCACCAGTCACTGAGAAATGCAAATTTAAATCATGATGAGATATCATTACATACCTATTAGAATGGTTACAATTTAAAAGATGGGCCATTCCAAGTGTTGGAAAAAAACTGCAATCGATAGTACTTTTATATACTGCTGGTGGGAGTATAAAATAATACAATCACTTAGGAAAACAGTTTGATAGTTTCTTATAAACTTAAACATACATCTGCCATAAGATCCCACATGGAAGAACCCTAATGTCCATCAACTGGGGAATGGATAGACAAATTGCGGCACATCCATAGAATGAACTACTAGTCAACAATAAAAAGAAATGAACTACTAATATAAGCAACAATATGGATAAACCTCAAAACAATTATGCCAAATTTTAAAAGCGACACTAAAAAAGACCACATACTATTCCATTCTAGAAAATGCAACTAATCTGTAGTTTGCTCAATGGTTGACTCAAGATAGGTGGGTAGGGACAGACAGGCAGGAGGGAGGAATCGCCAAGCACAACAATGAAGCTTTTGGGGGAAGATGTTCATTATCTTGATGGTGGTGATGGTTTCGTGTGTATATACACACACACCAAAACTCATGAAATTGTACACTTTGTGTGTAGTTTATTGAGTTTTGTCAATTATATCTCAATAAACCTGTACAGAAAAAACAAACCTCCAAGTTATTTGCATCCTATTCAGGGTAAAAGCCAAAGTCCTCATAGTGGTGAAGCAACATCGCTGACTCACCATTCACCATTCTGCTGTCCCCCAGCTTCCAGAACAGTGCCTGGAACATAAAAAGGGCTAAAGAGATACTTGCTAAATGATTGCCCAGCAGGTCCCCAGTTAATAGTAGTAGTTATTTAATAAGTGTTGTTAAGAACGAGGAGGAGGAAGAACTGACCGCATTTCTCTGGCATCTCTGTGTCCTGGAAAAAAAAAATAATAGTTTTTTTAAAAAGAGCAAGAAGGAACTCCTCAAATGATTAAACATGGAGTTACCATACGACCCAGCAATTCCACGCCTGGGTATGTTCCCAAGGGAAAGGAAAAATATGCCCACACAAAAACTTGCTCATGGTAGTCAAAAGGTAGAAATAACCCACATGCCTGCCCAGTAACTGATGAACCGATAAACAAAACGTAGTATATCCATACAGTGGAATATTATTTAGCCATAAAAAGGAATTAACGATACATGCCAAAACATAAATGAACCTTGAAAACATTATGTTTAAGTGAAAGAAGGCAGTCATAAAGGCCACATATGATATGATTCCATTTACATAAAATGTCCAGAATAAGTCTCTGTAGGGACAGAAAGTAGATTAGTTTTTGCTTAGGACTGGCATGTGTTGGGGAGATGGACAGGTGACAGCTAAAGGATATAAAATTCTTTTTGGGGGTGATAATGTTCTAAAATTGTGGTGATGGTTGCATATATCTGTGAATATACTAGAAACCATTGAATCATACACTTTATTTTTTATTTATTATTATTATTTTTTTTTTGAGGCAGAGTTTCACTATTGTTGCCTAGGCTAGAGTGCAATGGCATGACTTCAGCTCACTGCAACCTCCACCTCCCGGGTTCAAGTAACTCTCCTGTCTCAGCCTCCCGAGTAGCTGGGATTATAGGCACCTGCCACCACTCCTGGCTAAGTTTTTGTATTTTTAGTAGAGACACGGTTTCACCATGTTGGCCAGGCTGGTCTTAAACTTCTGACCTCAGGTGATCTGCCTGCCTCAGCCTCCCAAAGTGCTGAAATTACAGGCGCGAGTCACCGCCCCTGGACAAATCATATACTTTAAATGGGTAAATTGTATGCTATGTAAGTTGTACCTCAATAAAGCTGTTTAGAAAGAGTAAGGTGGTATGTGAGGGAAGGCAATGCTCTTGCTCAGAGTTTGAGTGGAGAATGGTAACCCCTTTCTATGGTTAGTTCACTGGTGTGGTTACGACCCCATCGAGCAACCCCTGAGAATAAGGTGGCTCAATTTATCCAGCAGAGAAGGGGCTAAGGGACCAGAGAGAGCCCTGGAATGGAGGAAAGTCTTTTTCTCCAGGGACAAGTAAATGAAAGCAGTTCCTTGTAGCTCTGCAGCCCACGGCTGGGGCTCTGGCTGCTGCCTTGCGCTGTATTGAGCGACATGACGTCCCCTAATTGCCTCTTAATGATAATACCTTCTATTTATACCAAACACCTCTCCTCCCAGGAGAGCGCTATGTTTTCCCAACATTGATTCAGTAAGCCAGCCAGACTGAATTGAATTAAAATTCACAGCAGCCATTCACACAAGCCTACCCCTTTCCCCTGCCTGCCCCCTCCTTCGCGCACTGCTGTGATGCTCACAGCAAAGCAAGGAAGTCAAGAAGGTTGGACTTCTACACATCTGTCCCACTGAGGCACCCTGCCCCTACCACGCTCTAGGCCTTGGGGGCAGCAGGGGTGGGGGCTAAGGGCCCTTCTATCATGGGAGAAATACAGTGCTGAAGAGAAGGGTCTTCACGTGTGATACCCTCCCCCTCTCCAGAAACATATCCATTTGAATCCATTAAAACTCAAAGGTGAGAACTGCTGATGAGGGGATATCAGGCACAAAGGAGAACTACATTGAGGGGGCACTGGAGTCTTTTCTGATTTTCACTATCTACCACACAGGCAGCTGTCTATTTTGCCTAGGTCAAAGGGCAACACAGGTTCCTGGTCAGTACCAGTGGAGAGTTCTCCATTGTGCAGACCCCTGGCTCACTGTCAGGCTCTGTTAGCCCTTTCCCGTTAGCACAGATTCCGGTGGCCCTGGCCAGTCTATATTCCTGGCCATTCCATATTCCTGGCCTAAGGGACAGAACAGAAGGGGCCCAAGGAAGAGCCTGCCCTGGTCTGACTGGATTGATGGATGGATGTCCCCAAATGCACACAGCCACACACACAGCGCCTCACCTTCTCTGTGCCTCTGTCCTGCTCTGCCCAGCTGGCAGAATGCCTGGGGGCCAGTGGGGTAAGCACAGTGCTGGGAGCAGGGGTCTCCTGCACACATCCTCACTCCTCACATGTCACACAGCATTGATGAGTCAATCAAGAGCGAGGCCTTTTTGTGGCACTGTGTGCCTGCTTTGTGCCACCTTCTACAGAGAAGACCACATACCCTTTCCTGGCTGGGGAGATGCAGATGGCTTGAGAGATGAGGGCCTAAGGGTGCCTCCCAGGGCAGGATGAAACCATATGGCCCAAATCCTCAGGGGCTGCAGAGCTTTACTCACAGACCCTGGATCTCGGGGTAGGAACTACTTAGGGGTCGTTTCATCGCATCCTGCCCCTATCCCATCCTCATCCGTTGCCTTCCTCCCCTTGCCAACATCAGCAGCACTTAAAAAGCAGGAACGCCACTGCCCAAGTCTTCTCCACACAGGTCCTTGACCCCCTCACTGCCCTTCATTACCCAGGCCCCCTTGGTGCTGCCTGTCATCAAGGCCCCTCAGCCCACCAATAGCCATGGTAATCTCGGCTCCTTGAGAGGACACCTAGGGATGGGGCATGGAGCCCCAGGGATCATACAGCACCCATCTTTCAATAAGGCAATTGAGTGGCCCTTCAAAAAGCAGGGGTCCATGACATGAACAGGATGTTCTTCAAACCACAGCCTGCCCCACTCCCACAGAAAGGGCCCAAGTGTTGGCCTCTATCATGTTGTATTTAAAATACCAGTCCAAGAGCATTAGATTTCCCATGTGAATGAACATCAAAGTTTTGGTACTGAGACTCCTCTTGAAATTGCAATTAGGAGGTTGTCATTTGTATCTTTTGGATTTATAAGGATTGGGCAATTATAATAGCAATAATAACAAAGCACCTTACTCTGTGATAGCATTTTTTGGTATACCAAGTACACTTATACATGTTGTGAAAGAGTGAACATTTGATTAAAATGATGAAATATTACAGAGGGGCACTCTTAGGTGTATGTAGTAGAGGGCAAGCCTCATGATAGCTCTGTGTGTGTGTGTGTGTGTGTGTGTGTACAAGAAAGACACAGAAAATGCACCCCAAATGTTGCTCAGCACTCCACAGCTGCTGCAACAGGCATTGAGGGCACTTACAATGCTGCTGTTGGTGTAGACGAAATTGGTGTCTCCAGGCCCTGCATTTAAACAGGAAGCTGCCTAGCCAAGGCAATCCTGCGGAGTCCAACATCATTAAGGCCAGTTGTGGCGAGCACACCTCATTGTCCCTCCATCAGTAATAACTGCTTTATCTGCTGGGACAGCCACAGGAAGATGCTGGTGCTGATCATGAATGCCCTCCAGGAGCTGCCTGGCACACAGCGGCCAGCATGCGAGCTCTGAGAGATGAGAAGAGACACCAGGGCAGGTGGTCCGGATTATCTCCATGGCCCCTGCCAGCTGCAAAATCCTAGACTTTTATGAAGATTCAGAGAGATGGGGAAAGCTGGAGAGCAGGATGGAGTGAGATGCACCCAGGACCAGAGACTGTCAATGTCATCATTTAATAGGTCCCTCTCATTTGTCACTTGAGAAACTGAAACCCAGAGACAGAAAGTGACTTCCTCAATGCCATATACTGGATAGGTGGTAGGTGAAGTACAAGTGTCCTGGCCTTGGTTCTCTTTCCGTGGTTATCCCCCGACCGTCTTAGTCTATTCAGACTGCCATAACAAAATACCATAAACTGGGCAGCTTATACACAACCGAAATTTACTTCTTACCATCATGGAGGCTGGGAAGTCCAAGATCAAGGCACTGGCAGATTTGGTAGCTGGTGAGGGATCCCATTGTCATAGGTGGCACCTTCTCACATGGTGGAAGAGGCAAGGTCACTCTCTGGGGCCTCTTTTATAAGGGCACTAGTCCCATTCAGGAGGTCTCCACCCTCGTGACTTAATGACCTCCCAAAGACCCCACCTCCTAATACTATCAACTTGGGGGTTAGGATATCAACACATGAATTTTGAGGGACACAAACATTCAGAGCATAGCACCTATACTTGGCATTCCCATACCTGCTGACGGGTGGAAAAGGCCATCCAAAGGCCTGGATCTATGGAGAGACAGACCATCCCACAGCCTTGCCCCTACCCGAAATTCAGCCCAAACCAGCCAGTGACCTCTCAGCACTGCTCTGTGGGAGGCCATCCAGGCAGAAGGCACAGACAGAATGACTGACAGTCACTGGCCAGACAGGCCTCCCCCAGCAGCTGCAAAGGGGCTGTTTTGGGGCAAGGCTTCTTAGCTGTGGTCATTCCTGGGCTATGGATTGCACCATCACAGTCACCAGCCCAGGAACAATTCCAAACTAGTGAGGGACATTCTGCTGGAGGCCCTGGGACAGTAAAGGTTTCAGTCTTGGCATGTACGAGATCTTGTTCAGTCAAATGGGACAATAAAAAAGGAATTTGTGCTCAGATGCTGTGAGAGTCTGGCAGTTCTTCAAAAAGTTAAACACAGAATTACCACGTGATCCAGAAATTCCATTCCTAGATATATACCCCCCAAAAGTGAAAACAGGTGTTCAGACAAATACTCGTATATGAATTCTAATAGCAGTGCTGTTCACAATAGCCCAGAGGTGGAAACAACATAAACGTCCATCAACAGATGAATGAATAAACAAAATGTGGTATGTTGGCGAGGTGTAGTGGCTTATTCTTGTAATCCCAGCAGTTTGGGAGCCCAAAGCAGGAGGACTGCTTGAGGCCAGGAGTTCAAGACCAGCCTGGGCAACATAGCAAGACCCTTGTCTCTACAAAGAAAAGTTTTTTTAAATTAGGCAAGCTATGATCACCCCACTGCGCTCCAGCCTGGGTGAGAGTGAGACCCTGTGTCTAAATAAGTAAATAATGTGGTATGTCCACACAAAGGAATAATATTAAGCCATATGATACGGTTTGGATCTGTGTCCTTGCCAAATCTCATGTCAAACTGTAATCCCCAATATTGGAGGTGGAGCCTGGTGGGAGGTGATTGAGTCATGAGGGTGGATTTCTCATGAATGATTTAGTACCATCTGCTTGGTACTGTCCTCACAGTAGTGAGTGAGTTCTCATGAAATCTGGTTGTTTAAAAGTATATAGCACCTCCCCCTCACTCTCTCTGGCTCCCGCTTGGCCACGTGAAGTGTTGGCTCCCCCTTCACCTTCTGCCATGACTGTAAGTTTCCTGAGGCCTCCCCAGAAGCCAAGCAGATGCCAGCGTCATGTTTTCTGTACAGCCTGTGGAACCGTGAGCCACTTAAACCTCTTTTCTTTATAAATTACCCAGTCTTGGCTATTTCTTTATAGCAACCCGAGAATGGACTAATACACCATACAAGCAAATGAAGTACTGACCCATGCTATAAGGTGGATGAACCTCTAAAACATTATGCTAAGTGAAAGAAGCCAGTCACAAAAGATCACATGTTGTATGATTCCGTTTATGTGAAATATCCAGAACAGGTAAACTCGTAGAAGTAGAAAGTAGGCTGGTGGTTGCCAGGGCTGGGGGGAGGCAGAATAGGGAGTAACCGCTAAATGAGCACAGGGTTTTATTCGGGGGTGATGAAAGTGTTTTGGAGCTAGAGGTGGTGTTTGTACAACATTGTGAATGTACTAGGTATCACAGATTTGTTCACTTTAAGATGGTTAATTTAAAAAAAAATGAATTTGTGGGCTTCCATGCCCTCCAAATCTAGGCACTTGAAGGATCTCATCAGGACTTGGTCTCTCTCCCTCCATCCTTCAATGCTGCTCCCTCGGCAGGCTTGGCCACGTGCTGGCTTCTGGACCTTCCATCAGACATTATCCCTAGAGCTAGTGATCCCCACTGAAGGAAAGCTTCACTTTTCCCAGTGGATTCATCAAAAGCCCCTAATTTGAGTCTCATTTGCCTGAGCCAGTCCCTGAGGCCAGGCAGGTAAAATGCTCTAACTGGCCAGGGTGGGTCCTGGTCTGACCCTGTGGCAAGGGTTGGGGGTGAGCATCACAGGATCTGCCTCATCCAAACCAGAGGGGCTGAGAAAGGGGAGGAGGTGTTCCTCAAGGGCAATGGAGTCTGGGTGGGAAGAAATAGCCAATGTCCACTCCAGGACTCTGGAAAGTGTAGCTTTTCTTTCTCCCTCCCTCTTCTTGTGCTGAGATACTTTTGAAGGCTGCAGCACGAGGGGAAGATGAGTTCCTTGGCATAGGCGTGATCTCCACTCATCTGTCCCAATGCCACCAGTGTCTCAGCCCCACTAACTGTATGATCCTTCCCCTCATTATGCCCCCTCAGGTCATCTGACTGTCCTTGCCATGCCAGAACAAGCTGGCCCTCTGGAATTTTATTTTGATGATGAATAATGATTTTGGATCAGGAGAATACAGCTGGTAAGAAAGAGAAAACATGCCCCTTCCCTCATGGGGAGCTGCCATTTCTCTCACACTTGAATCCAAGCCCTCTTTCTAAGACCTCCCTCCATGATCACTGTGCCCACACCAGGTCTTCCTTCCCAGCACTCCCTGAGCCCACACAATTAGGACCACTTTAGTGTTGATTATAGACTTGGTGATGGATTGACCAAAGGGGTATGCCTGGCAGAAGGCTTTTATTCCAGAAGGCTTCTGTCCTCTGCAGTTGGGAATGACCCATCCCAGGGACCCCAGCCCCCCTCTCCACTCAGTTCCTGGGCCTGGATGAACTAGCACAGCTGCTGAGCTTCTCGGGAAGCCAGGAGGTGGGAGTGGGGTGGGGCAGGGAGAAGGTGGGTGCTAGGTCTTTTGTCTGGGCCCAAGTCAGCAGGCATCCAACTTATACTCAGAATTTGCTGAGTCTCTCCAATGCAATTTTAAAATAATTTGGGCTTGCCCCTACATTAGGGAACTACCGAAGCCCTCTCTTACTTACTTGAAAATTTATTTAACTATCTCTGTTTAGCACTTTGCTTAAGAAACAGGGCACTTCTCTCTAGAGAACAGGGAGGTGATGTGAGGTCTTTTTGAATGTGAAAGGAATCCAGTGTGCCAGGGGAAGGCACAGGAGGCGGATGAAGAATGCTTCATTTGAAGAATGTGCTGAGCACTGTGTGAGTGTCGGCCTCCAGGGGTTCAGTCCAGCCAGGGAATAGGACCTGCAGCAGCAGAAACACTCTGCCTGGGAGAGCCAATGGTGTTCTGGCATTTCCTTCGCTATGTTGACAAAGGAAGAGTAGTTGAAGCCATCCTCACAGGGTTAACAAGAATTCTGGACAGAAATATTGTTATAATTAAGCATTAATCAGGCTGCACTTTGAAATGCATTCAAATGAAGAATGCAGCCTTGGGGAGTGCTCTGTAGGATGGAAGGGCTGGATAATGAGGCTGACCCCACCTCTTCCACTCCCTTCCCCACCAATGCCTGACCCCTTAATCTGGCCCAAATGGCCAGTTCACAAACATATGAAAATAGTCCATGTAATCTGTTTCCTCTCTGGGGGAAAAAAAAAACAAAAACTGCACAACAGAAAGCTTTTCACAATCACAAATAACTCTTCTGTGAAATCCTACTAAACACAGATTTACTTCTGTGTGCTGTGTCCTGCACTGGGAGCCTTTTGGCCCAAATTGCATGCTTGCATGGATTGCCCATCTCACTAACCACACAACCCTGTGAGCTCTGTTTGTTGAATGGACTCTGGACCCAGGTGGCCTGAGTTCAAATTCCAGCTCTGCCATTTGCTAGTTGTGTAACCTTGGGCAAATTACCTGTGCCTCGATTTCCTCATATGTAAAAAGGGATAACAGTAATCTACTTATAGGGTTGCTGTGTAGACTAAATGGGTTAGTTTACCAACAGCACTTAAAATAGTGCTTGCTGTAAGAATTAAAGAAAGAAGACAAGAAATACAAAAAAAGCAGCTCAACAGTCAGAGATAGGTTTATTTCGGAGAATAAACCTGAGAGGGGCTTCTGGCTGATTTTGGTCAGGAGCACTCTCTCTGACAGACTAAGAATATTTAAGGGTTCAGGGAGAGGGAGCTTATCACAGGCTTGGAATGTTTCTGTGTGGAGGAGAAGCTTATTGTGGGGTTGGAATGTCTCTGGTTGGAGAGGAGATTGTCTTGGGGCTGACATTTCTCCGGTCAAAGGGGAGGTTATCTTGGCGCTGGCATGTCCTTGGTCGGGGAGGGGTTTATCTTAGGGTTGGAATGTTTCTGGTCAGAGATGTCAGTTGTGGTTTATGGTCATACTGACATTAGCCATTAGGCTGATGCCCTTTGGGTTTGATTTAGGCAGTTTTTGATCAAGGGGAACTTTAAAATGGCAGTGCTTGTCCAAGATGGCAATGCTCCTGCTCTGTCACTGGCAACATCGCATGTGCCATGAAAATGTTGGCTTACCACAAATAATAACATCATGTGTCTATAATGGGGTTGAAATTATCTTTGTGTAATATGAGCGGAGATTTTCTTATTAATCCATGGGAAACTACTTACAAAAGTTTTCATAGAGTAACTGGTTCCCCAACTCCATTTTTTTCTATCATATCTTAAGTTTATCAGCTGAAAATTCTCTGGTCACAAGAATGTTTAGGACACCTCAGGGTGGAGGAGTCACTATAATTTACAGTTAATGATGTGTCTCAGTTCTCCGGGAGCTGAAGATGGGAACTTGAGTTAATTGTCTGAAGTGGAGTTGTCATAGGTGACTTCATTAATCAGGACTTGTCTTTGCCATTTTCTCCTGAAGTGGCCACAGTGGGGCCTTCAATGCTTGTATGTCCTGTTGTTTTCCAATGTTCCAGGCAGACTGGGCTCTACTCGTGAAATAATGAGAGTAACAGGCACAAGCCTCACTCAGAGAAAGCTCAACACATTCTCTCTCCTTATCCTGCAGAAATAACCAACAGGTCAGAAGAGCCTAGCTCACCCCCTCAGCCCACTCACTAGTGAGGGCAGGTCAGAAGCTTTTTTTCCCCATCAAAAGGTACCCCCTTGCCCCGCACTGGTTTTCATGATGAATAAATGAACCCGTGTGTGTGTGTGAAAAGCTCTGAAGAGCTATTTTTGTCACAAACTACATTCCTAATGATGCCTTTTCTCCTTGCTGGTTTTTCTTTTGCAGGGATTAGTCCAAGTTTGGTCTCTAGCAAGGTAGACAGATGGATGTATTAGAGATGACACCCACCAGGTCTAGACAGCTTCTCTCCCTGCAGAGTTTCTACTTCAGCAGGAAAAGGACAAACAGCAAAAGTAACAGACACCATCAATCCAAGACTGCTAATTGGTATTTGATTATAATTCAGATGTGGTCTGTGATTGAGTAAACACTTTCATTTAGATTATAATAGTTCCACATGGGGGAGTAGCTGAAGAATGACAAAAAGGGTCTGGGATAAAAGCAAATTAGAAAATAAGAAAAAGTATTTTATTATTCCTTCATCTTTTCATCATTTCTGTCAAAAGACAAAATTCAAAATGACAACAAATTTAGTTAAATGATCGAATTTGCTTTTGTTTACAATTCATGAATCGGGGTGACATCTCCTCCAATAATTTAGAAAATTCCTATGATGAGCTGAGCCGAGGAGGTTGGTTTTACAGGCAGAAAAGGCTGAGAAAATCAGAAACTGGGAACACAAAGTGGATTGGTTAGCATCAAGTTACTTTAGGTTCCTTTCCTCAGGGTTAAAGAAGAGGGGACTTCCTTATCGTGAGGAATAACACTGGCTTGTTTGGGGATTTGCTTGTTATCTCTCTCTTTCTCCTGATTCCTTGCAAGGTAAGATAAACAATTTAGTTTCAGTTTGGTGATGTGAGACTTTAGCACAAGGGATTCCATTTTGGCTTGGCCTACAGGGGCCTAGTGCAGGAGCTCAGTCTCAATCAATGGCCTCCTATAAATTTTATTTAACATTTTTAAAATAAAAACATTCAGATAAAATTCATCTACGACAAAATTCACCATTGTAACCATTTTAAAGTATACAATTCCATTGTTTTTAGTATATTCACAATATTGGGCAACCATCGCCACTATCTAATTCCAGACTATTTTCATTACCCCAGAAAGAAACCTCATACCTTCCAGTTCCCTCCTCCCCCTATCCCCTGGCAACCACTAATCTATTTTCTGTCTCTACACATTTGTTTACTCTGGAAATTTCACAAAAATGGGAGCATATAACATGTGACCTCTCCTTTCATCATCCCTTGAGCATCCACCATGGGCCAGGTACTATGTGACTATCTGCCCTCAAGAGGTTCAGTCCAGCCAGGGAAAAGGACCTGCAGCAGCAGAATTACCCTGCCTGGGACAGCCAATAGTGTTCTGGCATTTCCTTTGCTATGTTGACAGAGGAAAAGGAGTTGACGCCATCCTCACATGGTTAACAAGAATTCTGTACAGAAATATTGTTATAACTAAGCGTTAATTAGGCTGCACTTTGACCCACTTCCTTGTTGCTATAAGTCTCCTAGCACAAGACACCTGACCACTTGCATACCCATTGTTTCTATAAAGAGGATTTCTGACGTTTGAATCATAAGGCTTTTTTTTAAGGATCGCTTAAGATGTTTTTCAGATCCCAAATTCCAGCAAAATAGCTGATGCCAGCCAGTTTGAAGACTCCCACAAAGAAATGGAATTAGCATAAGAATACAGTTTCTTCAGTTCCCTGTCCCATGACTTCGCCCTGCACTATTTGACCAATCAATGGTCTCCACACTTTGGCCCACTCCAAAACCCTTAAAAACCCTAGCCCCAAACTCCTCAGGGAGATGGATTTGAGGTTCCCTCTCATCTCTTTTCTGGGCAACTCTATGATTAAATCTCTTATCTCTGCTGCATCCCAGTATCTTGGTGTATTGATTTGCTGTACACAACAGACAATGGACCTATTATGGTTACAGTTTTCCAGTAAAAAGAGGGAAGGGGATTCCAGGAAGAGAGAATAGCAGAGATGGTGTGTTGTTTGGGGAAGGCCAAGAAGGTCCTTGGGGCTAAAGCATCAGATGTACAGGGAAGGTAGGAAGATTTTGGGGAAAAAGGAGACAAGGCAACAGGTAAGTTAGGTCAGAAAAAGCAGAGCCTTGAGGGCTCCTTAAATGAGACTGGGATTGCTCCTCTAGGCTCTGGGGAGCCAGGCAAAGGTCAGCGTGTGTTTTAGGAAGGAAACCAGCCATGGACGGTGGGTTGCAGAGGAAGACTGTCAAGTGGAGGAACAGGAGGATGCAACAGTCCAGGTTTGGAAAGGCTAGGCCTCCCACTCTTGCAGAGGCAGTAGGCTCAGGAAGAAGGAAACATCCATTTGAGAGGAATTTCTAAGGCTGAATAAACACTGTCAGGCCTCTGAGCCCAAGCTAAGCCATCATATACCCTGTGACCTGCACGTATACATCCAGATGGCCTGAAGCAACTGAAGATCCAAAGAAGTGAAAATAGCCAGTTCCTGCCTTAACTGATGACATTCCACCATTGTGATTTGTTCTTGCCCCATCCTAACTGATCAATTGACTTTTTGACAACACACTCTCCCCACCCTTGAGAAGGTACTTTGTAATATCCTCCCCGACCCTTGCGATAATGTACTTTGTGATATTCCCACAACCTTAACAAGGTACTTTTTAATATCCTCCCCCACCCTTGTGATAATGTACTTTGTGATATTCCCCCACCCTTAAGAAGGTACTTTGTAATATTCTCCCCGCCCTTAAGAATGTACTTTGTAAGATCCACACCCTGCCTGAAAAACATTGCTCCTAATTCCACCACCCATCCCAAACCTATAAGAACTAATGATAATCCCACCACCTTTTGCTGACTCTCTTTTCGGACTTAGCCCGCCTGCACCCAGGTGATTAAAAAGCTTTATTGCTCACACAAAGCCTGTTTGGTGGTCTCCTCACACGGACGTGCATGACATTTGGTGCCAAAGACCTGGGACAGGAGGACTCCTTCGGGAGACCAGTACCCTGTCCTCGCCCTCACTCTGTGAGAAGATCCACCTATGACCTCGGGTCCTCAGACCAGCCAGCCCAAGGAACATCTCACCAATTTCAAATCGGGTAAGCGGTCTTTTCATTCTCTTCTCCAATCTCTCTCACCATCCTTCCACCCTTCAATCTCTTTCTTCCTTAATTTTGGTTCCTTTCTTTTTCTGGTAGAGACAGAGGAGACGTGCTTTATCCATGAACCCAAAACTCTGGTGCTGGTCACGGACTCAGGAAAACAGTCTTACCTCGGTGTTTAATCACTGTGCGGATGCCTGCCTGATTATTCACCCACATTTCAGAGGTGTCTGATCACCACGGGGACGCCTGCCTTGATCCTTCACCTTGGTGGCAAGTACCACCTCCCTGGGGTAGCAAGCACCACCTCCCCTGGGTGGCAAGTACCACCCCCCTCTCTGTGTCTCTATCCTCTCTTTTCTCTGGGCTTGCCTCCCTCACTATGGGCAACCTTCCACCCTACATTCCTCCTTCTTCTCCCTTAGCCTGTGTTCTCAAGAATTTAAAACCTCTTCAACTCTCGTCTGACCTAAAACCTAAGCATATTATTTTCTTCTGCAATACCACTTGGCCCCAGCACAAACTTGATAATGGCTCTAAATGGCCAGAAAATGGCATTTTTGATTTCTCCATCCTACAAGACCTAGATAATTTTGGTCAAAAAATGGACAAGTGGTCTGAGGTGCCTTATGTCCAGGCATTTTTCACACTTTGTTCCCTCCCTAGTCTCTGTTCCCAATGCAACTCATCCCAAATCCTCCTTCTTTCCCTCCCACCTGTCCCTTCAGTACCAACCCCAAGCATCGCTGAGTCTTCTGAATCTTCCTTTTCTACCGACCCATCTGACCTGTCACCTCCTCCCCAGACTGCTCCTCCTCAGGTTGCTCCCTGCCAGGCTGAATCAGGTTCCAACTCTTCTTCAGCCTCTGCTCCCCCACTCTACAACCCTTCTATCACCTCTCCTCCTCACACCTGGTCTGGCTTACAGTTTCGTTCCATGACTAGCTCTTCCCCACCTGCCCAAAAATTTCCTCTTAGAGAGGTGGCTGGAGCTGAAGGCATAGTCAGGGTACATGTGCCTTTTTCTCTGAATGCTTTCTGAAATCAGCCAGCATTTAGGCTCTTTCTCATCAGATCCCGCTAAATATATACAGGAATTCCAATATCTAACTCTGTCCTACAATTTAACCTGGAGTGATTTAAATGTCATCCTAACTTCTACTCTCTCCCCAGATGAACAGGAAAGAGTTTCTTCTCTAGCCCAATCTCACACTGACAACCACCGGCTTCATGAGCCAGGCCTCCAGGAAGGCATTAGAGCAGTTCCCCGAGAAGATCCCCAATGGAACTATCAGGCAGATTCCCCCAGGTATAGCTAGGTGAGATTATATGACTGCTTGCCTAGTTGAAGGGCTTAAAAAGGCAGCATACAAATCTGTTAATTATGACAAACTTAAAGAAACTACCCAAGGAAAGGATGAAAACCCAGCCCAGCTCATGGTTTGTTTAGCAGCAACCCTGAGATGCTTTACAGCCTTGGACCCAGCAGGGCTAGAAGGCCGTCTTATTCTCGATATGCATTTTATCACTCAATCTGCTCCTGACACTAGAAAGAAACTCCAAAAGCTAGGCTCCGGCCCTCAAACCCCACAACAGGACTTAATTAACCTTGCCTTCAAGGTGTACAATAATAGAGAAGAGGCAGCCAAGCAGCAACATATTTCTGAATTGCAATTACTTGCCTTCACTGTGAGAGAAACCCCAGCCACATCTCCACCACACAAGAACTTCAAAACGCCTAAATTGCAGTGGCCAGGCATTCCTCCAGGGCCTCCTCCCCCAGGATGTTGCTTCAAGTGCCAGAAATCTGGTCACTGGTGCAAGGAATGCCCACAGCCTGGGATTCCTCCTAAGCTGTGTCCCATCTGTGCAGGACCCCACTGGAAATTGGACTGTCCAACTCACCTGGCAGCCACTCCCAGAGCCTCTAGAGCTCTGGCCCAAGGCTCTCTGACTGAGTCCTTCCCAGATCTGCTCAGCTTAGCGGCTGAAGACTGATGCTGCCTGATTGCCTCAGAGGCCCCCTGGACCATCATAGACGCCGAGCTTCAGGTAACTCACAGTGGAGGGTAAGTCCATCCCCTTTTTAACTGATACGGGGGCTACCCACTCCACATTACCTTCTTTTCAAGGGCCTGTTTCCCTTGCCCCCTTAACTGTTGTGGCTATTGACGGCCAGGCTTCTAAACCTCTTAAAACTCCCAAACTTTGGTGCCAACTTGGACAACATTCTTTTATGCACTCCTTTTTAGTTATCCCCACCTGCCCAGTTCCCTTATTAGGTTGAGACATTTTAACAAAATTATCTGCTCCCTGACTATCCCTGGACTACAACCACATCTCATTGCTGCCCTTCTCCCCAACCCAAAGCTTCCTTTGTGTCTTTCTCTTGTATCCCCCCACCTTAACCCACAAGTATGGGACACCTCTACTCCCTCCCTGGCAACCAATCACACACCCATTATTATCCCATTAAAACCTAATCACCCTTACCCTGCTTTAACGCCAGTATTCCATCCCACAACAGGCTTTAAGGGGACTGAAGCCTGTTATCACTTGCCTGCTACAGCATGGGCTTCTAAAGCCTATAAACTCTCCTTACAATTCCCCCATTTTACCTGTCCAAAAACCGGACAAGTCTTACGGGTTAGTTCAGGATCTGTGCCTTATCAACCAAATTGTTTTGCCTATCCACCTTGTGGTGCCCAACCCATACATTCTTTTGTCCTCAATACCTTCCTCCACAACTCACTATTCCGTTCTTGATGTTAAAGACGCTTTTTTCACTATTCCCCTGCACCCCTCATCCCAGCCTCTCTTTGCTTTTACCTGGACTGACCCTGACACCCATCAGTCCCAGCAGCTTACCTGGGCTGTACTGCCGCCACAAGGCTTCAGTGACAGCCCTCATTACTTTAGCCAAGCTCTTTCTCATGACTTACTTTCTTTCCACGCCTCCACTTCTCACCTTATTCAATATGTTGATGACCTTCTACTTTGTAGCCCCTCCTTTGAATCTTCTCAACAAGACACCCTCCTGCTCCTTTAATATTTATTCTCCAAGGGATATTAGGTATCCCCCTCCAAAGCTCAAATTTCTTCTCCATCCATTACCTACCTCGGCATAATTCTTCATGAAAACACACATGCTCTCCCTGCCGGTCATGTCTGGCTGATCTCTCAAACCCCAAACCCTTCTATAAAAAAACAACTCCTTTCCTTCCTGGGCATGGTTGGATACTTTCACCTTTGGATACCTGGTTTTGCCATCCTAACAAAACCATTATATAAACTCACAAAGGGAAACCATTATATAAACTCACAAAGGGACCCCATAGATCCTAAATCCTTTTCCCACTCCTCTTTCCGTTCCTTGAAGACAGCTTTAAATACTGCCCCCACACTAGCTCTCCCTGACTCATCCCAACCCTTTTCATTACACACAGCAGAAGTGCAGGGCTGTGCAGTCGGGATTCTTACACAAGGACTGGGACCATGCCCTGTAGCCTTTCATCCAAACAACTTGACCCTACTGTTTTAGGCTGGCCATCATGTCTCCATGCAGTAGCTGCCGCCACCCTAATACTTTTAGAGGCCCTCAAAATCACAAACTATGCTCAACTCACTCTCTACAGTTCTCATAACTTCCAAAATCTATTTTCTTCCTCACACCTGACATGTATAGTTTCTGCTCCCTGGCTCCTTCAGCTATACTCACTCTTTGTTGAGTCTCCCACAATTACCATTGTTCCTGGCCTGGACTTCAATCCGGCCTCCCACATTATTCCGGATACCACATCTGACCCCCATGACTGTATCTCTCTGATCCACCTGCCATTCACTCCATTTCCCCATATTTCCTTCTTTCTTGTTCCTCACCCTGATCACACTTGGTTTATTGACAGCAGTTTTACCAGGCCTAATCGCCACTAACCAGCAAAGGCAGGCTATGCTATAGTACCTTCCATCTATCATTGAAGCTGCCACTCTGCCCCCCTCCACTACCTCTCAGCAAGCCAAACTCATTGCCTTAACTCGGGCCCTCACTCTTGCAAAGGGACTACGCATCAATATTTATACTGACTCTAAATATGCCTTCCGTATCCTGCACCACCATGCTGTTATATGGGCTGAAAGAGGTTTCCTCCCTACGCAAGGGTCCTCCATCATTAATGCCACTTTAATAAAAACTCTTCTCAAGGCCGCTTTACTTCCAAAGGAAGCTGGAGTCATTCACTGCAAGGGCCATCAAAAGGCATCAGATCCCATCACTCAGGGCAACGCTTATGCTGATAAGGTAGCTAAAGAAGCAGCGAGCATTACAACTTCTGTCCCTCATGGCCAGTTTTTCTCCTTCTCATTGGTAACTCCCACCTACTCTCCCACTAAAACCTCCATCTATCCATCTCTTCTCACACAAGGCAAATGGTTCTTGGACCAAGGAAAATATCTCCTTCCAGCCTCAAAGGCCCATTCTATTCTGCCGTCATTTCATAACCTCTTCCATGTAGGTTACAAGCCGCTAGCCCACCTCTTAGAATATCTCATTTCCTTTCTTTCATGGAAATCTATCCTCAAGGAAATCACTTCTCAGTGTTCCATCTGCTATTCTACTACTCCTCAGGGATTGTTCAGGCTCCCCTCCCCGCCACCCCCACCTGCTTCCCTACACATCAAGCTTGGGGATTTGCCCCTGCCCAGGACTGGCAAATTGACTTTACTCACATGCCCCGAGTCAGGAAACTAAAATACCTCTTGGTCTGGGTAGACACTTTCACTGGATGGGTAGAGGTCTTTCCCACAGGGTCTGAGAAGGCCACCATGGTAATTTCTTCCCTTCTGTAAGACATAATTCCTTGGTTTGGACTTCCCACCTCTATACAGTCCAATAACGGACAGGCCTTTATTAGTCAAATCACCCAAGCAGTTTCTCAGGCTCTTGGTATTCAGTGGAATCTTCATACCCCTTACTGTCCTCAATCTTCAGGAAAGGTAGAATGGACTAACGGTCTTTTAAAGACACACCTCACCAAGCTCAGCCTCCAATTTAAAAAGGACTGGGCAGTACTTTTACCTCTTGCCCTTCTCAGAATTAGAGCTTGTCCTTGAGATGCTACAGGGTATAGTCCATTTGAACTTTTATACGGACGCACTTTCTTGCTCGGCCCCAACTTCATCCCAGACACCAGCCTTCTGTGCGACTATCTTCCAGTCCTCCATCAGGCTAGACAGGAAATTCACCAGGCTGCTAATCTTCTCTTGCCTACTCCAGATTCCCAGCCATATGAAGACACCCTAGCTGGATGATCAGTTCTTGTTAAGAATCTGACCCCTCAAACTCTACAACCTCGATGGACCGGACCCTACTTAGTCATCTATAGTACCACAACTGCCGTCCTCCTGCAGGACCCTCCCCATTGGGTTCACCATTCCAGAATAAAGCTGTGCCCATCAGACAGCCAGCCTGATCTCTCCTCTTCCCCCTGGAAATTGCAAGTACTCTCCCCTACTTCCCTTAAACTCACTCGCATTTCTGAAGAGCAGTAATAACCCTTATGAGCCTAATACATCCCTTCATTCTATTAGGTCTATTCATCCTTACCCTACTTTTTGCAACAGGGCTTTACACAGTCACTCCCACTACTTGGACTGCACCCCAAAAACTTGTCATCCCTACTATCTTCTGTCTAGTCACACTCCTATTCACCATTCTCAACTAATCGTAAATACCACACTTTTCCTCCAAACCATCATAACTGATATCTCCTGGTTTTACCTCAAACCGCCACCCCTAAGTCTCTCTTGAAGTGGATAGAAGATCTTCAGTGGCAAGGTACACTCCAATTCTTCTATCCTGATGAAGGTCTTTCTTTTTTTTTACTTTTCTACTCACTCTTATCCTTGCCCCCATTCTCCAGTCACTCTCTACCTCTCCCTAGTTACCTCCAGCACACTATCAATCTCACCCACTCTCTCCTCACTGCCTCCAATCCTTCTCTAGCAAATAATTGTTGGCCATGCATTTCCCTTTCTTCCCACTCTTACACAGCCATCCCTGCTCTACAGGCTGACTGGGCTACTCTCCTGTCTCCCTATACCTCCGAACCTCCTTTAATAGCCCTCATCTTTACCCATCTGAGGAACTTCTTTACTTTCTAGGCAGATTTGGTGAGAACTCCCCAGATATTTTGCACCAACAAGCTGCCACACTTCTCCACGTCTATTTACGGCACCTTTCTCCTTATGTCAATTCCACCCCCCTCCACCCCGCCATATTTGGACCTCTAACCACACAAACAACTATCCCTGTTGCCGCTCCTTTATGCATCTCCCGACAACAGCCTACTGGAATCCCTTTAGGCAACCTTCCACCGTCCAAACGTTCCTTTACTCTTTATCTCCAGAACCCAGCCACACACATTATCAAAGAGATGGGAGCGTTCCAACTTCACATTACTGATAAGCCCTCTATCATTATTAACAAACTAAAAAACATTGGCAGTCACTATTGTTAAGGAAGACACCTACCCTGCATCTCACTCCATCCTTGGCTACCCTCCCCCTGCTTGTCTGAATCTCCTCCTAGGCCCTCCTCTTGCTTGCTTATACCAAGCCCCATGAATAGCAGTGAAAGGTTAGTCATAGACACTATGCACTTTCTCATATACCACGAAAACCAAACCTCTCCCTCTATGCAGTTGCACCATCAATCCCCATTATAACCTCTAATGGCTGCTGCCCTTGCTGGATCTCTAAGATTTCAGGTGCAGGACTCCTCTTTGAGTACACCGTCTCACTTTTTCACTTTACATTTCCAGTTCTGCCTGACACAAGGTCTCTTCTTTTTATGTGGCTCTTCCACCTACATGTGCCTACCTGCCAAATGGATGGGCACATGTACTCTAGTCTTCCTTACCCCCAAAATCCAGTTTGCAGATGGGAATGAACAACTGCTTGTCCCTCTCATGACACCAACACAACAAAAAAGAGTCATCCCACTAATCCCTACACTTGTAGGCCTAGGACTTTCTGCCTCTACTATTGCTCTTGGAACTGGAATAGCAGGCATATCCACCTCTGTCACAACATTCCGCAGCCTCTCTAATGACTTTTCTGCTAGCGTTACAGATATATCACAAACTTTATCTGTCCTCCAAGCCCAGGTTGACTCTTTAGCTGCAGTTGTCCTCCGGAACTGCCAAGGCCTTGATTTACTCACTGCTGAAAAAGGAGGACTCTGTATATTTTTAAATGAAGAGTGTTGTTTTTACCTAAATCAATCTGGCCTGGTACATGACAACATAAAAAAACTCAAGGATAGAGCCCAAAAACTCACCAACCAAGCAAATAATTATGCTGAACCCCCTTGGACACTCTCTAATTGGATGTCCTGGGTACTCCCACTTCTTAGCCCTTTAATACCTATTTTTCTTCATCTTTTATTTGGACCTTGTGTGTTCCATTTAGTTTCTCAATTCATACAAAACCGCATCCAGGCCATCACCAACCATTCTATACAACAAATACTCCTTCTAACAACCCTACAATATCACCCCTTATCCCAAAATCTTTCTTCAGTTTAATCTCTCCCACTCTAGGTTCCCACGCCACCCCTAATCCCGCTTGAAGCAGCCCTGAGAAACATCGCCCATTATATCTCCATAGCACCCCCCAAAATTTTTGCCGCCCCAACACTTCACCACTATTTTGTTTTGTTTTTCTTATTAATATAAGAAGACAGGAATGTCAGGCCTCTGAGCCCAAGCTAAGCCATCACATACCCTGTGACCTGCACGTATACATGCAGATGGCCTGAAGCAACTGAAGATCCACAAAAGAAGTGAAAATAGCCAGTTCCTGCCTTAACTGATGACATTCCACCATTGTGATTTGTTCCTGTCCCACCGTAACTGATCAATTGACTTTTTGACAATACACCCTCCCCACCCTTGAGAAGGTGCTTTGTAATATTCTCCCCGGCCCTTGTGATAATGTGCTTTGTGATATTTCCCCGCCCTTAAGAAGGTACTTTGTAATATTCTCCCGACTCTTAAGAATGCACTTTGTAAGATCCACCCCCTGCCCACAAAACATTGCTCCCAACTCCACCACCTATCCCAAACCTGTAAGAACTAATGACAATCCCACCACCTTTTGCTGACTCTCTTTTCAGACTCAGCCTGCCTGCACCCAGGTGATTAAAAAGCTTTATTGCTCACACAAAGCCTGTTTGGCGGTCTCTTCACACAGATGCGCATGACAAACAGCAGTTGGGTATCCCCAGATGGGGCAAGTGCAAGAGAGAGGGAGTCAAGGCTCTGAACAGCCTTCTCCTGATGCACAATGAGACCTTGGGTGAGGCAGAAGTAGCTGGTGAGTCCATCACCCTCTGCTTAGAACACCATGGCTTCCCCTTTTTCTTAGGAATTCTTATGGGGCTGTCAGAGGTGTTGGAACCAGAGCAACTCCATCTTGAATAGGAGCTGCATAAAATGAGGCTGAATCCTAGTGGGCTACATTCCCAGACAGTTAGGCATTCTAAGTCACAAGTTGAGACAGGAGATCGGCACAAGATACAGGTCATAAAGACCTTGCTGGTAAAACAGCTTGCAGTAAAGAAGCTGGCTAAAACCCACCAAAACCAAGATGGCGACAACAGTGACCTCTGGTCATCCTCACTGCTACATTCCTACCAACGCCCTGACAGTTTACAAATGCCATGGCAACATCAGGAAGTTACCCTATAAGGTCTACAAGGGAAGGCATGAATAATTCACCCCTTGTTTAGCATACAATCAAGAAATAACCATAAAAATGGGCAACCAGCAGCCCCCGGGGCTGCTCTGTCTATGGAGTAGCCATTCTTTATTCCTTTACTTTCTTAATAAACTTACTTTTGCTTTAGTCTATGAACTCGCCCTGAATTCTTTCTTGCGCGAGATCCAAGAACCTTCTCCTGGGGTCTGGACTGGGACCCCTTTCCAGTAACAGGGCTTCCAAAGCCCTGTAGGATCAGGCCTCTGCCCAGCCCCAAATGACCTCACAGTGGTCTTCCATAGTTCTCTCCTCCTGCCAACAGCCTTGGCATGCCATTCCAAGCTGCACAGCTGCCCTCTGTCATTCACTTACCCTCTTCCTGGTCAATGCCTACCTGTCTCAGCCCTGCCTAAGTCAAATATCCCTATATGCATCTCCTGAAACAACATAGTCTTTCTTCACAGCCATTGTCACCATGGTCATTTTTCATTGACTTGTGTAACTTTTGATCCTGAAGCTGAATGAGGCAGAAACCAAGTCAATTTTGGCTCTTGTATCCAGCATCTAGCCACATATCTAGTATTTAATTGGTGTTCCATAATACTTGATGGAGAAAGAAATGAGCAAACCAAACTGGGATCCTTCCAATGAGCCTGGGGCCCTTTGTGATATAGCTTCTGTTAAGAGAACCGGGAAGAGGGGAGAGAGTCACTCGAATCCTGGCATTTTCACTCAGTGGGGCCTCCTCTACCCCAACCTGAGGTTTTCTCCTGATAAAATCTGCTTATGAAGAATGCTAAGGGTGGCTATAGCTCCCAGGGTGAATCCTGCAAGTGCTTTGGCTGGCTTATTACCCTCAGGTTACAGTATATTATGCTTTTTAAGTATAACATAATGAGGGCTCATACAGTGAGACAACCCCACCCAGATTGTAATCAATGTCTGAGAATGCATTTATTTAGCACTTTTGCTCCTGCTCAATATGCATGCAAAGATTTCAACTTTCCAGGAAACCTTTCTCAAGCTGTTCTCTTTTCCAGCTTTTGTCTTCTGTCTCCCCTTTCATTCTCCCTCATCACCATCTGACAATTCTCCTCCAATTGTTCTACTATGAGGCTCTGAGTTGCTGAATATGCTGAACAGAAAGGCCTGCATATTCAATAAGAGCCCCAAGGAACTTGCATGCAGGAGGGTCCAATACTATAAGGAGGTAGAATACCATCCACTTCAAGGCCAGCCGGCCCAGGGGATTGTTGGGTTGATGGAGACTGCAAATGCACTACTAAGTGAGTACCTCTGACTGCCCTTCAGGGCCTTAGTTTCTTTATCTGCTATTCCAACAGCCCCTAATGGTACTCCCACCCTCCCTCCTACCCAGTCATTAATATATAGGCAATTTTAAATGAGTTAGGATCCTTAATAGCACAGTGCCTGGCACAGAGTACAGGTTTAAAAGCTGACATGGGTGGATCACGAGGTCAGGAGATGGAGACCATCCTGGCTAACACAGTGAAACCCCGTCTCTACTAAAAAATACAAAAAATTAGCCAGGCGTGGTGGTGGGCACCTGTAGTCCTAGCTACTTGGGAGGCTGAAGCAGGAGAATGGCGTGAACCTGGGATGCAGAGCTTGCAGTGAGCCGAGATTGCACCACTGCACTCCAGCCTGGGCGATAGAGCGAGACTCTGTCTCAAAAAAAAAAAAAAAAAAAAAAAAAAAAATTGTTACATAGGAGGAAGGAAGGAAGAAAGGGAGGGAGGGAGGGAGAAAAAGGGAAGCTGACTGACCACACTCATGTGCTCAACTATAAAGAAGACCTTCTATTCACAAGAAACATTCCTCCCCCTAGAAGCCCTATTGACCCATGTAATACCTGGAAAGGCATCCCCAAGACTCTTCTCCCCAACCCATCCCCACACCTAACTGCACCAATGCTACTCCTCCACACATCATCTCCTACTACACACCCCTCCTCCAATTTCCCCACTCACCAATGCTCATTTCTGGGCTATTAGCAAGTAAAACAGTTACCCCCAGTTTCCTACGCATTTATTTACATCAAACATCATGTTCTATGCTGTGATCCATTTTCAGCATTGCAGTTTTAATTAATGTCTAATGAACAAATCTCGTCTTTGCATGTTTCACAATCCACAGACAAGTTAATAAATGAGAATGTTTCATTATAAAAATCATTGCTTCCATAATCTATCTACTTCCAATGCCACCTTCCATTCTTTCCTCCTCTGGGTCTCATCCCCTTTTTAGAGTTGCCTAGCTAAAACAAATATTCTAACTCTCTAAAACGATCAGTTCAATATTCATAGAGTCCTGACTCATTCAAATGATGAAATACTAGCTATGGCAACCCTCTAGCATCTTTCTCCTAAGCCTTCCTCCCTTGCTTTGTTTTTGCTCTTGGTTCTGACAGCCTATTGGTTTTGGATTGGAAAAGTTATTGACATTTCATCTCTCCCAATTGCAAGAATATAGAGGAACCAAGTGGAGGGAAAAATCCCACAGGAAAGTCAACCATGATGAGAACACAAGGTACAAATACCTGAGAGAAGAGGGGAGATTGGGAGATAAGAGGAAAAAATGGAAGCAAATGAAGGTCAGGCCTGTTGATGGTCTCACCACATTTGAAGGTTTAAATTCCAATCTCAGACTCATTCATGCAGGAACTTGCTCCTTCACACTGTGGCTTCCATCCTCAAAGTCACCTCATGATTCAAGATGGCAGCTGGAGTCCCAGTCATCACATCTATATTCTAGGAAGCATGACTGAGGAAGGAGAAATGGCAGAAGGGCAAAAGGGCCCCCCTTCCTGTGGAATTAGCTTTCTTTTATGCAGCCTTCCTGGAAGACCCACATAATATTTTGCTAGAATTAAAAAATACAGTTTCACCTTATAAGGGAGAATGGAAAATAGGGTCTTTTAACTGGTCACAGTGACATCTCAAATAAAATGGGAGTTCTATTGCTAAAAAAGAGGTTGAACAGAGATTTGGGTGGGAACTAGAAGTCTCATTGAGAAGCCAAACTCAAACATGTGCTGATATTCTAATAGGGGAAAAAAGAGAGTGATGAACTAAAGACAGAGAAGAGGGAAGAAGAGTAGGAAATCTTAAGAATCCAGCAATATCTACCAATGTGAAATTCAGCTAAAACTTTATTTTAGAGTACACTATGCCAACAAATGATACTTCATATGTATTTATTGACATGAAAGTAATATAAACTCCATGTTCACTGAACAATCTCAGGTACCTTGAACAGTGCTTGGCACATAGTAGGTGCTCAACAAATATGTTTAAATCAAAAGATGTCTTGAATGATGTATGATGTTAAATAAAAAAGTAAGTTTAAAATAGTATGTAAAATATCCTATAACTTTACTAAAATCAAATATGTGTATGTATATGTAGATAGATAGACAGATAGAGCCAACCAACCAGGCAGTAAGATCATTAAAATGATTGATAACAGTAATTTTCTGTGCATAATGTGATAGAATTGGGGGTAATTCTTATTTTCTTATTTTTAGCTTTCCTGAATTTTCCAATTATTCTAAGTTAATTATGCATTACTTTATATAGTTTTTAAAAGTCTTATCAGAATTTAATTATGCATTACTTATACAGTCTTAAAAAGTTATATCAAAATCCATTTGAGACAAAAATCAACACATGAATGGCCTTACCTAGAGAACAAAAAAATCTGGATTAGATTTTAAAATAAGAAAGAGTTGAAATAGATATTTAAAAATCATTTTTAAAAAATCACTTCTTAATAAAGAGTGATTCAGCATTAGAAGACAGGACTCCATAAAGACATTCAGACAAGGAACCCACAACTTTCTACACAAGAGGATTAGGAAATAAGGAGTTGCCCTCAAAGCTTTAAGGCTCCTCTTCACTCTGGGATTCTTGTCTTCATTTCAAAACTCCCTATCAACAGGCAGCAATCAGCTTCATTAATCCTCAAATATTATGGTGACTTAAAGATGACATAGTGCATTCTTCACAAAGACAGATATGGCAACTGAGCCCAAGGAGGTTTTAATACCAGAGCCCCCAACTTTGCACCCAGTATGTTCCCAATTTGTCTTCCTTTTCCCCTGCAGACATAGCTTGTGCCTTTCAGTGTGGCCATGTTTGTGGGAAAACAAAGTTTGCCATAAAATTGGCTTCATCAAGCCAGAGTCCACATATATTATATATCCGACTCTCATTTTAGAAGGAAAAAACTAACCTTTGGGTTTCACAGGGTCGGTTAATCTATGCCCTAAAGTTGTATTGAGAGGCTGAGAGGCCACCAATGGAGGTCCTGGATTATAAGAAACAGACTCTTCCCTCTCCTCTCACCCATACTCAACACGCGCCCACCATAGTTCCTTGAACGCAATATGTTTTTTCTTGCTTCTATATTTGCACCCAGGTCAATACTCCTGGTTGGGATGTTCCCTCTCTTTCAGTCAATCCAAACCTTACCCATCTGTTAGGCCTTGCCCCCATTCTTCCTGTTATCCAAAGCTTCCTCTGACTCCTGCAGCCCTTGTTACAGGCTCCCTTCTCTGACCTCCCGTGACCAGCACCATACAGTCAGCTCCTAACTGTATCTGCTATATCATAGTCCTTACTGCTTCATACATGTGCATCTTATCACCCCAGCCAGACTCTAAGCTCTTGCAGGGAGAGTAAGGTTCATCACACACACACACACACACACACACACACACACACACACACACACACACAGTTTATAGTACACTGCTTTATACCTGGTAGGTTCTCAATAAAAATCTGTTCATCAGTTATTTGGAAATAACCAGAGAGCAGCTGAACAGTCACAAATTTTTAACAAGTTGAGTTATAAGATAGTCTCAAGACCCAACTATATGCTGTTTACAAGAAACTAACTGAAGATCTAAGGACAAATAGGTTGAAAATGAAAGAATGGAAAAAGATATTCCATGCAAACGGTAACCAAAAGAGAACTGGGTGGCTATACAAATACTAGAAAAAATGGACTGTAAGCCAAAAATTGTTGTAGGCCAGTTGTGGTGGCTCATGCTTGTAATCCTAGCACTTTGAGAGACCAAGCCTGGACAACATAGTGAGACCCTATCTCTACAAAAAATAAGAAAATTAGCCAGGCATGGTGGTACATGCCTATAGTCCCAGCTTCTTGGGAGGATGAGGTGGGAGGATTGCTTGAGCCCAGGAGTTTTAGGTTGCAGTGAGCTATAAATGTGCCACTGCACTTCTGTCTGGGCAATGGAGTGAGACCCTGTCTGAAAAAGAAAATTTATTATAAGAGACCAAAAAAGGACATCATATACAGATGCTCCGCAAATTATGATAGGGTTACATCCAAATTTAATTTCATTATTTTCTCTATAGAACAGTTAAATTGTTTCCAATTTTCCCTTTTTTTTATTTTAAAGAAATTATTTTCCTTGGGATAAATTCTTTTATATTTCCATCATTAATTGAAAATATCCTAAGTCCAAAATGTATATTAGCTTACAATTGGGCAAAATAATCTAACACAAAGCTTATTGTATACTAAAGTGTTGAGTATCTTAATGTAATTTATTGACTACTACACATTAAGTCAAAAGTGCAATGGTTTTACACCATTGTAGAACCAAAAAATTGCAAGTCAAACCATTGTAAATCAGACACCATCTCTATTAACAATAGGGTAAATCCATCAAGAAGCTATAACAACTGTAACATATATGCAGCAAACAACAGAGCCTCAAAATATGTGACACCAGCATTGACATAATTGAAGGGAGAACTAGATAGTTTTACTCTTGTAGTTGCAGACCTCAATATTTCACCTTCAATAATGGATAGAACATCTAGACATAAGAGCAATATGAAAATAGAGGCACGTTACCCATGTTTTTTTTCAGTCCAACAGGAACCCTGTCCTCCAAATGCCAATGGAAAGAAAAGGAGGACAGTATTGTAAGTGCTATTACAAATGTTATCGTTAAGTGCTGCTGTACCATTTGAGACATTTCTTGCCTATTACCACTCAAGATGCACTTTATCATAAGGAACCACTTCAGGCACCAAGGCTACTGTCTTCTCAGGTCACAAGTCCAGATTCAACCCTTGTCTTCAAATCCCATACAGTTCTAGGGAGATCGAACTACAGGGCATCCAGCATCAGTTACATCCTGTGTCACCAAAGCACTTAGACCCTTGTCTAAGCCTCCAGTCAGACTCCTGCTTCCCCAGAATAATTTTATTTCAAGGGGCCTTTCTCCCAGGTCCTGGGCTGTGACCAGACTCTCCCCATGCTTTTCTCAACAAGACCCCTTAATCTTAAATTCACAGAAGACAAATCAGATGTCTTTCCCTTCCATTCTGGAAGGCCCTGGGTAAAACTGGTTCACTTCTTCCCAGTTACCAGCTCTGTGAAACATGGTGTGAGGAAACATTTGCCAAATGACTTAAAACATAAAAGGTTTTATAAAAACCTAATTCCAGGAGAATGGGGGGAGAAGAGCTGCTGCATCTATACTACTAAGAAGGCAACGCAACTGACCCTTCACAGGATAGCGATAACCATCTTCTCCATATTTAAAAAAAAAAGTATCCCGTTACACAGCTAATTGCCAATAAGTAATGCAGACAATGAGTACTAGAGGAGTTCTGAGAACAAGAAGATCAAAGAGGTTTGAAGGCAACCAGAACATTTTGAATCTGCTACTACTTGGAATGCAAAACTTGTCACCAAAATTTTACCATCACAGATTAATTTTTAAGAGAAAGTATTTTGGAGGAAACTCCTTTATTCAAATTTAATTTCATAATTTTCTCTGTAACACAACTAAATTGTTTCAAATTTTCTCATTTCTAAAAGCAATTATTTTCCTTGGGATAAATTTCTTTCTTTTTTTTTTTTTTTGAGATGGAGTCTCACTCTGTCGCCCAGGCTGGAGTGCAGTGGCCCGATCTCGGCTCACTGTAAGCTCCGCCTCCCGGGTTCACGCCATTCTCCTGCCTCAGGCTCCCGAGTAGCTGGGACTACAGGCGCCCGCCACTGCACCCAGCTAATTTTTTGTATTTTTAGTAGAGACGGGGTTTCACCGTGTTAGCCAGGATGGTCTCAATCTCCTGACCTCGTGATCCGCCCGCCTCGGCCTCCCAAAGTGCTGGGATTACAGGCATGAGCCACCGCACCCGGCCTCCTTGGGATAAATTTGTTTCCATTTTTTGGATAAAGATTATCTCAATTCATATCTTTTTTTTTTTTTTTTTTTTTTTTTTTTTTTTTTTGAGACAGAGTCTTTCTCCGTCACCCAGGCTGGAGTACAGTGGTGCAGTGGTGCGATCTCGGCTCACTGCAACCTTTGACTCCCAGGTTCAAGCAATTCCTCTGCCTCAGTCTCCTGAGTAGCTGGGATTACAGGTGCCTGCCACCAAGTCCAGCTAATTTTTTTGTATTTTTAGTAGAGACAGGGTTTCACTGTATTAGCCAGGATGGTCTCGATCTCCTGACCTCGTGATCCACCCGCCTCAGCCTCCCAAAGTGCTGGGATTGGAGGCATGAGCCACCATGCCTGGTCCATTGTATTTGTTTTTTAACAGCTTTACTGAGATGTAACTCACATACCATACACTTCATTCATTTAAAGTGTACAATTCAATGCTTTTTAGTATATTTACAGAGCTGTGCAATCATCACCACAATCAACTTTAGAACATTTTTATCACTTCCAAAAGAAACCCCATCCCCATTAGCAGACACTACCATTCTCCTGAACCCCCACCCCTAAGCAACCACTAAGTGTTTTGTCTTTATAGATTTGTCTATTCTGGATATTTTATACAAACGGAATCATACAGTATGTGGTCCTTTGTGACTGGCTTCTTTCATTTAGTATGTTTTCAAGATTTATGCACATTGTAGTATATATTAGTACTTCATTCCTTCTTATTGCCAAATATGTCATTGTATATACTACATTTTATTTATTATTAATCAATTAATGGACTTACAGATTGATCACTTTCTACTTTTTGGCTATTATGAATGGTGCTGCTATGAATATTCATGTACAAGTTTTTGTGAAGGTACATTTTTGTTTATCTTCTTGGGTATATACCTAGGAGTGGAGTTGCCAACTGGTTCCATTTGACCTTACCTAATTTTCTGGGTTAACACTCCTATATTGTGTTTATGTGCGTGCATGTGTGTGTGTGTGTGTGTGTGTGTGTGTGTGTGTGTGTATGGCAGAAAGACACACAGAGAGAGACAGAAAAGAGAAAGAGAGGCCGTACCTATTTGCGTGTCTTATCTGAAATTTTTGCATGCATAGCAGATTCAATAATCATGGAGTTGAAAAGATGGCATCAAAGTGATTGGCTCAAAACATCCTACAAAGGAAAAACTTTCTGGAAAAAATGTCTAACTTGAGTTGAGCTGGTTTTTGTAAAGAGCTGGAGAGAAGAGAGAAGATAGTGCTGTAGTAGGGGCCACAGCACAAGTAAAGGCCTGGTGATTGGGCTGGATATAGAGTACTTGGGGAATAAGTAAAAGTTAGTAGAAGGAGAGGCTGGAATGATTTGTTAGGAATCACCTCATCAAGGTCTTTGAATGGCAGCCTCAAGGGTTTAAAGACTACATTTTTATAGCTTTAGGGGAGCCATTGGAGACTGTGGTTTAGATACTTCAATCACATGATCATATCAGATGGGCATGATCACAGCGATGACTGGCAGGTGCAGGCAGGATGGACCTAAGCGGGGAGACACTAAGCAAGCCCTTGTCCTTAGGAGTCTATTGCAGCAATTCAGGGCTGAGGTAAAGGCTCTGAGCATAGCCAGCTGGAAGTCAGTAGCTTAAATATTGATTTAGTGGGCAAAAGCCGCATTTATCACGGGGCTGGTTCCCTAAAAATCCTGTGCCTATGTGCAGGGAACTCATCATTTCCCTATTACACAAATTGATTAGGTCATTCGGAGCTGAGATTGATGCCAGAGATTTGCTGCTAATCAAGCTAGAATAGCAAGTTGGAGGACAAGACAGGCCTTCTGCCAACTGGGCAAGGAACTGGTCCCAGAGGCAGAGAATACTGCAGCGAAGCACCCTGTGTTTGCTTGGGAAGTCTGGGCAAAGATAGCCTCTGAGAGGCCTGGCAATGCCCTTCAGTTACATCTGGAGTCTCCAGGGCAACTCCTAGAATGACACATCTCAGGGCTTCTGTCAAGAGCTGACCAGCCAAGCGGAATCCAGCCCCAGAGGTCCATGACAGGGCTGTCCTCACTGTGTACTGAAGCTGTTAAGAGTGGGGGTACTGGGGGAACAGGGCCTAGGGCAGCATCTGTGGAGAGTCCAGGGGAGCCAAAGCCTTGGAGAAAGAGTTGACTGTTTTGGCAATAATAACAATAGTCTGCAATAACAAAAATTTGTGTTTGTATACACCTTCTGCTGTGCTCCAGAAAAGAGGGAGGTTCGACTTTCTTGGTGGATAAGATATTCTCCCCCTCACACAACGATACCCTAGGCCCATTGTAAGAAGAGCCCTGCAAAACTAGCCACATGCCATCCAGTGCCAGGAAGCCTAGTTCTGAAATGGTGGTGGTGGAGTTTCCACCCATCTGTCCCTACCACAGAGGGAAGTGTACTTGGCTCCATCTATAAACTGAGGCAGCATATCTGGGAAGAACCAAATCTCCAGAGCACCCTGGTTTGGGACAATCAACACCCCAAGTCAAATGCCTTTCAGCTTTCAGCAGCTCTCCTGTCTGCGACCGGCCCTAGTTTCGAAGGCGGGAAATGCTCAGTGAGTAGTGGAGGGAACACTTTTAGTACTATGACCCGTAATTGACTGACGCTGCTGCCACCACTTTGGGTTGACCTTAGCCCGGGATTGGAAATGGGCGGTAGGGCAGGGGGCAGGGGTCTGCTTTTTGCCACCGCTCACCCACCTGGGATATCTAAGTACAGTCACCATTATTATTTTTATTTTCTGCCATCATATCATCACCAGGGTCTTGCTTCCCGCAGTCCATAGTAAGCGGGAGGACAGGGAAGGAGCTGGCTGCCCGAAGAGGATGATTTTCCGCCTGTACTGAGGGTGTTCCACGCCAGAACTTTTGTGGCCCCGGCAAAGCCGGCTTGTGTCCAGCAGAGGAGCACCCGCAGCCGCGCGGGGCATCCGTCGTCTTTTCCTGCCGCGGTGGGGCGTAGGGGGGCGACCATTTCCCAGGGGCGTTCCATAGCACACCGTTCCCCGCGCCGGCCTCAGGGGAGCTGCCAGTGAGCTTCCCCTACACCTCCTCTATTCCTCTACTCTCTACCGCACCCAGGGTGTTATTCCCCGCCCCGGGCTAGAGGGGTCGGTGAGCTGGGGTGGCGCGAGGAGCCCGGCAGTCCGCCGGGCCTGGGCTCTTTCTCCCTGTGGCACCTTGGCCCCCTACCCGCGCTTGACTCCTCCCCCGTCTCTATTCCGCAGCGTCCCCGCCCTGTCAGCAGCCTGCTTCAGCGACCGCACCTGCCTCGGGTGGCGGGTAGGGGGGTGCACACGGGAGGTAGAAAGGAAAACAGGGAAGGTTTGGGGTGCACAGCACAGCGGGGTGAGCAGCCTTGCCCGCGCCTCGGACCCCTGGCAGCCCTAGCGGCGCCCGCCCGCGGCTGCGGCACCGATGCGCTGTCCGCGGTGCTGACGCCGGCCGCCCGCTCGGTCGGGAGGGGGAGCAAACGCCCTCGTTCCCAGGTCGCCCGGAGCCCAGCGACCGCCTCTCCCCGATTCCCCGTTTCCAGTGGAACCCGCTGCGTCCTGGGGCTGCGGTTCGATCCAGGGCAAAGGAGTGAACGAAGGGAACTTAAACTTCGGACTAACGCCCGAGAATCCAGTGTCGGCGATTCGCGTCGCGCGGCCTCCAGCCCTGGAGACCTCAGAGCACCACCAACTTGAGCAAAGTTTCACCGCGGCATGAGATAAGGGAGAGATTCCAGAGGCGAAGCGCAGGGAGGAGCAAGACGAGGTTCCCCGGCGGAGTGGTAGCCCGCACCGCAGTCGGACACCTGCTCCGGTGCCCCGCATTGGTGCCGCCAGAGCCACCGGGAGGCGTCGCAGCAGCCCAACTCTCCACCCCCTCCCTCCTGTCCCTACTCACCCCTCCCCAACACCCCGCCCCGGGCGCCAGTGACTCCGCCTCTCCCTGCCGGGCGGCTCTTCGGCTGGAGCTGAGAAAGGAGCGCTTCCCCGGACTCGGCTCGGCTCCGAGGCTCTGAAGCCGACGCCGCCAGCTCAGCCCCGGGGGCGGGAGCAGGACTGCCCGCACAGCCCGCACCTAGGAGGCGCCGATCCCGAACGCCTCATGGGACGCCCCCGGGGGCTCTCTCCACGCCTTGCTGCCGCGTCCCGGTCCTAGGCGCCCGGGATCCACGGCCCACCCCGCCCGCAGCCCGCGGCCTGTCTGGAGAGGAGTATGAGGCCCGGGGCCCCGCGGACGCCGGCCACCGGGCGGCAGGGGCCTAGCTGCGGAGCCCCGCGCCCGAGAGCGGCGGGTAAGGAGCCGCGGGAGCCGGCGAGGCGTCGGGGCGCGCAGAGGAGCGCCCCTGCCCGGGCACCCGCTGGGCCACGGGACTCGCGTGTGGCCTGAGCGCCGGGGAGGAGGCGGAGGCGCCCCTCTGTCCGGGCTCTGGGAAGGCGACGAGGGGCTCTGCGAAGGCGGCGAGGGGCTCCGCGGCGGCCCCGGACCCCTGGCCACCATCCTCACGCTCCTGCTCCCGCCGGGGGGATGTCGTGGCCCGGGCCCCGAGCGCCGCCCCGGCCCCGGGGCTGAGCTCCGGACCATGTCCTCCCGCAGCCCCCGGCCCCCGCCCCGCCGTAGCCGCCGCCGCCTGCCGCGCCCCTCCTGCTGCTGCTGCTGCTGCCGCCGTTCGCACCTCAACGAGGACACCGGCCGCTTCGTGCTGCTGGCGGCGCTCATCGGCCTCTACCTGGTGGCGGGTGCCACAGTCTTCTCGGCGCTCGAGAGCCCCGGCGAGGCGGAGGCGCGGGCGCGCTGGGGCGCCACGCTGCGCAACTTCAGCGCTGCGCACGGCGTGGCCGAGCCAGAGCTGCGCGCCTTCCTCCGGCACTACGAGGCCGCGCTGGCCGCCGGCGTCCGCGCCGACGCGCTGCGCCCGCGCTGGGACTTCCCCGGCGCCTTCTACTTCGTGGGCACCGTGGTGTCAACCATAGGTGAGCGGCGCGTCCCCCGCGCATCTTTCCTCTCTGTGCCTTTCACCTGCCGCCCTTTCCACTGCTCGGCCGCTCGGTCCGCGTCCCTCGGCTCTGCCTTCCCTTCTAATGTCCCTTTGCTTACTTTCGTCTCGCCCTCTTCTCCGCCGGCCCCCGTTCTCTCTCTCTCTCTCCCTCCCGGCTTTCAGTGAGGGAAGAAAGCCCACCTCTGGCGCTCACCCCGGGCCGCCTGTGCTCCAACACTGGCCGGCTCTGTGATCTGACCTTTGTGAGCCTCCGTTTTCTCCTCTAAGAATACGTGCCAAGGGCTACCGGTTCCTTCCTGTTTTCCACCCACAACCCCCAGGCCTCAGTTTCCTCTCCAGGATGATCTCAAAAGCCCCTTCTCCCTCCACCCTCGGCGCTTTTATTTCTTTTCATAGTCTCCCCCGCTTTCTTCTTTTACCCTGTTTTCTCCCTCAGTGGCCTCTAACTCCTTTACCCTGGAGAGGGTGACCACTTGCCCCAGGATCACTTTCCCTACATCTCCTTCCCACTTGCTTCTCCTACAGTCTATACCGCCCCCCAAAGTAAAGCCCGTTAGCCTGAGGCCAGGACTTCAGCTGCTGTTGTTCTGCCTCCCTTCCTTGTGTTCTCCCCCAGCTCCCAGCCCCTTCTCCAATTTCTTGACCCTTTTTTTGTTCCCTTGCCACTTTTTCCAACCATTAGTGGTACCAAGGGGTAGCTGGGAGCAGGGATAGTTCCCCTATTCTTTCCATCATCTCTTCTCTCTTTTTTTGGATATAAACAGTTCACGTTTTCTCAACCTTATGAAGAATGCTGTGTCAATACTCCTTCAGGCCCCCACCCCTCCCTCTGTGGCCAGATTGCTGCCTCTGAGCTCCTGTGGAGAAATTCTGGAGCCACCCCTGCTCTCCATCCACCCCTTCATTCCTCTTTCTTCCTCTCCTCTCACTCACTTTTCCCATCCCCCACTTTCCCTGGGCCCTGGGTGTCATGTGAAACAAAGCCCCCACCCTCGGTTACTCACCTGTATAGAGTGCAGCAGAAACGCATGCTTATCACCTTGACAAGGCTGTGTGTGTCCCCCCACTCCTGCTTTGAATCCCAGGATGGAAGAAGGCACTTGGCTGGTCACACCTCTAGTCACCCTAAGGCACTCTCTCCTGTGCAGTTTTGGAGGAGGGGGCTGGATTTGCTGGGCTTGAGAAGTGAGGGATTTCATAGACACACCTTCTGGAGTGGTTTGGTATGCCAGTTCAGATACAGAGGCATGGACTGTAACTGCCCAGGATAAGCCACAGCAGATGGCTGGTTGGAGGCAGGGAGAGAGGCTGCCTCCATGTGCAGCATATGAGCAGCTAGAGATGTCTCTCTAAGTGTATATGTATAGTCTATGAAAGCACTTCCTTGCCTTCAATGATTTTTCATGTGTCATGCTTGATCTGATTATTTTAAATAGAAAAGGCAAATATGGCCCAAGTCCAAGGCACACACAAATTGGATAAAAATACCCTTTAAAAAGCTATATCATGTTGTTATGGTGATAGAAGATATAAAATGACCCCCTCAAAAAAAATCCCCTTTTAAGAGCTGCATCAAGTTGCTATAGCAACTAGAGTTTTTTTTTTTTTAAGTGCTTTAAAAGTACTAAGGATGCTTAGTCCTAGAGGATGACATCATGCATCCATAGCTCATTGTTGACTTGTGCTCTTCTTCTTGTAAACACGCCCTTTCCCTTTCTTCCACCTAGAGGCACCTGTGCACATATTGGGTGGTCATAGCACTTTCTCCCAGTGACATGTTCCGGCTTCCTAATGGAACCCACAGGCTAAAGGGGAAGCTGTTGGCAGTGTCCCTTTCCTTTTTGGGCCATGAGTCCATCCAAATAAGGCCCCATTCCAATGGCCTGTGGTCTCTGTGCCTCTCTGATGAGCTCCATCAATCTGTCATTCGGTGCTCCTTTGGAGGCACTGATTCTGAGCCCAGCCACAGCTTCTAAAGCTTCTCTTTCAGCAGTTTACACAAAATCAAGTCAGTGTGTTGGGAAATTGTTCCATGCCCCAGCCTTTAGTCTACTGGCAGGATTGACTGTTCTTTAGTCAAGTGGAAAGGAGCTATA
Source organism: Homo sapiens (assembly GCF_000001405.40). Lineage (NCBI taxonomy): Eukaryota > Metazoa > Chordata > Mammalia > Primates > Hominidae > Homo > Homo sapiens. Next base: position 47,567,818 of record NC_000002.12, on the reverse strand, counting down.
TTCTCTTTCTTGATTCGTGTTTTCAGATGTAGGCAAGCAATGTAGGAGGGCTACACTGAAGCATGTGGTTATATTACGAGTGACCCAGCACGTTGCTTCCAAAATCTGCGGGGAAACATTTAAACCAGCCTGTGTACAGCTCAGGGTTGAACCAGGCCTCTGTGAGGATGCCAAGACAGCCACAAAAGTAGCAGGGTCTCTGCTGATTATTGCCCCTGCTGGGATATTCTGGGGTCAGTGGTTCAAATTGGTCACTTCCATCAGTCAGATAAGTTCTGCTGAATCCCCAAGTAGCATAATTGGCATTTCAGCTTTCTCTTTGCAAAATGCATTTGGATGAGGTTTAAGTAAAGATCTCCACAGGTCAGTTTCTCTTCTGCTTACATAGTTCCTTTCTCTTAAATGGCCTGAATCTTCAAAGACAATTATTATTATTATTATTGATGCTTGTATGGGTTCAACAGATCAGGGAGCAAAACCTCAGTCCACAAAAAATGGGCAGTCAGGATTCTTTATCTGACTCTTTATCCAATGAAGAGGAAAATTAGCACATACTCAGTTTTATTTGATGAGTGAGTATCACAGTGTATATGGTTCATACAGTGCTGTGGAATTCAGGGGAACAAAATGATTTGATTCAGCTATTTATACTGCCTAATCAAAAGGACATACGTATGTGTGTGTGTGTTGTGTAGACCCAGATATGTGATTCATCTAGACTTTAGTATTGGAAATCTTTCCTTCCATTCATTCCGTAACATGATTGTATGTATCAGGCTGTATTTTGAAAGGTTAAAGCTTACTCTGCATGGCAGAGATTAAGGCATATTCCAACATGGGCAGCTGGATCACAGCATTTATGAGCAACGTATCTTGGCCATCCTCACTGAAGATGATTAGAACAAGAAGGGGACCTTTTTGGTCCAATCTCATGTGGCACAGGGTTAGGGGACTTGTCAGTGGTCACACAGTTAATGAGGGGTTCAGCTAGGTCCAGAAACCAAGTTGTGCAATATCCACCAATTTCATGCATATAATTGGTGGGAACGTTCTTGTTTGAGATTGCAATATTTAATAATGTCTGTCTGTCTGAGTGTGAGAGAGAGTGTATGTGTGTGTAACCAGGGCAGGGACTGGTCTGCTGGTCTATTGGTCACGTCATCAACTGATTAAGTCCAGAGAAAACTTGAAGGACAAGACAGATTTACAGGCCAGACAAGTTAGAAGCATCTGGCAGGTCTTAGTTAGCTAGACAGGCAAAAGCCAGCCTAAAGGGCAGAGATGGGGTACTAGCAAGTAGGAGAACTTCTGGCAAACTGTGGTCTAAGGACAGAAGTCACTTGCTTTCTGCCCTTTTTTGCACCAGTGTGTGTATGTGTGTGTGCACGTGTGTGTGTACACACGTGCACACACACACTCTTGAGAGCACATGTGTATAGAGGAGGGGAAGAAGGAGCAGGAATGGGCTTTCACCTGGTGGAAGACGTAATGAAAGGTTCAGGTATGGCTGTGTGTACTCAAGGTTACATGGAACACCACAATGAAGTAGAATGTTTGTCCTGATATTTGGTTTGAACAGGGCCCCGTATCCACAGCTGGGCAGTTTGCAATCGTGTAGATACACGTGTGTCTACACAGTGCGGTACCAGTGGAAAATTTTGCCTGTGATTATTCAGCAGCCGTTCAGGCTGTGTAGAAAGTCAATCTGAATAGCTCAAGCGAAATAAAAATCCACTTTGTGGTCTAAATTATTCATACCGATTGCTTACACTGAACTGAAATCCTGGGTAATTATTATTTCTCCCATTTATGCTATGTGACATATTCCCTGGGGGTTGAAATCAAGTTTGTTTTAATGTGAATGTATCCATTTATTCATTCTGCCAATTAAAAAACATCTAAGACAAGCATCACTCATCATAGATGCATGTGTGGCCTTTGGCATGTTGTCTGCACTTCCTGTGATTGTATGAACTCCTAAAGATAAAGATAACTGTCTTGTGTTCTTTTAGCACGAAACAATATTCTTGAAGACAGTATTCCAGCTCAGAGATATTCCAAACAATCCAAACAGAATTAACCCATCACTTCACATCCTAAAGGATGTTTATCAGTTAACTTTGAAAAGATTAAATGGAAACTCTCCACTGGGGTTTTAATTATGCATCTGCTGTCAGATTTACACATAGGAAAGAACATATTTTAAAATCTTTCTCAAATGGCAGCTTGATATAAACAGAAATATTTTTGCTTCCTTTTATTAGGTTTTCTGGCAGCGTTTTTTAGCTATAAAGCTAAAATCATGCCGCTGTAGACGGGATGGTGTAGGTATAAGAGTTGTCACTTTTGGCACTGCATAATTTAGCTTGCTACTTTCAGAATTAGGCACACTTAATTATTCAGCCACGAGATTAGTAACAAGTCCTAACTTTTTCCCTCTTTTTCAACATGGATTTTTAAAACTCTTTTTGCTACAAAGGAAACTAAGACATTATAAGCCCAAAATGTCACTACCACATTTACATTCAACTTTCTTCTAACATGTATGTAATCCAGCTGGAGATAGTTTTGATATCTGGAATGAAACACATTATCCAGAAGGAGAGGCGCATCCTTCCTTGCGTATTTCTCTCATCAACTTTTTTTTTTAAAGAGACACAGTCTTACTCCATTGCCCAGGCTGGAGTACAGTGGTGCAAACACAGCTTACCATAGCCTCAACCTCCTGGGCACAAGCAATCTTTCCACCGCAGCCTCCCAAGAAGCTGGGATCACAGGCACACATCACCACACCTGGCTACTTTTTTTTTTTTTTAAGAGACAGGGCCTCGCTACATTGCCCAGGCTGATGTCAAACTCCCGGGCTCAAGCAATCCTGCTACCCCAGCCTTTCAGCGTGCTGGGATTACACCCGGGAGCCACCAGCCACCATGCCCAGTCTCATCAACTATTTTTTATTGAAAGATGATGCTGTGACAGCTTTGAAGGACATTTAGGAAGAAAATATCTCCTTAAATTTGAAACTCTGGGTGGAGAGCAGGAAATGTATTACCATTCACTGCTCCATCCTCAGCACCCAGCATCAGACCTAGCCCATAGTAAACAATATTTATTATATGAATAAGAGAACAAGTCATTCATGATACCACTGCACTAACACAACTCTTCATGTCTGCACGTTCCCCTGCAGTTCCTTGTCATGCCTTTTGTAGGAAAAAGAAAGGAAACTAACTGATGTGTACTGAGCTGCTTCTGTTTTATTAACATTTTATTACTGATGTTGTTTCTGTGTTTTCACGTAGTCTAATTTTAGTGGGTGCATAATATTCCATCTAGTTGATGTTCTGTAATTCACTACCCCTATTGCTGGATAGCTGGGTGTTTCCCAGTTTGGGGCTATTTTGAGTAATGACACAGTGATCATCTTTACGCAAGATGGCCTTTTCTTTCTGTGATATCTCCTTGGGATGACTTCCAGCTGGTGAAATTGCTGAGTCAGTGGGTACTGCTGTCTTCATGGTGCTTGTGGCCAGCCCCTTTGGAGCGAGAGACTGTCTGGTCTCTTTGTATCTGAGCCTATGCCTCTACAAAGCCTAGGAGCGACTGGACAGTTATCCACCTAATTGCTCCATGGAAAGGGGCCGCACATCCACTTGGTTTTCTCCAGGACTGCACTCAGTTCCAGGAGGTGAGCTGCCTCCCGAACAAGCCTGTGGCGTTAGGATCTTCAACCTCCCTTGTTTTAATGAGAGCAGCTTCCTTTGGGAAGTTCTGGGAGAGTGGAGAAAGGTAAGAAGAAAAAACAGGTGGGGGCACTGCCAGGCCATCAAAAACTGAGACAAGAAAGGTACCTGGATCCCCCTGCTCTCCCCTGGACTCCCAGGAATGGTCTGCCGCTATTCCTGGGCCAAGCCAGCTGAGAGAGAACATATTTCCACTCAGTCTTGACTATGCCCAAGGGCCTCCGCGTCGAACAGCTCAGAATTGTGCCGAATGGAGCAAAGGTACACTCCTAGAGTATTCTAGCTGGAAGCACCACAAAGATCCTTCATAACTTTCCCCAGGCATGTAGACCATTTTGTCAACAAAAGCCAACAATCAGCCCATTATAGCAAATAGGAGCAGAGCTGCTGTAATTAGGGGTGGGGGCTGGAGTCCGGACCAGTGGGCCTTTCCTCAGTTGCCGCCCGCTCCCTGAAGTCTTCTCTGAAGAGCCCTAGAGCATCTCCAAGACCAGCCCAAAGCGGGTGAATTTACCCTTGTTCCTCATTTTACACAAGGCTCAGAGAGGAGGAGAGGTTGCCCAAGTTACCCAGCAAGTCAAAGGGGGATTCCCTGAGAGCTTGCGCTCTCATCCTCCCTAGAAGAGTTACATCAATATTGCCAAAGGTAGGTGTATCTCTCTCACTCTCCCACACCCTTTCTTACACACATAATTCTCACACAAACAGCACACACAGACACACACACACACTGCTCACATAGACAAGTAGAGAATCCAGTACAGTTCTGAGAGGGCACCAAGGCTTCCCAGAAGGGGTGAGTGTTGCGCTACGCACAGAGGGGAGGAGCTGGAGAGAAGGGTGGGTATCTGAGGAGCAGAAGGCAGGCTGAGTGACTTGTGAGGGGGCTTTGGGTAAAAACTCCTGCTTGATCTGGAGATGGTGGTGGTAGCCTTGGGTAAGTGTTCAGTAAGTGTACCCATCCCTGACACCTGGAGCAGCACTCCCATGCCTTGTTTGGCTGCCTCAGATTCAGAGGATCTTGGAAACAACAAAAGGCCGTTGGTCTATTCCTGTGTCACCCCCAGCTCTGGAGTCCTCCCCAAGTTTTCTGGCCCTTCCATTTTTTCCGTCCAGTTCCACTGACTTTCCGGGGTCGGGGGCTCTGCATGGGGCCACCAGCCAGCAATCCGGAAAGTGTGTGGAGCCCAAGGTGGGTGCTTTGGGCAGAGTCCAGCCTCTGATCCTCACCAAAGTTTTTTTAAGAGACACGGTCATACTCTCTGCAGAGTTTCTACACGGGGAGAGTTGGTGAGGAACAGGGGGTGGAGGGGCTTGAAACTGCAGGAAGCACAGCAGTTTCCAGGAGGTTGGGGAGGTGCTGGTAGAGAATGAAGAAGGGTACTGAAGCCCCTTGGCTCTCACCCTAAGCCAACTCTTGGCTACCACTGCTATGAGACTCTGGCCCCAGGAAGTTCTACCCCAAACCCTGCCATTCCCTAGCCACCTACCAGGGGACTCTAGGTCCCCTCTCCAAGTGGCCACTGGCTGTGGTGGAGAATGCTCCGGACTCTGTCTTGTGAGTGCTGCCTCCTCCCTGCGCTTGGCCAACCCCCAACATGGGGCTAAGTTCCTGGCTTACTAGCAGGTCAGTGGTAACTGGTGTGCCTGGGCCCTTAGAAAAATTGAGCCCTGGGGTTTCTCCTCCATCTGCTTCCTCCAGATCCCAGAGGATCTCATTCCAAGGTGACCTCAGGATGAAGCATCCAGAATCTTGTAATTGCAGATTTTACAATGTTCACAGTGTCTTTATACTCAACAGCAACAGATGTTACAGACCAGGAAGGTAGGATAGCATGCAGCAGTGCTTTTCAAACTGTAAGGTGCCTGGAACCACCTGGGAATCTGCTTACCAAGTAGTTTCTGTTGAGTAGGTCTGGGGTGGGACCTGACAGTCTGCATTCCTCATGAGCTCCTGGCAATGCCTATGCTGATGCACTTGGAGTCGCTAGGGTAGAGAGAACAGCGGTGAGTCAGGCACTAGGAGTCTAGACCTGGCTCTGCCACTAACTGGCTGCGTGGCTTTAGGCAGGACATATCACCATTCAGTGCCTCAGTTTCTCCCTTACTAAAAGAAGGGAATGCCCAAGGTCCTTTGAGCCCCTTCTTAGCTCAGATGTTCTTATATCTGGGAAGACTATTGGCTCATATCCTTCCTTCCAGTATAGTTTAGTGTCGACTCTAAACACACCAGCACTGCAGCCAGCCTGCTTGCCTGGATTCACGTCCTAATTCTTAAGTATTCAAACTGTGTGGTTCTGGTGAGTGGATATACTTCTCCTTGCCTCAGTTGCCTCCTCTCTAAAGTGAAGACCATGATGGTTCTTACCCCATGGGGTTACTTTAAAGACTGAAGGCTCTAACCCATGGGTGCAGTGCCTGGTAACCATGAGTAGCATCTGCTCCCCAGATCTCGGCAACCCTGTTGGTGAGCCCTGCCCTGCCTCTCTGTGAAGGAGGGGAGGCCAAGGCACATTTCCTTCCCTGTAGCTCACCCGGCCACACCACCCTGTGCATGGTCCAGTCCTCTGGGCCTCAGCCCCCCTGCTGTGTGGCACCTGCTGCACTCTGGTTGGTCACTGCCTCTCGGGTGTGTTGTGTCCTATGCTGTTACATAACCAGCCTGGAAGGGTACTTTTGAAAATGCATTTTCTTTGGGTCCTCAACTAGAATATCTTAATCATCCCTCATAGGCGCAGTGCTCTTTAATCATTGTCAAGGATGTAATTGGTGGATAACTGAATGAATGATTGAGTGGTGAGTTAGACCAGTGACATCCAGTGCTTCTCTGCCCCCCACACCCGGAGCAGAGCCCTGGGCAGCCACAATCCTGGCCACCCTCCTTGTTTCCAGGTGTGCTGAGGCCTCTTGGCAGTGCTTAGGCTGAGGAGGAGGTCATGGAGTTGAAGAGTAGCAGGGAAGCCAGATGCTGGCTGAGGCCAGGTCCCGCCACACTTCTCTGAGGTGGGTCCAGTGTCATGGCTGCTGGGTGAAGGTCGCTGAAGGAAGGCACTGCAGCAAATAGCCCCATGTGTGGGTGCCAGGCTGCTGCTCCCTGCACCCCAGGGCTACCATGACTCCCTGGTGGGTGGAGGAAGCACCGGGACCCCCTTCCCAGGCAGAAGCCTCCCGGAGCAGGACAGGATCTGGGGCCAGGGGAGGCCACAGAGCCCACCAGTATCTCCCCTTTCCAAACTCTCCATCATGCCAGCAGCCAATGCCTTTGTTCTGGGGAGTGAGGGGGATAACTGAGGCATTGTTGGTCTCCCTGATTGACTCCCCTCCCTGCCACATGTCATGTTTGCCAGTTCACTGTGTTTTTATCTGTGTTTACTCAGTAAGCTCCCAAAAATCCTAGGACAGCAAAGAAAATTATATCCCATTTCACAGATGACAGGCTCAGAGAGGTTAAGCAACTTTCTTGGCATCACACAGCAAGTCAGTCAATGGCAGAATAGAGGATCCACGGCTCCTGACTGCTCAAGATCTCTGCTGTCTCTGAATTGTGCAGTTCCACAGAGGGGGAAGAACCATAGCCCAGCCTGGGGTCTGCAGGGTTGTGTGGGTGGAGGAGGAGGATGAGGAGGCATCAGTGAGAGCTGAAGCACAGTTTGGGGACTCTGGGATTTGGCTGTGCTGTGCTTCTGGCAGTGTCAGTGGCTACACTAAAGCGAGGGCTGCCTGCTTCCCATCCTTCGCCACCTAGTACCTCTCTGTGAAGGAGGCTGCCAACCAGATCGGAGAGGGTAGAGCACGTGCTTCCCACAGAGCTCACCAGAACTCTGGGAACTTGTTGAAGAGGACCGAGCTCCCGCCCAGACCTGAGAACCCTCAGCCTTGCACTGGAAACAGCTGCAGTGGGCATGGACAGGCGGGACAGAAAACCAAAAAAACAGGAGGGCCTCCCTTAAGCACACCAGCAAGGAAAGCCTGGGGACATAGCCAGCTCAGAACTCGCCTCCTGAAGGGTGGTTGGCTTGAGGGAGACTCTGCCTAAGGTCATGTCCTGAAACAGACCCTGCCTAGACCTTGCACCAAGCGCCTGCCAGTGCTACTCTCTTCTCTAGCCACCCTTAACTTCTGTCCCCCTTACCTCGCACTTTAAGCCTCTAGGCTGTTACATATGCTGTACTCTCCACCTGGAATGCCCTTCCCTTCCTCCCTGTTTTCTACCAGGTGAAATCAGTCTTCAAGATCCAGCTCAAATGGTGCCACTAGAGAGGGACCTACTGTGAAGTCCCTCTTACTGCCCTCAGACCTGTGCCAATCATTTGTTTCTATGCCAGCTTCCCCATCTGCGAAGTAAGCCACCGTTCAGTGGGTTAAGATGTGTCTAAAGCTGGCCCAGGGCCCAGCACATAGTAGGTATGCAGAAAACGTAGTTTCTTCTTTCTCCACCTCAGAAGCTACATCTTAGTAGTGCTTGTCACTGTTACAATTAATAACATGATAATAACCATCATGGCAGCAGCTATGCATTGAATGACTACTTCGAAGTGCAGCAAAGAGGTAATTTCTGTCAATCATGGAGCATAATACTTGGCACAAAGTAGGTGATTAATCAACATATGTTGAGTGGATGGAATGAATGAGTAACTGAAAACCCTGGACTGCTGGAAATTAACAACAAAAAATAAAAACTGAGCAAGCTGGGCCCAGACCACGTTTCCAGAACCTCCCAGGGCCTCCCTGCTGGGCTCCCCACTCCTACAGCTGGAGGGGCTGGCTGTGCATGAGCCCCTCTGCTGGGCCGTTGCTTTAATGCTCTCTCAGTGGCTGGCAGGTGTGCAGCAGGGCAGCCAGCTCATTCTGGAGCTCCCCTCCCTGGCAGTGCGTTTCCATGGCTCTCTGAGTCAGCTGGGTCCTTATCCTGACCCTGCCCTGGACTGAAACCAAACTAGACAATTCTAAGCCTCAGCCCTTGTTACCCTCAGAAAGCAGTAGGAAAAGTTCAGTTCTGAACTAGGGGGGCTTCTGGTCCTAGTTTTCCCACTGACTCAGATTTCCTATCTGGCCCTGGCCTTGGCCACATCTCTTAGCCATAAAGAGGCCCTGCTCAATTCCACCTCTCAGTCCAGTGGTTCTGCCTTTTCTCTTCACCTGCCCAGGACACATTCCTTAGAAACTGGAGGTTGCTTCACACATTTGACGGAAGTTTAATCAGTAATGAAATGCAATTCCACAAACCAGGAAAAGCCACCCCCACCCACACGGCCCAGCACCATCACAATGCCTCCAAAAATACTTGGGGAAGCTTTTATTGGAATCAGTTGTCCTAGCTTTCTGGAAAGTTTCAGTTGAGATAAACGCAAACTCCGAATCGCACTCCGCGTGACTCCTCTCTAATCCTTTCCAAATGGCCATGATCCTCTTCCCTGCTGCCAAGTGTTCTGAATTCTGAGCGCCTCGTGTGAGCCTGTTTAGCTGCTAACACCAGGACCTGCCAGGAATTCTGCAGGGACAGCCCAGGTGCGAGGGGGAAAGGTAGGCACGGGCCTCTGCCTGTGCTGAGTGTGTTGGCATTTCCTAGGGGCGGGGTGCATTTTGGAGGCCATGCAGGTTTGGATTGCTGGGTTCTCTTCTAAAATGGAAGGTCGGGAAAGAAAGCTGAGATTGCATGGGAGCTAATTCTGAAGGTCTGGCAGCCTCAGTGGCAGGCAGGGAAGAGGTCCTTGCCTGTGTCAGTGCAGAAGTGGGACTGCAGGGCCTGCCCCTGCCAGCACCCTCTTTGTCACTCCCCACACTTCCTGCTGGTTTGGCATGGAATCACTTGTGTGACTGTGTGCTTAGCATCTGCTTCTCTTGCCAGATTCTGGGTTCCTGGAAGATGAGAACGCTATCTCCTCCATTCCCCTCCATGTCTCCAGTGCCTGGCACAGGGCATGGCACATGGGAGGGGCTACAGAAATATTTTCAGAATCAATGTAAATTTGAATGAATGGCCGTTTCCAAGATTCCCAACTCTACCTAGGCACCTGTTTTATAAAAAGTAAAATATGATGATCAGATGATGACCTGCTTTGTAAAAGAAGGCTTTGCTTCTCAAAGGGATTCATTCCAAAGCTCCTGTAAGCAGCAACATACCCCATTATATTTAAAGAGAGATGTAACTTGTAACCAATGTCAGGAACCCAGCAGCTGCATGAAGTCCACCTTACTGCCGTTTCTACCTTCACAGTCCCCGAATCCCTAAGGCATCTCAGTTCCTAACATCAAATTAGTGAGCAATATACATGACCCAGAAGGCAGTTCAGCAGAGTATATAACAAGAGCTGAAGTGGGTCATACACCTGTACTGATTGGAGTTGTTCGGGCCTCTTGGTGCAGTCAAGCAGAGATTGGATTGTATGCCTAACATACGGAAATTGCCTTACAAAGCTCCTTGATGTGCATTGTTCAGCCGGGCAGGTATGCATTATTCATGTATCCATTTTAAGAATGAAGAAATCTGCATTGCCAAGTGACAATTTGCAGTACAATGTAGTGGTTAGGGAGAGAATGCTGGGGGCCCTGGTCTTGGGTATGAATTTTAGCTTGTCTTGGTCTGTTTTCTGCTTCCATAACAGAATATCACAGACTGGGTAATTTATTAAAAAAAAACAAACAAAAAAAAGTTGATTTCACTCACCATTCTGGAGGCTGGGAAGTTTATGATAGAGGGCTCTGGCATCTGGCAAGAGTCATCCATGTGGAAGGCATCACATGGTGAGCAAGTGCAGGACAGAATCAGCCCAAACTCATCCTTTTATCAGGAGCCCACTCCCGCAATAACCAACCCACTCCAGTGATGATGACATTAATCCATTCATGAGAACAGAACCCACATGATCCAATCACCTCTTAAAGTTCTCACCTCTTAAAAGTCTTACAATAGCCATTGGATTTCAACGTAAGTTTTGGAGGAGACATTCAAACCATAGCAAGCTCTGTCATTGGGGTTGCCAGCATGCATCTCCTGCCCATTCACTGAAGTCTGCCTCACTGAGTTCCTCTCCAGCCTTCTCCAGCCTCCCACAGATGATGCATCCAAGAACTGGGCTCCTTAACCATCTCATCTATAACCATATTTCTTTCCATCCCACCCCAGCAGGTCATTTGGTTCTATCTATGTATGTCCTTGCTATTACTAGTAACTGCATTACCTTCAAAGTTTTTGACTCTAAACATCTCACCTCTGACCACCACCTCCCATGCTTCCAGCTCCCATCCTCTGATATCACCCTGTTTGGGTGAGATCATAATCCTTTGGCTGTAAGACCTACAGGTCCTTTACACTCCCACTCTTATTTTTCCACCATCTTCTTTGAGCCTGCATTTCTTTTTTAACTCAGCTTGGATTCATTCCCTTTTCAGAGACCCTTAACTTCCTTGCCCCTCTCTCCCTATGTTGTACCCCTATCAAAATACCAACTTCCCACGTATTCTTCATCTGCCCTCAAGCAGCTGAATATGGCTAACAAACTATGCAGAGATGCTGACTGGTCCAACTTTAAATTGGTGACCCTGAGTACCAGCTGGACACTCCACACTGGCAGCACCCCCCACATCCCACTGTACTTCCTACTGTGTCCACCACTTATCCTCCCTCTTCCATCTTTAGCCTCCCATTCCCCTCACTCTCTGCTAACTACCTTTCTTTCACACTCCATTGAGGTAATAAAAGTAATCAGAAGTAATCTTCACACCCCTAAATCCACCCACCATGTGGAGCTGCTTTCTCTCCTGTGGCAGTGGATGAAGTGCCCACTTACAAATGCCAGCTTCACTGGGTCTCACTTCCTCTAACTTCCTCCAGGGCTTAGTTCCTGTCATTACCCACTCCCCATGCATTGTTAATTTATACTCCATCGGTATGCAAACATGTATATTCTTCCTTCTTAATAGACCCTGCATCACCCTCCTGCTACTTTCCCATTTCTCTGCCCTCCTTTACAGGAAAGCTTCTGAGAAGAGTAGTCAACCTCTCCCTCACCTGCCCTTCTCCCCTGGATCCACCTCAATCAGGAGTCCAGCCCCACCTTTCCAGTGACTACGTTATTGTAAGGTCCCTAGTGGCCCCCTTCCTAAAAAAATCCAGTGATGACTTGCCTGTCCTCAGCATCTCAGCAACATTTGACATGGCTGACCATTTATCCTCAAACTCCTCTTTTCTCTTGGCTTCCAGAACATCATGCTGTCCTTGATCCTCACTGGCTGCTTTCCTTGGTCCTTTTTGCTGGATCTCTATGTGACCTTTCAGTATGAGAGGGCCCCATGCTCAGTCCTCACTCTGGACTGTCTCCAAACAATCTCTCACCTGTAGAGGAAAAGCTTTTCCCCTACATTTTCTTATTTTCAGCCGCTAGGGCCCTGAATTAAAAGACAGATTAATAGGAGAAAAGATTTATTGCATATACATATGGAGGCCTTCATAGAAAAGGAATTACCTAAAAAGAAGTTGTATACCATTTTAACAAAGAGTGATAAATTGTGAAGTAATGATGAGATAAAAGGAGTTTGGACTTCTAGAAGTGGTAAATTATGGGAAGATAAATATAGGAGGGAAACTAATGGAGAATAAGCTTTGGTTTTAGTAAGGTTTGTTATGCAGACTCAATCTTGTAAAATCTCTAGAGTGACAGTGGGGTCCCCAGTGATTAAGAGTACAGAGAGGGTAAGGAGGACACCTTGGCAAAGGGAAATTTATGTCCTGCCTTTAGGCAGATAGGGGAGGATAAGGAGCTTTCTTTGCATCTGCTGCTTCCAAATTGCCTGCAGCTCAAAACAATCCTTGTGCTAAAGTGACATATTTGGGGATGGCATACTCTGATCCCCCTCACACCCTTTGGCTTTAAACCCATTTATCTATTGATGAATAACCCATCTTCTACACTAAGCTTCAGAACCATGGGTCCAACTGCCCACTTGACATCTCCACATGGATATTCAATATGTATCAAAACTTTTAAAAGCCCAAAATAGAACTCCTGATTCCTGCTATATCCCACTCTTGACTGTTCCCCTCACAAGCTGTTCCTGCTCCTTGGTACACTGCTCCATGAGTCTTCATATCAATAAATGTCATCCATATAAAGAGTTGTCCTGATTCCTCTTTTTTTCCTAAACTTTCATATCCAATTCATCATCAACTCTTGTCAGCTCAATCCGCATAATACATTCTGATTCCATCCACTTGTCTCGCTGCCCATCACGACCAGTCTACTCCAGCTGTCACCATCATTTCTTGCTGGGGCAACTAAGTTAGCGTTCTAACCAATCCCCCAGCTTTCTCTATGCTCCTTGACAGCCTGTTCTTCACACACAGCCAAAGAGATCTTTAAAAGCGGAAGTCAGGCCAAGTCCTTTGCTTGTTTGAAATCCTTCAGTGACTTCCTGTTGCAAAAAATCTGACTCTTCACCATGACACTCAAGGCCCTGCATAATTTGGCCCTGACCCCTCTTAGCCTCACTGGCACTGCTTTCCCCTTCACTCAATGCACTACAGCCACGCTGGACTTACCCAGATCAGACTTCTGGGCACTTAACACTTGCTGTTCCTGCTGCCTGGCGCACTGCTCTGTGAGTCACGGCATGGCTGACTTCTCTTAACCACATTCAAGCCTCATATCTAAAGCTAAAATGTCACCCTTGAGGAGCCTTCCCTGGTCCCCCTGATTACAGTAGTGTCCCCCACTAACCCCTAGTCACTGTCCCTCACACTATTCTGCCTTATTGTCCTTAGAACATGTACCGTTTTTGGAAATCATCCTGTTCATGAGCAAATAACGTGTTTATGTGTTTGTTTGTTCCCTGACCTCTGCTCACTCCCTGCTCCATGAGAACAGGGTTCTTGTCTCTCTTGTCCACTATTATATTCCCATTGCCTAGCACAGTACCTTGTGTTTGTTGAATAGATGAACTTCCAAAGCTTCCATTTTAACATTTATAAAATGGGAATCATAATAACACCTGTATCATGTGGTGGTTGGGAGAATTATATGAGACAATGAATGCAGGTACTTAGTCTGGCCCTGGTATTTCATAAGCACTTTAATGTGGGCTTATATTTTTATTAATAGATAATCTGGCTGAGTTCACATGTAAGTGGCAAAGCTAAACCCTGAGCTGAGTTCTCTGACCCCAGATCTTTTGTTCTTTCCAGTATGTCTGATGCCACCTCTCAGGTTGCAGGGTAGGCAGGTTTGAAAGAACAGTGTGAGTGAGGTCAGGACCAGCCTGCCTTAAGCAAGTTAAGGAACAATGACAGGTGAAACTGCTTCAATAGGTTAAGGTCATATTGGAGGGCTTTGAAAGCCAGGTGGAAACATTTAAACTTGGTATGGGGGCAACAGGAAACCACTGGAGTTCTTGAACAGGGGTGTAATGTGATCATGACTATTTTAGAAGAAGATTCTGGCACTTTAGTCACTATATAGTTATGCCGTTAAGTCAGGCAACCTCGTTAGTCTAAACTGTTAGTCTCTAGAACTACCTTCAAACAACCAGATAATTGTGAAGTCCCTTGTTTTGGCTGTTCACCTCAAACATTAAATCAGGCCATTATCAACTGTCCCCTCACTTTATCAAGAGCTTACCACTGTACTTCTGCCTGGGTGACAGAGTGAGATCCTGGGTGCCCCCCCACCCCACCAAAAAAAACAGCTTATATATCTCTATCAGTGATAAATCACTGAGGAATATGTGCTTAGTTTGTATATTCAGCTCTGAACTGCTATATGATTCCAAACTTATTCAAGAGGACTGCCAACATGACTTGTTTCTTTACGCGCTCTAAGTGGTTCATAATCTATGCGTTATAATTTTATTTTATAGCTACTGGTGTTCACACTTTAAACAAAGAGCAGAATTCGTCACATTGGACTGAAGAGCTATATACTCTTGCAATGAGGTCTACCTCACAGGGTCATGGGGAGGACCCTTGCATAGCCTGAGAACCAGTAAATGTTTGTTCATTTGTTTATATGGCAGCCCAGGATGCTGAATATTTGTGGCAGGATGAATTGGGTAGAGGGGACTAGGGATAGGAACTGGGGGATCATGTGGCCTTTGGAAAGGAGCAAAAGAAAAGGGGTAAGAGATATTTTCAGGAGCCAAAGACAGAATTTGGTTATCGGCACTCAACAAGACTCAACAAGACCTCTGCTGATCTTGGGTCTTCTTGCTCTCCATTCCCCCCTCATTTCTTGACATCATGCCCACACAGGAAGATCTAGGCAAAGGGGCTGACCGTGGGCCTGGGGATTTCTTTCCTTTTTTTTTCTTTTTTTTGGAGCCAGAGTCTCACTCTGTCATCCAGGCTGGAGTGGAGTGGTGCGATCCCTGCTCACTGCAACCTCTGCCTCCTGGGTTCAAGTGGTTCTTGTGCCTCAGCCTCCTGAGTAGCTGGGATTACAGACATGCACCACCATGCCCAGCTAATTTTTGTATTTTTAGTAGAGATGGGGTTTCACCATGTTGGCCAGGATGGTCTCGAACTCCTGGACTCAAGTAATCTGTCCACTTTAGCCTCCCAAAGTGTTGGGATTACAGGCATGAGCCGCCAGGCTCTACAGGGCCCCAGGGTTTCTAACAATGCATCTGGAGATTTGTGGGCATGTCTCATAATGGGGGGAAGGCAGTTGAAGATGCTGCAGCCACAAAGGAAGTGGGGAATGAAGCAGGCTGAGGCTGGAGGAGGATACCCCTCCTCCAAAGCTGGGCTCAGCAGGGCAGCCCTCCCCTCACTGCTCGGAGATTGCTGAGGGCAGCCCCCTGTGCCCTGCAGGTGGGAAAGGCACTACCATTGGTGGAGGCGGGGGTGCAGCAGAGGTTGGTGTGTGGCAATGACCTTAATTCATAGCATTTTTGTCCCTAGAGTCCCCTTCACTTCCATCTACATTCTTGCTTTATTTCTTTTTTAATGTTTTTCCATAAAGCTTATTCTTTTATAGCTGTTTGTGGCTAAAGGGCATCCTAGCTGCAGACTCGGAGCCAGCACGCTGATAAATTCTATCTCAGTTCCTGACCTTCCCCCCACCTCCCCACCACCGGTCGTCCCCAGGGCCAAACAAGAAGGAAGGAGGTGATGCAGGCCCTTCAGGAGGAGGCCCAGCTCCTCTGGGTTGCAGGATTGAATGAGCCAGTATCTACAAGGCCCTGGCTCTACTCCCTTGTAATGTTTCCAGGCTTTCTCTGTAATGCCACTGTAGTGAGACACATGTCATTCAGAACTCCATGTAGTCCCCTAGATTTATGCACAGTGCAGCCTGTGGCTAGAACTGAATCTTAAACCAATAATCTGCCTTCCCCAGGACTAGCACCAAAATATTTTTATGTGTCAACGAGTCTAGAACTGGAGAGCTCCAGAAAAATATGGTGCCGTGTGGGGTAGGGGGTAATACTGATTTCACACGTCATACTTTCCAGAACAGTTAGCAGGCCCTGTATTCTAATTTGGCATCCAGAAAACATGATTCCCATTGATCCATTTATTCAACAAATATTTCTTGAGCGCTCCACTATGTGCCAGCAACTGAAAATCCCCAGGGATACAGCAGTGAACAAGTAGACAAAGTCCCTAGCTTATGGAGCTAACATTCTAGTTGGGGGAGATAGAAAATAAACATACAAATAAATGTCAGGTGGTGGTAAATGCTGCAAAAAGAACAAAACCAGGGTAAGAATAAAGTGATGGAAGTAGGGTGGTCTGAAAGGGTCTCTTGGATGATGTGACCCCTGAGTGGAGGCTTGGAATGAGGTAAGGGAGTGAGCCATGTGGCTGCCTGGAGGAAGAGGGCTCCAGCCAGTGCCAGGGTCCCTTAGGAGGAGCTTGCAGGGTTTGCTGGAGGAGCCGCAAGGAAGCCAGTGTGTCTGGAATAGTGTTTGGAGGAGGGGCAAGTGGGAGTTAGAATGTGAGCTCAGAGCAGTAGCCAGAGACTAGGTCATGCAGGGTCTCCAGGCCACGGCAAGACCTTTGGGTTTTACTCTGAGTGAAATGGGGAGCCACGGGAGGATTTTGAGAAGAAGCATGATTAGATCCTGAGGCAAAACTTAGGTTAAAAAAAGCAGGGAGACAAAAGAGGCATAACATGATCTGATTTCTAAGACCACTCATTGCTGTTCAAAAAAAACTGTACGGGGGAAATATAGAAGTGTGGGGACTCATTAGCAGGCTTTTGAAATATTCCAGGTGAGAGATGATGATGATTTGGACCGGGGCATGTTTGGTGGAGGCAGTGAGAAGTGATTATATCTTTCAGAAAAGAAATGCATATTTACTGAAGTGTGGGGTTTTTTTCATTGTTTTGTTTTCCTGTTTCTTTTAGCACCTTAAAGATTGTTTTCTGGCTTGCATAGTTTCTGATAAGACGTCTGTGGCCAGGTGTGGTGGCTCACACCTGTAATCCCAACACTTTGGGAGGCCGAGGCGGGTGGGTCACTTGAGGTCAGGAGTTTGAGACCAGCCTGGCCAGCATGGTGAAACCCTGTCTCTACTAAAAGTACAAAAATTAGCCGGGCATGGTGGGACACGCTTGTAATCCCAGCTACTCGGGAGGCTGAGGCAGGAGAATCACTTGAACCCGGGAGGCAGAGGTTGCAGAGAGCCAAGATCATGCCACTGCACTCCAGCCTGGGTGACAGAGCAAGACTCCATCTCAAAAAAAAAAAAAAAAAAAAAAGTCTGTGAATATTTTTCTCTATCTGTAAGTAATTGTGCCTCCTTTCTTTGGCTGCTGTTAAGATTTCTCTTCATTCCTGACTTTCAACAAGTTGATTTTGATGTGCCTTTGTGTAGTTTCCTTTGTGTTTATAGAGCTCCTTGGATCTGCGTGTTTATAAATTTTCTCAAATTTGGAAAGATTGACATTATTGCTTCAAATATTATTTTTGCTACCCTATCCTCTCTTTTTGAACTCCAACTGCACATATGTTAGTCTTAATTTACATTGTTCTGCAGGTAGCTGAGGCTCTTTTCAGTCTTTTTTTGGTTACAGTGCTTTATTTTGAATAGTTCTATTGCTATGTCTTCAAGTTCAACCTTTTTCAGCAGTCTTTAGTATGTTGTTAACTCTATTCAGTGAATTTTTCATTTCAGACATGATATTTTTCCTTTTTTTTTTTTTCGAGGTGGAGTCTTGCTCAGTCACCCAGGCTGGAGTGCAGTGGTGCGATCTCAGCTCACTGCAACCTCTGCCTCCTGGGTTCAAGCAATTCTCCTGCCTCAGCCTCCTGAGTAGCTAGAATTACAGGCGCCCGCCACTGCGCCTGGCTAATTTTTGTATTTTTAGTAGAGACGGGGTTTCACCATTTTGGCCAGGCTGGTCTCGAACTCCTGACCTCGTGATCCGCCCATCTTGGCCTCCCAAAGTGCTGGGATTACAGGCGTGAGCCACCGCACCCAGCCCCCTATATTTTTCATCTCGAGATATTCTACTTGGTTTTAAAAAAATTTTTCCCATTTTTCTCATCATTATGTTTCTCCTTTAAATCTTGAGCATATTTTACATATTTTAACAGGTATTTAAATGCCTTTGCTAATTCCATAATCTCTGGCATTTCTGGGTCTGTTTCTATTGACTATTTTTCTCTTATTTCTGGGTCACATCTTCCTGCTTCTTTGCATATCTGATTTTTTATTAGAGATCAGAACATCATGAATTTTACATTGTTGATGCTTGATTGTTTTGTACTCTTTCAAGCAGGGTTGGACTTTGTTCTGCCAGACAGTTCTTTATAGATCAGTTGATATTTTCCAGACTTGTTTTTAAGCTTTTTAAAGGCAGGTCTAAAGGAGTCTTTTCTCTGGGACTAGATGAGCCACACTATTAAAGAATAACCTTTTTGGGGTCTCTACTGAATGCCTTGTGGATTCAGTGAAACCTTTCCTCCTTTGACTGATAGGAACTCAGGTGATTCCTGGCTTTGTGAGGGCTCTGGAAATTGTTTGGTTTACAGCTCTCTGGAAATTGTGATTTCCTGGAAGTTGTTTTCCTTGGTCTTATTTTTTTCTAGGTTTTACCCTGTACCTGCACAGATTGTTATTCAGACCTTTGCGAGTAACAAAGAGGGACCCCTAGTAGATTTCTGGAGTCCTTTTTCTTGATGGTTCCTTCCTCTCCAGTGCTCCACAGTAGTTACAGCAGTTAAGCAGTGACAGCTGCTTTATCCTCCCTGAACCTGAATTTCTCTCCCCTCAATTCAGCAAGAGTTCTGGGCTCTGTCTGGATCTCTCCACTCCCATGGCTGTCTGAAAGCTGCCACCAGGCAAAAACCAGGGCTTTTGAAGGGCTCACCTTGTTTGTTTCCCTTCTCTCAGGGACCATAATCCTGAACTACCTTTTTTCCAATGTCTGAAAATAATTATCTCATAGACTTTTTCCGGTTTCCTGGTTGATTATGGTGGGAGGGAAGTCTGGATTCAGCTACGCCCTCGTGGCCTGAAGCGAAAGTCAGTGTGTAGAATCTGGATAAGTGTTGACAGTAGGGTGGCACGATTTGTTCCTGGATCAGATGTAGGGTGTGAGAGAAAGCAAAAGAATAAAAAAGGGCTCTAAGACTTTTGCCCTTAGCAACTGCAAGGATGGATTTGCCATTTACTGAGATAGGGAAGGCTGAAGTGGAATCAAGGAGGGGCTGGTTGGGAGGGAGAATCAAGAGCTTGGTTTTGGAAATGTTAATTCTGAAATGACTTTTCCACTTCCAAGCCGGGTGCCAGTTAGATAGTGGATAGGCCAGTCTAGAACTCAAGGGACAGGTTGGGTTTGAGATACAAATTTGGGATTTGCCAGCCTATAGACCACTGGTTCTTAACCCTGGCTAAAGCAATGTTATCATCACTGAAGAAGATACCTGAGAGTGGGTAATTTATAAAGAAAAGAAGATTAATTGGCTTACGGTTCTGCAAGCTACAGGAAGCTTGGCAGGAGAGGCCTCAGGGAACTTACAATCATGTCAGAAGGCAAAGAGGAAGCAGACACGTCCTTCATGGCTGGAGCAGGAGGAAGAGAGCAAAGGGGAAGGTGCTACACACTTTTAAACAACCAGATCTCATGAGAACTTACTATCATGAGAACGGCAAGGGGGAAATCCACCCCCATGTTCCAATCACTTCCCACCACGCCCCTCCTCCAACATTGGGGATTATAATTCAACATGAGATTTGGGCAGGGACACAAATCCAAACCATATCAACTCTAATATGTAGCCAGGAGTGAGAACCACTTATATGTGGTAGGAGTTCGAGACCAGCCTGGCCAACACGGTGAAACCCCCTCTCTACTAAAAATATAAAAATTCGCCAAGTATGGTGGCAGATGCCTCTAATCCCAGCTATTTGGGAGGCTGAGGCAGGAGACTCGCTTGAAACAGGGAGGCAGAGGTTGCTGTGAGTCAAGATCATGGTACTGCACTCCAGCCTGGGTGACAGAATGAGACTCCATCTCAAAAGTAAATAAATAAATAAATAAAGCCCTGCCAATGTCAGCTAGGGGGCTCTGGAAGCTGAGGTGGGAGGATCACTTGAGGCCAGGAATTCAAGGATGCAGTGAGCTATGATCGTGCCATTGCACTCCAGCCTGGGCAATAGAGCCAGACCCAGACGCAAAAAGAAAAAGAAAAGATCACCTAGGAGAGTGGTTCTCAACCCTGGCTGCATATTAAAATTACCTGGGAGTTTTTAAGCCTTGATGCCCAGGTTGTGCCCTAACCAACTGTATCATTCTCTCTGGAAGTGGGGGCTTATGAATTAGCATTTTGTAAAACTCCTCATGAGAGTAATTTCAGTTGCTGTCAAGGTTAGAACCACAGAGTCCCAGGGCGTGTTCGTGGGAGCCAGAAAAGAAGAGATCTGAAGATTGAGCCGCAGTGCCCTTGAAGATGAAGGAGGCTAAGCTAGGAGGAGCTGCAAGAGAGGGCTTACAGGCTTTCCTCAAATGTCTGAACTGTGGCTGTCCACTCACATTTAAGAATTAAAAATAGAAAATTGGACTGGAAACTCAGTGTGCATAGGTGGGGCTTGTGGACTGCGGGCTTTCTTTTTGGGGCAGAGGGTGGGCAGCTACCCATTATCTATATGGCCTTTCCCACACCCAAGTCTCTCCAGGGTTCTTCAGGGCAGTTCCCCTCCCTCCCTCCCCTTCTCAGCTGTACTCCCTCTGAGCTGTGGGTTTCTCCACCTGCCTTCATCAGTTACAGCTCTCTCAAGCTGTCCATCTTGCACAAGCATGTTGAAACTTCTCGGGCCCTTCCACTGTAAACCCTCTGCCCATTCCCTGTGTTATTGCTAGTTTACACCTTTATGTCCTTTTACCATCATTTAAATAGGATCTTAAGAGGGAGAGTAGGTAAATTGAGGTAATTAAATAATCATCTTGAACCAGAAGTCTCCCAACTATTTTTTTGACACTGAGAGTCTCTCTCTGTCACCCAGGCTGGAGTGCAGTGGCATGATCACAGCTTACTGCAGCCTCAACCTCCCTGGCTCAAAAGATCCTCCCACCTCAGCCTCCCCAGTATCTGGGACTATAGGTGCTCGCTACCACACCTGTCTAATTTTTGTAGTTTTTGTAGAGATGGGGCTTTGCCATTTTGCTTAGGCTGCTTCCAACTTTTTAAACATGAGAATCGCTTTAAATGCGAGGAATAGTTTCACAGCACCTGTATGATGGAAGTTACATGTACTTTCAGTATCCGTTAATTAATAGGGAAAATGCATATTGACACACAAAGTCCTCTGAATTAATTCAGTAGCACTTTTAAGTGCATCTTCATCAGAAAACCATTTACATATTTTTGGAAAGTAATAGCATAACCATGTAGGAGAAAGTTAAGGTTGCAAACAACAATTGGTGACCAAGTAGATTGATATGCCTTTGCAATAACTGCAGAGTTCCCAAAGGATTCCAAGCCTGATCATTGGGACTCACAGTTCTAGACCCTAGGAAGCCACTGGAAGTTTTTGAATAAGAGAGAGGGTGTTACTGAAGAACTTATGACACTTGCTTCATTTACAGCTTTTCCCTGTCCATAGTTGCCTCTTTCTCTGGAAGTTTAGTGTTGGATGGGTTCCTCCCTGAGGGAGAGAGCATGTAGATGATACTGGCTGCCCCAGCCCTGAGCAAATTATTTGAGAAAAAAAAAAAAAAGAAGTTAAGTGCAATTCAGTCTCGGCTTTATATTCCATGACCTCCTCTTCTCTATTTTTTTCTTATCTACTCTCTTTAGAAATTCTGTTCCTTGCTGTCCATCAGTTAGCACAAATGGCTTGCATTTTGAGGTGGTCATGCTATTAGCACTATGCTGAGCATTTTACACACTTCTTCTCATTTAATCCTCATCAGCATCCTGTGGAGGTGAGCACAGCTCACATCTCATTTACAGATGAGGAAATTGAGGCAAAAAGAGGCTCAATGGCTTTCTCAGATCAAAGAGCCAGCAAGTGACAGAGCTGAGATTCTAGCCCAGGTGTCCCTGACTCCACAGCTAGTCCCCCTACTCCCCCACAAAGTTGGTGCTGCGAAAATGATGAGGAATTGAGAGACATATGAGCTACTTATAAATGACTGAATTGGGAAAAGACATCCATCTGTATCCAGGCTTCCCAAAGGGTCCACTCTCTGACAGCAGCCTCCCTGGTTTCTTTCAGGGGAAGCTACTTTGCATTTCAGTGGTCCCCAGCCTTTCCAAGCCCAAGTGTGGCTAATGCTACCCTCACTGCAGCCTTTCCTCCAGCCAAACTAGTCAGCAAGACCCTGAACTGTCCCTCCAGTCTTCATTCATAGCATTCTCCCTGCCTGGAGCATCCCTGCCTGTCCTTTACCCTTCATGTATCTAAGGCCCACTCCCTCTTCAGAGCCCACCTTCATCATCCAGGCTTCATGGAGCCTCCTCCTTCATTTGCCTTCTGCCAGTGATGATCTAACCTCCTAGCACCTTGCCATCTCCTCTCTTGTGTATGACTTCCCTCCCCACCCAGACGGTGAGACTCTGCCTTTAAAAATAATGACAAAACGAGTGGTCTTTAATTCACTCGAATAACAGATACTTCTTATAGAACATTTGAAAAAGAGAGAAGCTCAAAAAAAGTGACAGGGAAAAAAAGCCTTTAGCTTCACCACTAAAATAGTACTCCAGGGATTTTTTTGTCCTTGAGTCTATTTTCTGGATGAATTTTGGGTTTTGTTTTTGTGTATTGGTATGTGATGTCAGAATCAACTTTCTAAGCATCCCTCTTGTTGGATGCATAGTATTCCTCAGAAAGGATGTGCCATGGTTTGTTATAAGTGCAACTGCATCCCCCACAGGACCTAGCCTGGGGGACCCACCTAGGAGGGCCCTGGTGAAGACTGTGTGAGTAATTGGGTTGTCTGCAGGATAGGAAAAGGGTGGGTTACACCATGTGGTATGTAAGCTGCCAGGGGGCCATTTAGGAGGCTGGAAAATTACAGAGTGCTCATACTGAGCCTACATCTGCCAGAAAAGGGCGCTTAAAACAAATCCCATGAAATTATAGCTTTTGCAATCTATGAGTTAGACAAGAAAGTACACACGACCAATGTGTTTCAGTAGGAACGCTGCGAACAATGGTGTTAGCCATCACTGGGGGCCTGGGAAGAAAGGGTTTGAAAGAGAAAGGTCTTCCCAAATGTGGTTCTCAGTAAACATTCTTTATGATTCAGAGCTAATATGGTTTATGCCCTCGGCAGAGATGCCAGGGGTTCCCTGGGTTATGAGGCCTTGCTGGAGGGACAGCTCTTCGAAAGGGAAGCGTTACAGGCTGAGACTGTACCAAGCCTGTATGGGAGGGTTCCTTTGGTGTAGCTTTATCCCCGAAACACCACGTGTATGCTGATGGGGAATGGGGGCACAGGGTAGTACAAGATGCTCGTGCTCGTGTGTCTGTGTGTCTGACGTCAGGGTGGAAGGCTGTCTTTGTTTTTAATACTCTGTTGAAGCAGCAGAGTCACTCCAATAGAAAGAGAGGAGACATGGGTGGTTGGCTTTCTAGAATGTTGGCCTTTGGAAGCCACCAAGAGTGGAGGGAAGGCAGGCCCTGCGTACTTATCCCCACATCTGGGAGTCCCTGCTTCCAGGAGCAGTGACAGCCATCCTCCTGGCTCCTTGGTAGAAAGAACCTCAATCCTCCTCCCATCAGTGGCAGAAGTAGCTATGAGGATTGAAGCTGGGTGGGCGATGTCTCAATCCTTGGCAGAAGGATGGGAAACAAAGACTTTAAACATGTTAAACATCCTTTTACAGATCTCCAGAATTATAGTGACAGTGGGGAGAAGGAGGGAATGACCCATCCCCCATCCCGAGCTTGCTAGCCCAGCTCCTGGAAGATCAGCCCCTGGGCAGTGCCAGCCTGCATGACCGTCCTGATCCCCGACTCTGCCCTTTCTGCCAAAGAGCCAGCAGAGCACATGTCTCGGAGAAGACCCCCTATCACCTTCTAGGTTGTCTTGCCACAGAACAGGAGCACCCAGCAATACAGCAGAGCTTCCCACGGGTTTCTACAGTGTCTTCAGAGAACCGCAAGGAGGGTCAGCCCTTGTGGAGTCTCTGACCCAAATTCTGACATTACCTCTATGACTTATTCACAAAGTGACCTCACACTGCACTTTTCTGAGCCTCAGATTGTGCATCTAAAAACCGAGGATAATGCTTACCTCACTAGGTGGTTGTGAAGAAATGTAAATAAACCGTGTGTGAAAATGATTCCTAAAACCAGAAAACCCCACATAAGCCTCAGTGAGGAAAGCAACACAGTGTAGTAATCAAAGCTAAAAAAAAAAAAAAAAATGTAGGTGTCTGTGCTTGTTGTGGTGGTGGTTGTTGCTATTTATTGTGGTGACGGTGGTTGTGTCAGAGTCTGCAGTCTAATGCCCTGGTAGCTCCTTATTCACAGCTACGTTGATACATCTGCTCAAGTAAATTAAAGTTCCCACCTCAAAAAAGAACACGTTGGCCAAGCACAGTAGTGCACACCTACAGTCCCAGCTACTCGGAGGCTGAGGTGGGAGGATCTCTTGAGCTCAGAGGTTTGAGGCTGTAGCGCGTTATGATTGTGCCTGTGAGTAGCCACTGCACTCCAGGCTTGGCAACACAGTGAGACCCCATCTCTAAATAAATAAAGAAAAAGAAAAAGAACTCATTCTCAAGCCAATGTGTGAATTGACCCAAGTATTTGTTGGCCCAGAAGTATAAAATGTGTTTTCACTAGCCAGTGATGAAAACCTGTCAGTTTCCCATGTCTTTCTTGCTTGTCGCTGTGCATGAGTGAGCTTCTCACACGTTCAAAGGCAGAAGCCATCTGAGTGCTCTCACCTGGCTTTGATACTCTCACCTCGCGCCATCCCTGCTGAGGACCTTAAGGGTCACAGTGTGGCAGTGATTTCTGTGATAAAACAAAAATCTATGTAGTGTGACTGGGGCCCAGATGAAATATAGGCTCCTGAAAGCCCAACCTGGCTGCAGGACCCCAGAACAGGCCCAGGGTTGCTGGAACCCACCCCAGAGACCTTCCCCTCAGAGCTCCCATGAAAGGGAGCAAGAAGGGAGAATGGGTGGCAGAGGCATTTTACAGTTTATCAAGGCATGGGTAGACTAATGTTTTAAAACTAAAAAAGAAAATCCTTGTTGTTCTGTTTACTGAGCATCTACTAAGCGCCTAGTGTTGCACTGAATCTCAGACTAGGACTGTGACTTGTTTGCGAAGGCTCCAGTCCCTGGGCTGTGCATGTGCCAGGGTGCTTGTGAGGAGCAGTCGGTCCCTGCGTCTGAGCATCCTCAGGAAGACCAGGCTGTGCCCCTGGGCCCAAGCCTGGTGTGGAGTGAGGAGAGCTGCGTCAGAGAGAGCCTCGACAGAAGTGGTATGATGAGAACCTGGAGGAGCCCAGCAGGCCTGATGGAAGCAGCTGGTTCCTTGGCTGCCCCTATCCTGCCCAGGAGGTTATTTCTCTGGGAATAAACAGTCCCCTGCAGTTAGCAGGATAAATATAAACACAGCCTCCTGATCAGGGCTCAGAAACCAAGCTTTGCATCCTGGGCTCCCTGCTGCCGCTGCTGCTGCTGCTGCTGCTACAGAAAACAGAATGAGCCAGGGTGCAGCCACGTGGGGCTTCTGCAGCCAAGCAAACAGGCGGCCCCAGTCTCCTTCCGGCTGCCATAACAAAGTACCACGGACTGGGGGACTTAAACAATGGAAATGTATTTTCTCACAATTCTGGAGGCCAGAAGTCTAAGATCAAGGGGCTGGCAGGGTTGGTTTCTCCTGAGGACTCTCTCCTTGGCTTGCAGACAACCACCTTCTCCATATCTTCACGTGGTTTTCCTTGTGTATGTCTGTATCTTAATACACTCTTCCTGTGAGGACACCAGCCATATTGGATTAGGGCTCACCCTAATGGCCTCGTTTTACCTTGATTCCCTTTTTTAAAAAGCCTTTCTACCAATGCAGTAACATTCTGAGGTACTGGAGTGTTACGATCTCAACCTATGAATGTATGGGCATACAGTTCAGTGCAGAACAGGGGCCCAGGAGGTCACCGAGACCATCTCCCTGCCTTCAGACTGAAACTCATCAGAACATTCCTAGAGGGAGGAGAGTCAGCCCAAATTTTAAAGACCACCTTAGAGAAAGATATTTCATATATTTGGTGTGGCTTGGTGATTTTCAGAAATTGCTATTGCTGGTGACTAAAAGCCAGCTTGCTTCCACAAAGCATTTGAATGAATGTAAGTGCTGAAACTGGAATAACTGAACCACAAACTCTAAGAGTGCAGGACCGTGTCCTAGCACAGCACTTGCCATAGCAGGCTCCCAACAGGCTTCCTGTGGACACGAAGAGGACAAGGGAAAGAGGGAGGGATGAAGGAAGCTAAAAATCAATTGGAAAAGGGTGAGGGATGTATCAGGTACTGGGGCGCAGCTCTACAGCAATGAATGGCCACGGTGGCTCTGCACTTCCCATTGGAACACTCAAACTGGGCAATAGGGCACTCAGAGTTCAATAAAAGGCAGCAAGTCACAAGTGTCCTCAGGAAACCAGCACCTCAGATTCTGAATTCTAGGAGGAAGGAATTGCACAGATGGATCTTACTGATTTATGTAGAGACAGGGTCTCACTCTGTTGCCCAGGCTGGAGTGCAGTGGTAGAATCACAGCTCACTCCAGCCTTGACCTCCTGGGCTCAAACAATCCTGCCTCAGCCTCCTGAGTAGCTGGAACTACAGGTGTGAGCCACCATGCCCAGCTTGCTTTTGTTTGTTTGTTTGTTTGTTTGTTTTTAATTGTTTCTAGGGATGGAGTCTCACCATGTTGCCCAGGCTGGTCCCAAACTCCTGGCCTCAAGCAATCCCCCTGCCTTGGCCTCCCAAAGTGCTGGCATGACAGGCATAAGCCACCGTGCCTAGCCTAACAGATCTTTAAAGAGAGACATCGGCAGTGATGGCTTTTCTTTGGTTTTGCAGAAGACACAGGAAGAGTCTTCAAATGGATGCTTCCACTGTCCCTTCAGAAAGGCAGAAGATGGAGCGCTAAATCTGACTGAAGGCACTTCTGTGGGCAGTGAGGGCACTATCGTTCACCTGCTATTTTCTGATCACCCATTTTAATTTAGAGATGGCATTTGAGGGGTCTTTACTGCTGCGGTTACCGGGGTCTCATTCAAACCCTGAGCAGGTGAGCCCATGCCCTCTCACGTCCCAGGCCGGACACTCAGCCCCCTGGCACAGTGACTACACCTCATGGCTGGCACAGAGTAGGAAAGTGAGTAGCTGTGAGTACACACATGAGGGAGGGGGTTGACACTGTTGTGAAACTTCAGCACCATTGCTTGTATCTTCTCCAAGATAGGTCTGCCCGGTGAGGCCTTCTCTTCCCTGCTCCACCCTTTGTGGAGGCCTAACCTTGATAAGGAGCTGAAGAAGCATATTTAGTGTTTCCTCTGTGCCACGTACTCTGCTAAATCCGCCAGCTGTCCCCTCCCCTCTGATCCCCACAACCATCTGTAAGGCAGTGCTGTCTACTTGATAGATGGGGAAACTGAGGCACAGCGAGTAGCTTGCTGACAGCCACCAGTGAGTAGTGGGGGCTGGATCAACCTAAACCCTTGACTCCAGGGCTTGTGATTTAGCCACTGTACTCATACGTGGGCAAGTCACACAGCCTCTCTGAGATAAAGAAAACGCAGTGTCTGAGCACTTCAGCTGTGGATGGTCCTGAGCACTTCAGCTGTGGATGTCCTTGGCCTCCCCGGGAAGCGGCTTTAACAGCAGCCACCCCTACCTGCGTCCGTTTCTTCCCCTTTCGGCTCCTTCTGCAGCCCTTCGCAGTCTGGCGTCCGCACAGCGGTGCCCCCTTCTTTCCTGCACAGAGCCAGCTTCCTCCCAGTTGCCAAATCCCAGTAGGACTGTTAGGTTTCCATCTTACTAGATTCTTCTAGAAATTTCTGACCCCTTGCCCCGTCATTCCTTCCTTCCTGAATGGCCTCTAGCTTCAGCACCTTCATCCTCTCCTGCGTTTGTGGCCTCCCTTTGGCCTCCCTTCCTTAGTCCCCTTTTGGCTACTCTCCTGGTCTGGGCCACCCCACCTGTTTGATCCACAGCCTCTGAACTAGACTCGCTGAACTCACCCCTGCAGTCTGTCCCCAGTACTGCAGCCAGAGACACTTTTTGACTACCACCTCCTAAAATTTTTTAATAAACAGTCCTTGATTGAGAGCATATAAACACTATGAACAAAACACAAACTGATACACCCTCAAGTGTTTCCCTTCTTATAACTGAAAGATTATAGGCTTGAGAGATGAGGTTGAGAAATGGGAGATATAAATTCTGGCTCAGACTTGAGGAAGATTGGTGTCATGCAAGCTACATTATTTATCCTGGATTCAGTTTCCCTGTCTACAAAATGGGAGCAATGATGATATTGTCTTTACTGGGTTATGGTGATGACCACATTAAATAAGACAAAAAATTTGCTCCACATTGCTTGCAGCTATTAAAGATGTTGATGGGTGTTCGTTTCATCGAATTTCCTTTTAAAATTGCATGAGACTCTGCTGACAGAGAAAAAGAAGACAGTTATCAAATAAATTCAGCATATCTGCTGTTGCTTGAAATCTACTTGAATATTATATTTCTTTTTCTTTTTGTAAAACTACTAGTTTATGTTTCTCCCTCACATTAAAATCAAATGAAAGTCATGGTTTTTCTCATTTCAGGGACATTTATATCACCTAAACTTTGCCCTGAAAGTGTGCAGGAGGGATTTGCTGGCTAATCTCTTTGTCCATTGTTTTCTCTGTCACCCAGGCTAGAGTGCAGTGGTGCAGTCTAGGCTCACTGCAGCCTCTGCCTCCTGGGTTCAAATGATTCTCCTGCCTCAGCCTTCCAAGTAACTGGGATTACAGGCATGCACCACCATGCCTGGCTAATTTTTGTATTTTTAGTAGAGACGGGGTTTCACCATGTTGGCCAGGCTGGTCTCAAACTCCTGACCTCAAGTGATCCACCTGTCTCAGCCTCCCAAAGTGCTGGGATTACAGACATGAGCCACCATGCCCAGTCCTTTTTCACTCTTTTCTTCTCTGTTTCCAGCCCCTCTGCCTCAGGGCCTTTGCTCGTGCTGTTGACTAGCCTGAAACACTCTTACCCTAGTCCTTTATCAAACATCCGTTCCTTAACGAGGCCTCCCTGGACCCACCCCACTTAAAACCATGACCTGCCTCCTCCCTGCCCGCACACTCCTCACCCTCTTAGCCTGCTCTATTTTTTATTTTTTGTAGTACTTGCCACTTTCTCACAGGCCACGTAATTGTTTGTAGTTTATTATTCCATCTCCCATACTGAAATGTAAGCTTCTTGAGGGTAGGGGACTTTGTCTTTTAGATCACTGTTGAATCCCAAGGGCCTAGCACAGTTCCTGGCCACAGTAGGCCCTCAATAAATGTTTGTTGAATGAATGTGGTCTCCTTCATAGACTCCTCTTCTGCCCTTTAGATACTGAAGTTCCTCAGGGGCCTTCATTCTCATACCACACGTGCTCCCTGGAAAGTCTTATCCACATGACACCTGAACCCTTGAATGCCAACCTGGACCTTGCAGACCTTGTGCCCAACTGCCTCCATCTCCTGGCTAAGGCATCTTCACTACTCAGTTCCAATGGCACCTGCTCTGGGGCACCCTCCCAAACCGCTTCTCTTGCTTCCCGGAATCCCCTGACATCTCCCTTACTGTCATTTTCATAGGGCATTGTGGTCATTATGTATGAGGACAGGGATCATATCTTATTCATTTTTATTTATAAACTTAACAGTGCTTGTTGGGAGTGAACTTACGGTTTCAAAAGTAGCAACTATCCTATTTGCACCACAGAAAATGTGAAATATTTATAAAAGCAAATAGAAGAAACTTAAAATGAAAATCACAGCTGGGCGCGGTGGCTCACGCCTGTAATCCCAGCACTTTGGGAGACCGAGGCGGGCGGATCACGAGGTCAAGAGATTGAGACCATCCTGGCCAACATGATGAAACCCTGTCTCTATTAAAAATATAAAAATTAGCTGGGCGTCGTGGTGGGCGCCTGTAATCCCAGCTACTCAGGAGGCTGAGGCAGGAGAATCACTTGAACCCGGGAGGCGGAGGTTGCAGAGAGCTGAGATCGCGCCAGTGCACTCCAGCCTGGGCGACAGAGCAAGATGCCATCTCAAAAAAAAAAAAGAAAGAAAATCACCCATTTTCACAACTGAGCAGTGTGCTCCATGTACGGAATTAAGTACGCGTGTGTGCACACATGCACATATATAGCCAAGTAAATTGGAACACTTGGAAAGAATTTCATTTACAAAAAATAATGAATGGCATCCAGTAAAATGCTATTATGGGCTGCAAAGCACAGCAGCATTTTGAGAAAGATGAAGGCAGCCCCTGAGCGCCGAGAGCTGGCCTGGCACTCACAGTGGGGCTGGGAGGATCTGCCATGGAGCATAAGCATTTCACAGAACCCCTGATCAGGCAAGGCCGCCTTATGACCAAGATGGAGTGAGAGAAAAACAAGACCATTCACCCCATAATCATGTCCAAACACAGACCAAAACAAGAACATCGTCCAAACCACTAAAAAGACCAAACATCCCTCATCTGGTTAGTATGAGCAACTGCTGCTTCTTGGCCAATCACAGCTTGGCCTCGCTATGTCGTTCCCATCTTCCAGCTAAGAATTAAGATGCCCAGTCATAGAAGTACTTCCGCTCTTTGGCAGCATCCCATCCAGAGCGAAGCCTGCTTCCTTAAGTCCTCCATAAATCACCTAACTCAAGAACTCAAGCCCAACTCCTAGAATTAGCCCTCTTTGATACCCTCTGACTGAGATGCCCCAGAATCCATGGTGGCCAAGCTTCCTCATTGCAGTGAGCCAGTAAGCTCAATTGTGTTTTGACTACAGGTGTGTTCCTGGAGGTCTGTGGGCAATCTTATTCACCATAGTCTTCCTTCCCCTGCCCTCATGTCTGGCACACAGCAGGTCTCAAAAACATGTTGAGTTAACTGAAACTAAGATGGAGACAATGTTTCTGGTACAGTGTCTGCTGGTGATCACTGGACAAACTGTCAGTTCTGTTGGGAATTTAGCAGCTGCTCCCTGAGGACCTGCATTCTGGAGGGTGGCAAGAAGTCCAAGACATGGGCCATGTCCTCACTGGCAAGCTAACATAGAAAAACACAAAGGGTTAAATCTCTGGGACAATGGTCAGGACAGGGGCTGTCACAAGACAGCACACAGTTAAATGCCTGGTGAGCTGAAAGTGCTGTCAGATGATGGCGAGGATTCAGACAGGCGAAGAGAAAAGGAAATAAGTCATTCCTGACCTTGAAAGGTGGGGCTGGGGAGCTCAGGGCAGCTGAGCTGGAGAGTGATCTGGGCAGAGCTGTGCCTCAATACCACCAACTGGGACAGTGCACAGAATGAGCCAAAAGGAGAGAGAATATTTCCAGAAAACCAGGGAGTCTGGGTCCCAGGTCATATGAAGGGAGGGGGACAATAGGCAAGGCAAGGAGGTGGCAGGAAGGTAGATTTGAAATTGGGCAGAACTGAGTTGCAATCCCGGTTGTGCCATTTTCTGTGACCCTGACCTTCAAGGTCATTAACGTCTCTGAACCTCAGCTTCCATCTCCTTCTATCGCACAGGGTCTGACACAAAGTCATGCCACAGATCCAGGGCAGGCGTTTTGGCCACAGCAAGTACCCTGGCGCAGTATGATTGAATGCTCATCTCAGGGAAAAATCACAGTTGCATTCTCTGAACCTAAGGCTGAGTCAGGCCTCAAGAGGTGGAGTGGGGCTGGGACCTGTGCTGCCTTACTTCTCTGAGCCTTGGTTTCCTCACCGGCATAATGACACCTCCCCCAGGAGCTGCTCTGGGGATTACACCTGTGAAAGTACCAGCAGAGTGCTTGGTCTGGGATAGGGGCTCCATAAATTCAGTCCCCACCATCCCTCACTTCCTGTGTGCGGGCCATCAACCTCCCCATCTGTGTGTGGCAGCTGAGAGTGGAATGTGCCATTAGCTCCAGCCCCACCCCCATTAGAGGAGGGGTGCGCCCCCATTAGAGGAGGGGTGCACCTTACCCCTCAGCCGCAGTCCAGTGACCACAGCCAGGCCCTGACAGAGACCCTTGTGCTTTGACATTTTGGGCTGGATGAAAAGAGAGAGAGACCCATGTGCTGAGGTGCTGTGGGCAGCCCCTTTACCAGCCCATAGGGCAGGTGCAGGTCGGGCTAGCAGAGCAGACACACAGCTCTCCGTGGGCCTCTAGAGCACCTCCCTGGCTGCAGCTGAAAGGTGTGGGTTTGTTTGCATCATGGCTCCTCATCTTTATTCCTCCTTTGAAGCAGCCAACCAGGCTGGCTTCTGTGGGAAGACCAAGCATGGGGACACCTCAGTTTGAGGGAGCCGGGCCCTTAAGGAGTGGCCTCTGTGCATTGAGTCGTCCCCGAGGGCTCTGCGTGCCCCCTCAGCCTGGGCACTGAGCGCCCCCAGATGTGGCTTGTAGCTCCATGGAAAGGACGAGGCTGTGCTTCTCCAGGTGTATAAAACTGAATTCATTGAGAGGGCTTGGAACTATCCACTTGAGAGCAGGATTTGTTGCTTTACAAACCACCAGAGACTTCCTTTTAAAATCTCCTCCTGTGTGATAGAGGAATTGAGGTAAAGTGATTGAATTGACATTGTCTTGCTGCTCTGAGCTGCCCGCTGGTCTGTCACCTCACGCCTGGCTGGTCTGTCTCCCTTCTGAGAGGTGGTATGACCCTGGAGCTGTTCCCCACACAAGCCCCACATGAGCGCCCTGAGGTGGGAGGGAGGAGTGAGGGACGGGGTAGGTGGGCAGAGCTTTCTTCATCTCATTGCTCCTCACTCCGGGTTCATCAGTCACGTCTTTGTCCCATCAAAGGCCTCCCTTGGTCTTGGATTTAGTCTTCTCCCAAAATTCTGGGCTGAGATGAGGGCTCTGCTCTTTCTGTGTGTGGGGGCGGGGGGGGGGGTTAGAAGGGGCAGTGATCTCATCCCTGGAAAGGATTAGTCATCAGGGAGACAGGGACAGATCTTGGGGTGGCGGTGGGGGGGGCCTGGAGACGGGCTGTATGTAAATGAGTCATCTTCCCGCCAGCTCAGGGCCGAGCTTGACAGCTGCTCCCCAGGAGAGGTTGTTAAACGGGAGCTACCCGGAGGCAGGAGTGGTTAACCGGCTTTTAATAACTCATTTTGCTGAATGATTTCTGGTGAGGAGAGAAAACCTTAATCCCAGAGATAAAGCACAGAGTGGGGGGTGGTTGAAGTCAGCCCTGCTAGCAAGGAAGGCTGTGCCGAGGTACAAAGTCGATTCAAAGAAGTCACTTGCATTTGCTCCCAGTTAACCAAAACCTCTCTAATGTTAGAAGTCACTGGCCTGAGCCTGTGGGGTTCATCCTCTGTCCCTAGCTCCCCTACTCCTGCCACCTCAGCTGTCCCCGCCTCCCATCTTGTTGTCATCAAATGAAGAAAGTCACCTCAAAGGCCCCCAGAGAACAAGACAAAAACAAGCAGAACAGGGGCAGAGGGCCATTTTCTCTGTGCCTGGCTGACTGGAGCCTCTCTGTCCGGATCACTGCGCACCCAATGCAAGAGGGGTGCACTGGATGCTCCCACCCCACGCCTGGCTTCGGAGGGAAGAAAACCAAGAGCTTCTGTCCTCAGGGAGCAGTCCATCCAGCTCTGCAAATCAGACAAACCAGCAAGCGCCAACAAATAGAGCAGCCCACGGTCTCAGCTTTTCCACAACAGCCCCATTTAAAAATATCTCTCCCACACACACACACTCTCACTTTGGGGACTGGAAAAGATGGTGCCTAACCTCTAGCCGGGCCTCCTACCCAGCGTAGGGGCCAAAGCAGGAAGTGAGCCAGAGGTGGGGAGATGGAGGCCCAGCGAGGTAGGAGAACGGCGAGCCAATGGTAGAGCCAGGCTTGACTGTGCCTACGGGGGCATTTCCCTGCCATGGAAATCCATATGTCATGTCGTGATTTGCCCATTCCTTGCCTGCCTCACCTGAGCCACTTTGCTGTGAAATAAGGTCCATGCCTCACCCATCGTGCTTCCCAGCTAAGCTTGGTGCTTTTGGGGAGCTTACTATGTCCCGGGCACTGTGGGATGCATGTGGGAACTACATCCTCATTTAATCTTCACAGTGACATTCAGAGGTAGGGCAGTGGGCCGGGCACAGTGGCGCACTCATGTAATCCCAGCACTTTGGGAGGCCAAGGTGGGCAGATCACCTGAGGTCAGGAGTTGGAGACCAGCCTGGCCAACATGGTAAAACCCCGTCTCTACTAAAAATACAAAAATTAGCCAGATGTGGTGGCACGCACCTGTAGTCCCAGCTACTTGGGAGGCTGTGGCAGGAGAATGGCTTGAACCTGGGAGGTGGAGGTTGCAGTGAGCCAAGATCACACCACTGCACTCCAGCCTGGGCGACAGAGTGAGCCTGTCTCAAAAAAATAAAAAATAAATAAATAAGTAGGGCATTGGGCCATTTTTAGAGGGAGAAGCGAGGGTCCGAGAAGGTAAGGAATGTGTCCATGTCACCTCCTTAGCAGGTGGAGGCGCCAGAGCCTGAAACCACCGTCCCTGTTCCTAGTTCTGCTCTCAGCTCTCCGAGGGAGGCCCTTCCCAAGCCTGCAGGAGTTAAGACTTGCTGAGTTTGTCTTCTGAACATGAGGCTTACCAGATCCTAGAAGTTTCTACAGAGCAGGGCACAATGCCAGGTGCTAGGCTTGGATGCTGGCACCTAAAAGTGCCAGGCAATGCTCACTTCACAAAGCTCCTGTAGGGTCAACCTGAGTCCCAGGTGGCTAGGAGGTGCTCCCAATGTTACCAGATGGAACGCCTTGACTGTGAGTTGTCCAGGTTCTTGGCACGTTAAACAAAGAATAGAAAAACCCTTACAAAGCAACAAAAGAATAAAGCAATGAAAGACAAAGCAACAAAAGAACGGTTGCCAGGTGTGGTGGTGGGTGCCTGTAGTCCCAGCTACTCTGGAGGCTGAGGCAGGAGGATCACTTGAGCCCAGGGGGCAGAGGTTGCAGTGAACTAAGATCATACCACTGCACTCCAGCCTGGGTGACAGAGCAAGATCCTGTCTCAAAGAATAAACTTTAAAAAAAGAAAAAGAAAAAAGCAGTAATAAAAGCACAGATTTATTGAGGCAAAAGTACATTCCACAAAGTGGGAGCAGACTCAAGCAGGTGGCCCAAGAGCCTCTCTACTGCAGTGCTCCCCAGGGTTTTTTTTTTTTATGCTATTTACAAATTTGTTTGTTTGCTTATTGTTACTAGAATGTGTGCTCCAGGATAGTCAATGTTGTCTGTTTTGTTTAAAGCTGTATCCCTAATGCCTATGACAGCCTGCTACACCGTGTGCAAATAAATGTTTGTTGAATGAATGAATATTGTTTTTTGTTTTTGGGGGTTTTTTTTGAGACGGAGTCGCGCTTTGTCACCCAGGCTGGAGTGCAGTGACATGATCTCAGCTCACTGCAACCTCTGCCTCTCCCCAGGGTTTTTATAAAGCTAAAAGAATTTGCTAGCACCCCTAGGTGCCCTTTAGAGGCCTAGGGTTAGTTACACCCCATGAAGGACTGGCCTGTGACCAATCAGAGGCTGAAGTGACAGCTTGGCCCACAATCAATCAGAGGCTGAAGTGGAAACTTCTGTCTTATCACAGGAGTGAGGATGTGGCCTATGTGCTGCCTAATCTTGCCTAGAACTGGCTGCACCCACTGTTTTTACGCCTTAACCTTTGGTTACCCCAATTCCCTCTTCTCCTGCCTCACCAGCATTGTCCCTTGCCTTCTTCCACAGATTCCCCTGCTCCATCAGCCAGAGTCACTGGACGTTTCCTATGGGCCAGGCTTCACCAGCAGGCTGAACCCCCTCACCCTGCCCAGTGGCCCTGGGCACTGCACTGTCCCAGCAGGGGATGCCTTTCCCAAGCCTAGGCCTCTGCTCCCTGTCAATCTCTTGAAATCCCACCTAATCTTTTTTTTTTTTTTAAACAGGGTCTTGCTCTGTCACCCAGGCTGGAGTGCAA
Source organism: Homo sapiens (assembly GCF_000001405.40). Lineage (NCBI taxonomy): Eukaryota > Metazoa > Chordata > Mammalia > Primates > Hominidae > Homo > Homo sapiens. The sequence goes on along the minus strand of NC_000002.12, from coordinate 47,531,433 downwards.
GGGTGCAGTCATGGCTCACTGCAGCCTTGACCTCCAGGGCTCAAGCCATCCTCTCACTTCAGCCTCCTGAGTAGCTAGGACCACAGGCACACGCCACCACGCCCAGCTGATTTTCAAATTTTTTGTAGAAATGGGGTCCCACTATGTTGCCCAGGCTGGTCTTGAACTCCTGGGCTCAAGCGATCCAACCGCCTCAGCCTCCTAAAGTGCTGGGATTACAGGTGTGAGCCACCGTGCCCGGCCCCACCCAGTTGTTAAGACTGAACACAAATATCTCTTCTTCCATATGTCTTTCCTAATCATTCCACCAGGAAGGCCTCAGTTCTGATGTTGACCTAAACTGGTCTGGATGCACCCGGGGATTGGGGATTATTTTCAGTTCCCCAGGTGATTCTATTGTGCAGCCAGAATTGAGAATTGCTGCTCTTGCCAAAAGCAACCTACCTCTCCTTCTTCCAAACTCTTGTACATTTGCTGCTTTATCACATTGCAAGCTCCTTCCTCTAGTTTCAAATCTCTGCCATGTGCTTGCTTTGTGATCTTGGGCAAGTTACTGAACTTCAATGTCTTTATCTGTTAAATGCAACTCAGTTTACTAATCTCACAACTGGGGACAATAATCATCCCCACTATAGTTCATCAAATCTAAGACACTATTGGTTATGAACACACCATCATGGTACGTACCATTAGGAATTTAAAATACTGCCAAATAAACTATCAGGCCATTGACTGTAAGATGCACGATTTTAGAGATGTTAACATGAGAGGAAAAAAGCTGTGACTTGGAATCAGTGAAAACATGGAGCCTCATGCAGTTGTTGTGAGGATTAAATGAATTGATACGCGTGCAGCACTTGGCACGGTGCGTGGAAATAGTGAGGCTCGATACACAACAGCAGTTATTATACCCTCCGCATTTTCAGTCCTCAGTAGTGACTTCTCCAGCTATTCTTTTAGCACCAGCTTTCCCAAAAGGTTCAGGGCTTGTCCACGGTGGTCGGTTGTCCTCCCCGGGGGTGTGACATGGAGATGGCTGACATGTGCAGCCCTGAGGTACCAGGGCTGGGGCACATGTCCCAGGGAAGTCTTTGGCCCAGTGCCCTCTCAAGTGTCCAGTCCTCCCCCACTGAGTCTGGCCAGAAGCCCACTCCTACTCCCAGAGAGGCGATGTCGCAGTTCCAGCCACGGAGCAGGCTGTTGGCAGCCCCGCCCTCCATCCCACAGCCCTCCCCCATCTCCCACTCCTCCCTGTTAGGAGAGAGAGGGACATGGGGAGGCCTGGCCGCTGGCCTGGCTGGGCAGGGCTCAGCCTTGTGTGAGCCTTGGGTTCCTTGATTAAAGTGAGGCTCTTAATCCCAACACTGGCCAGTCAGGAAGGATCAAATGAGATGGGAATATTGGGAGAAGCTTCTCAGAGGAGTGTACCAAGCTGACAAGTGGAGTCATGAGTAGGGTTGCCAGGTTTAGGAAATAAAAAGACAGCATGCCCAGTGAAATTTGAATTTCAGATAATCAACTATATTTTAGTATAAGTATGTCCTATGCAATATTTGGGACATACTTATACTTAAAAAATGATTTCTTGTTTACCCAAGTCATATTTAACTGGGTGTTCTGTATTTTACCTGGCAACCCTAATGAGCCATGGGCCATGCCCAGTATTTCTGAGTCTTTTTCCATCCCTGCCCACTGAGTCCACGCCTCAGCCTTCCCATGGTTTCTCTGTAGTCATGAAAATGCTCTGCACTGATTGACTTAGGTCTACCCATTCTTGAGCCAGTCATGGTAAGGAACTGGATTATCCTGATTGGCCTAGACTAATAGAGCCCATTCCTGGAGTTCAGTCTGTTCTCCAAGTAGCCTGGCTGCTACTCAATATAGTACAGGCTGGGAGAATGATTGGTAAGGAGAGAGCTGCAGTGCCCACCACAAAAATTTTAGGTCAATGGAAATTTAAATCAAAATATTTGTAGTTGGACAGATTCCAACCAATAGGGTCATCTGGAATACCTTATTAACATTATTTCTTAAAGGAATGGCATTCTTAAAGGAATATTCCATTTACATCAGATTTATCTGGAGACATTTGTTAAAATGAAATTCCTGGGCCCATTTTCTGACCCACTAAATAAACCTCTGAGCGGGACCTGCCATGGAATCTGCATTTTAATCATGTGTCCCAGTTGCTTGGAACAGCCCTGGTTTATACATGCTGTCCTGGGGTAATTACTAGTAGAGCCACTTTCACTCTCAGAAGTATCCCAGATTGGACTGTACAGTACGTTTTATTTCCCTCTCTCACAGTTGACAGTGCAGAGCCCAGCAGGAAAAGTCTCCAGCGGGTAATGAGTCAAGACTTCCCATCTGTCTGGCAAGTGGAAAGGGCATGGGCTTCAGGGCCAGCTCAGCCACGTACAAACTAACTTCAGTGAATGCTTCCCCTCCCTCAGCCCATTTCCTTGCCTGCATTTTTGGGCGTAATAGTGCCTCCCTCACAGGGTGGCTGGGGGCCTGGATGGGAGGAGTGTGTCAAGGGCCCAACCGAGGCTGCCGCCCAGGGCTGCACGATACAGATCAGTGCTGGCCTCTCCATCTCACTTCCATGCTCTCTGAGCTGAACTCCGAAGGCCCCATCACCAGGGCCCCATTTGCGAAGGCGGCACCAGACAGGCTGTGGGAACGAGCTTCACAGCTTTTGTCAAAGTGGCATAATAAAGCCCCCAAGTGTCTGCTCTTTGCAAACTGGGATGGCAGATCAATTGTGGCATAAACAAAATAGCAGGCTTGGTGCGAACCCAGGGACAGATCACGCCTCTGCAGGGTGTGATTGAGGGGGAGGAGGAGATTCTCAGGGTGGCTGGGTTTGCCTTTTCTCTGGCTGAAGCTTTGAGGCCCCTCTCCAGAGCAGCTTGGCTCCCCACAAATTGCAAGAGCTTGGGAGACTGCTTCTCTACTCTGGGAGGCAACTGGCTAGGCAGTGGCACAAGCATAGGCCCCAGTGCCCTCAGCAGGAAGCCTGTCCCAGGGTCTCAGCACCCCCCCAGAGCTCTGAACCTACTGACCTTGATGCGGAAGAAGGATGGACCATCCTCCACCCCCACCTTGTCTCCCAGGATGAGCTGAGTGTGCTCTGTAGGAAAGCGAAGGGCAGTAAAGCAGGCACAGAGAGACCTCAGGAACAGGACAGTAAGGACGCTTTCACTGGTTGCCCTGTGCGCTGTCGGAGACCCTTCTGCCTCACCTGTCCCTTCATTCTGGGCAGATGGTGTTACACAGCTAGTCTAGTATTTAGCATCATTTGGGGCCTGCAGCACTCCCTAGCTAAGTTGTTATGCTGAATGCAAGCTGAACCAGGGCCGTAAGAAGACCCCAGGACAAGTTCTGGCCCAGACTATATGCGCCCTGTCCCAGAGGTGAGCCTGCTGGCAGCAAAGGGGGTAGGATCTGTACAAAACTGCTAAGAAACCCAGTGAGGGGCCTCTAGGAAGGCAGCCTAGAGACTGAGGACAGGAACTGCATCTGTCTGGTTTTCCACCATATTTCTGAGCCTTGCATGATACTGCCAACCTGATGCTGTCCACAGTAAATGTTTGCTGAAGGAATGAATAGGTGGATGTTGGTCTTACCAGCTTCATGTCTGGTGTTGGTTGCCTTGCTGAGGCCCTCGGATAAAGCCACACCCTTGTGAGGAGGGAGCATGAGGCCGGTCACATTCTAGGTTTGGTCATCCAGGAAAAAGGCAGATCCTCAACTGGAAACCCAAACTCCAATAGATGGCCTTGGGCAGAAGCCAGGAGTCCAGACATGGAAGAGTTTGGAGGAGTCAGAAGAGGCCCCCAGAGAGTGGAGGAGATGGCCTTGGCCTCACAAGAGTAGGTCAGGCAGGGCAGGCCTGTGGGGGGCCTCAAGAGGCCAATGAGTACCCCAGCTGTGGTCAGCCAGGCAGACTGTCACCCAGAAGCAGCAGTCTCCTCTGCACCTCATTCCTCGCGCTGTCCTCAAGCCCTGGGTCAAGTCTTATGTAAATAGCCCAGCTTGTCTGAGCTGTGCCACGGGGAGGTTATGAGTCTACCTTGGCAGACTCTTTAGGGGATAGGCCATGGCCCCTCTCCCCTGTGAAGGGGACAGCAATGATCAGTAGAAAGGAGGCCAGAGAGGACAGAGGACTCTTAAGGATGGGAGTCACAACTCTGAGCAGCAGCCACTCTCCCACGAAGATGCTCCCCTGGCTGTGGTCCTGGAGGACTGCAATTTGGTTTCTTAAGAAAAATGGAGCTTCCTTGGTGCCCTCAGAATACAGTCTAATGTGGTGGAAAGAGCATGAACTTTAGATGCTAGCACACCTGGGTTTCAGTCTCGGCTCCACCATTTCCAAGCTGTGGGGACTTCGCAACTGCTTTTCACCCTTTAACCTGCAGTTTCTGCATCTGTTGAATGGAGCTGTTCTCCCCCATAGGTTGTCATGATGACATGCGATGATGCAGGCAGGGCCAGCATTGTTAGGTGGTGGCTTTCACCACAATGAAGAGAAAATCCAGGTGGAACCAGTTTATTAAATGGGCCGACACTGGAAATGGCTTTGTCTCATCTATTGTCTTTAAGAACTCCCTTTTAGATTCCTTAACATCTTGGGTAAATGCTAGAGTTATCCAAATAGTTTTTATGTCTTTTTGTGTTTTGGGGTTTTTGTTTGTTTTTGAGACGGAGTTTCGCTCTGTCGCCCAGGCTGGAAGGCAGTGGCGCGATCTTGGCTCACTGCAACCTCTGCCTCCCGGATTCAAGCGATTCTCCTGGCTTAGCCTCCCAAGTAGCTGGGATTACAAGTGCACTCCACTATGCCCGGCTAATTTTTGTATTTTTAGTATAAACGGAGTTTCGCCAAGTTGCCCAGGCTGGTCTTGAACTCCTGGCCTCAAGTGATGCACCCACCTTGGCCTCCCAAAGTGCTGGGGATTACAGGCGTGAGCCACCAGGCTCAGCCAGTTTCTTTGTTTCTTTTCTTTCTTTCTCTTTTTTTTTTTTTTTCTGAGGGAGTCTCACTCTGTTGCCCAGGCTGGAGTGCAGTGGCGCAATCTCGGCTCACTGCAAGCTCCGCCTCCTGGGTTCACGGCATTCTCCTGCCTCAGCCTCCCGAGTAGCTGGGACTACAGGCACCCGCCGCCACACCTGGCTAATTTTTTTTTTTTTTTTGTATTTTTAGGAGAGACGGGGTTTTTGCATATTGGTCAGGCTGGTCTTGAACTCCTGACCTCAAGTGACCTGCCCACCTTGGCCTCCCAAAGTGCTGGGATTACAGGCATGAGCCATCACGCCCGGCCTCTTTTGTTGTTGTTGTTGTTGTTAATTAAGTACCAGTTTTAAGATTGAGACTCGTTCTCAGTTGTTTAATCAAATCTTCAAATTCACTTCTAATCAGAGCTTATTTAGCCTCCCCCTCTAGCTCTGGGCTGACACATGGCTCAGGGGACCCGCAGTGGATGGGGCATGGGGGTGATCTTACATCACTGGAGCCACTATCATTCCTTCTTAACTTTTGCTGGTGGGGCTGCAAGGCTCCCTGTTAGAACAGGCATATGTGCTTTCACGGCATCTATTTATGGGTCCTTGGGAGCCCTGCACAGGGACCACTCCCTGCCCCATTCCCTGAGTGGGCACTGCCCTCTCCATCCCTCCTCCTGTGACTCCCTCTCATGCTGTCCCCAGCCCTCTGCCCCTCAGCCTCTTCTTCCTAGGGCCCCCTTGCTCCAGCAGGCAGCCCTCTTGAGCAGTCTCTTCAGATCTCTTCCTTTCAGTATCCACTTGTCACCCTCTGGTGACCCATGTCACCCTCACATCTCCTGATGAAGCAAGCCCTTGAAGTACAGATGGCCCCTGGGACTGCCCTCTTCCTCCCCTGCCTGTGGGGGCTGCCCCAGTCAGCCTCCCACCCAGAGAACTCTCCAGCACAGCTCTGGACTCCAGGGGACACTGCCGGGTTCTCCCAGAACCCTCACCATGCTCCACTCTGGGTAGGCCTGTGAGCGGCTGTGCCCAGCCAGCTAGGAAGTGAGCTGCCGGGCTCTTGCTGACACTCCATAAGTCCTCTTGACCTTCCCTGCTCCAACCATCCCCTGGCCTGGGGGTGAGTGAAAGAATCCACAGCACTCTCCACTGCCACAACAACTACCCATAACAACTTCCCAACTGATGGAAGATCCCATCAATCCCCAGCCTTTCCGTACAGCCTGGAGGTGGGGGTGTGGGGGGTTGCTAGCCCCAGACCTGTTTTGCTGTTTTATTAAGTCCAGCATGGATGTGTCTGGAACTTCTCTTTAGAATGGGGAGAAATGTACACATACTGTTCTCAGCTTTGAGGCTTTAGCTGAAAAATCCAATTCAGTATTTTCTTAGTTAGACAAAGTATTGGTTTTCCAGGCCCAGGATTTTCAATTACCTTAGGAATTTAACAGAGTTATCCTTCTATAAGAGACTTTGTGTTCCCTCAGTGAGTAGATGCAGTGTTCTGTATACCGATCTATGCACCAGGCTTGAAGCCAGGACAAAGAGGTGGGAGTCTGTCCCCAACATGCAGGTCACAGCCCCTCAGCCCCTACTCCCTCACCTATACAGTGATGGGTACGTCAGAATTGGGTATCTGAGAGTTCTAACAGTCTAGAAGTTTAAAATTTTTTTCTCACTATGAGTACAAAAAAACTCACAAAACATACAATTTAACAGATTATTACACAGCTAACACACATGTAACTACCACCCAGGTCAACAAAAACATTTCTAGCACCCCAGAGGTCCCCTATGTCCCCTCTCAGCTACTACCCCCTGCCATGCTCTAGAGGAAATCCCAATTCTGACTTTTATCAAAATTACTTCCTTGCTTTCCCTTATAATTTTACCAACCATGCATGCATCCCTAAAAAAGGCTGTAGTTTGGCCTGATTTTGAATTTTATGTTAATGGAATAATGCAGAATGTATTATTTTGTGTCCAGCTTATTTTGTTCCACATTCTTTTTGTGAGATTTATCCATGTTGTTTCAAGTAGCTATGGTTCATGCTTTTTAATTGCTGTATAGTTTTCCTTTTTATGAATAGACAATCATTTAGTTGTGTTGTTAGACATTTAGGTTACTGGTCTAAAACGTTTTATAAATATACACATATACTCCCACTCCACTTATAGCCATGTAAATTCAGAGCTGATTTCTTTATAAACTCAAGAACTTGAGTGTGGCTTTAAAATGTAGCAAAATCCCTCTATCAAGTTCTTGGTTACACAGCTATTTTGGTTTTTTTCACTTTCTGTAAATCTAGGGACATAATCCATCTTCCTCAACATGGGTAACATCATAAGATTTTCCCCTCACCTGAGTCATTAAGCGTAAGATCAACACCACACTCGGGCAACTGGGCATTTCCTTCAGACAGTCTAGAAAATGATTGTTAGCACATAGGCTTAAGGAATGTACTCTGAAAGTATTACAAGAAATATTTTCTATAGTCTGTTTAGGAAACTAGTAAGCCACATAGGACAAACTCTTCTCCACTTTCCCAGGGCTGGCCCCACCCCACTGGCAGAGCACAGGTAGCCCTTCTGCCATAGGGCACAAATTAAACAGGGATGCCCCTGATCGCTGCCAGACTTGCTGAACAGTATCATGGTGCTGCTCAAATGATCCATTTTTTCAGCTCAGACTCCAAGCAGTAAGTGAATCTTTCCACCAAGAGATGAAACCCCCTCCCATAACCAGAGTCAGGCAACCACGGGTCCCACAGACCACAGCCAGCACTGGGCAGGGAGCTCAGTTGAGAGGCAGAGCTGCCACTCTGCACTGCCCTGGATGGCATGGGCGAGCACACTGGCAGGCAGCCACACCTTCTGCAGAAATCAATTGATAAAGACACCCTTAAAGCCTGTGCTTTGAACAAGTGGTAAGTTAACAACGATAAGGGCCTGAAGCAATACGCAGTTGTATAGACCTCCCAGAACAAAGCAATTTGATATACCAGCAGCACAGGACCCAGCTGGGCCAGAGCCTTTCTTTGGCCACAAGTGTGAGCAAGGATGACTGATGGTGATCCTTGGTTGAGAAGGAGCCGGCACCCAATGGCAGAGCCATGCTCAGTCTCTGAAGGGTGTGGGTGGACTACTCTCAAGCAATCCTTTTGTCAGCCTCACAAAGCTCTTTTCAGAGACCATTAACTCTAGCTACCTGGTTACACTCTACCTGGTCCCAGAGTGAACAATCCCAATTAAGGCAAAGCCCTATGGAATGCTTCCCTAACAAGGCTGTCTGCCCAGGTGTACTACAGGTTACATTTAAAAACCAGGCTTTTGGAGAAAAACTCGTAGTCAACAGTTGTTCGGCTCGGATTCACTCACAATTCCAAATAACTTGAGGAAAGAAGAGGAGCTGCAGTTGACTTTTGAGCACTGACACTTAATTTTGGGGTCCTTTAGTTAGTAGGCAGAGTTGGTAAACTGATTTTTTTTTTAATAACAGGGAGGGACCGAAAATCTATGGCACACTTGGGAAAAAAAATTGGGCACATATGACAACTCTTTAAAAACTGCCCTTTGAACAGAAAAGTCTGCTATTCTAGTATGTAAGACTTTGGAGTCATCTGGGAATTGATTTGAAATGCACATTTTCTTGTCACCCCATATTCACACTGTAAGAACTAGGGAAGTGACGGACTACCCACTTGGCCTTAGGCCCAATTCCAGAGGCATGAAATGTTGGCAGACTAAGAAAATATGGTCCTTTCTCTGCCATTAGAAAAAATAACAAAGAATTCACTGGACATGGTGGCATACACCTGCAGTCCTATCACTTGGGAGGCTGAGGTGGAAGGATCACTTGAGCCCAGGAGTTTAAAGCTGCAGTGAGCTATGATTGTACCACTGCATCCAGCCTGGGTGACAAAGAACCTATCCCCCCAAAAAAGAAAATATGATCGTTTGACCAAAGGCCTTTTCGAAGTGCCTGTAAAGTGAAAATTAGTCACAGCACTAAGATTACTTGGCTTTTTTCACCATTCTCAAGTAGGCAGTGGAGTTTCCAAGTAACAAGACTGGTATAAAAAGTGCACAAGCACATAAGAAGCTAGATATCTTTGAAGAGATCTATGTTGGTTTTGATTTCTAATGTAAATATTTGTAATTCACCCAACAAAACTCACCTAGACTAGTATATTAATGTATTTATGAACTAAAATAAAGATGACAGTTTTTAAAAAAAAATTTGGAGGAGTGGGAGAGCAGGTGTCCCTTGTTGGCTTTGTGGGTAGCTCAGTGGTTTGCACCTGTGCAGCAGTGGTTTCTATTTTTTGTGTCATGATGGGTCCTTCCTAGTGACTACCTGTCCCAACCACTTGGGTTTATAGGTCCCCAAGATGAAGGGCCATGTCTCCTCCATCAGTTTAGGGGCTGCCAAGATCAGGAAACCTATTAAGTGCCACCAAGGGAGATAAATGACTAAGTGCTGTTCTTCCTCCACCTGAGTGGTGCCACTCGAGATAGGAGCCGCGCAAGCACCTGCATGCCCCCGCCCCCACACCCCCCACCCTCGCCCAGTGAGGACCACCTGCGCGGCCAGGACCGCGCTGACCCTGCCCTGTCTCCACAGGTTTCGGCATGACCACCCCCGCGACGGTGGGCGGGAAGGCCTTCCTCATCGCCTACGGGCTGTTCGGCTGCGCTGGGACCATCCTGTTCTTCAACCTCTTCCTGGAGCGCATCATCTCGCTGCTGGCCTTCATCATGCGCGCCTGCCGGGAGCGCCAGCTGCGCCGCAGCGGCCTGCTGCCCGCCACCTTCCGCCGCGGCTCCGCGCTCTCGGAGGCCGACAGCCTGGCGGGCTGGAAGCCCTCGGTGTACCACGTGCTGCTCATCCTGGGCCTGTTCGCCGTGCTGCTGTCCTGCTGCGCCTCGGCCATGTACACCAGCGTGGAGGGCTGGGACTACGTGGACTCGCTCTACTTCTGCTTCGTCACCTTCAGCACCATCGGCTTCGGGGACCTGGTGAGCAGCCAGCACGCCGCCTACCGGAACCAGGGGCTCTACCGCCTGGGCAACTTCCTCTTCATCCTGCTCGGCGTGTGCTGCATTTACTCGCTCTTCAACGTCATCTCCATCCTCATCAAGCAGGTGCTCAACTGGATGCTGCGCAAGCTGAGCTGCCGCTGCTGCGCGCGCTGCTGCCCGGCTCCTGGCGCGCCCCTGGCCCGGCGCAATGCCATCACCCCAGGCTCCCGGCTGCGCCGCCGCCTGGCCGCGCTCGGTGCCGACCCCGCGGCCCGCGACAGCGACGCCGAGGGCCGCCGCCTCTCGGGCGAGCTCATCTCCATGCGCGACCTCACGGCCTCCAACAAGGTGTCGCTGGCGCTGCTGCAGAAGCAGCTGTCGGAGACGGCCAACGGCTACCCGCGCAGCGTGTGCGTCAACACGCGCCAGAACGGCTTCTCGGGCGGCGTGGGCGCGCTGGGCATCATGAACAACCGGCTGGCCGAGACCAGCGCCTCCAGGTAGACCGCCCGTCCGCCCGCGCCGGGGACCCTCTCCAGGCCGCGGGGCCGCCGGGCGTGGTTTGCTTCTCTCAGTCACTGCTGGCGCTTTCTTAATCTTTATCCAATAAAATGAAACAAAAAAAATTTTTTTAAAGAAATACTATTTGGCCAGGCCTGATGTTATCAAGGGCAGGTTTTGGGGACGCCTGTGTTCCTTGTGAGTCCCCTCTTGGAGAACCGTGGCCCCCAGCAGATTCTCCTTCAGGGAGAGAAAACGTGGCCCCCCAGGCCCACACCCAGGGCATACCGCAGCGAGGAGGGTTTTGCAGACTGGCACTAAACCCCGTCCCCATGCACAGAAGCAGCCGGCAACCCCAAAGCATATGGTGCAACTTTTCGTGGCTCTGAATTACCTCCTCAGCATTTAGAATCCTGGCCCAGCCTAGCAGCTTCCTTCTGGTCGTCAGAAGTGATATAGTCACAGTTTTGACAGGTGGGGGTTGGGACAGCCATATGTTGCCTCCCGATGTATATATATAGAACAGCCACTACACACAGAGAATGGTGTAGTATTATGCAATGAGATGAAACATAGCACCAACTTGCGGACTGTGGCATTTCCCCCAGATTTGGAAATTGCAGTGGTGAGGGGCTTAGCTGGCCTTTCTCAGCTCAGAGTTAGTCCATTTAGCACAGAGCACAGGGCAGCTACTTCTAATGGTGGGCGGTCCAGGGCACCTGTGAGGAGGGGAGCGGTGAGGCTGCAGGAGCCCTGCTGGGCTTTTAGCTGGCTGATCTCCAGGCTCGGATCGGCAGATCTTGAATCCCCCAACCGTCCTTTCTTTCACAAGCTCATCCACAGCAGTGCTTTTCAATATTAACCAGGAATATCTGAGTCTTCTCAGACAAGATATTTATTTGTTGGTGTGGATTTTTTTTTTCTTAACTACTGTTGATCAGTTCAACTTTTCCCCCTTTAAGAGATCATGGGGTTGCCGGGCGCAGCCCTCCAGCTTCTCCTCCTCCTCCTCTGAAGGAGGCACCTCTGCCAGCTGCGTCCTTGGGAACCAGGGCCTGCAGCACCAGGAACCCAAAAGAAGCCATCTTGCAAATGTCAGGGTATTTGGCTCCAGAGGCCATGATGTGTTTGGGGTCAGGAAAGATAGAATCCCTTTCTAAATATTGTTTATCAAGAGGATTTGTCTTCTCCATGCACAGCCTATTGGAGGCAGAGGAAGGCAGGAGGGAGGTAGCTGGTGAAACTGGTGGATGGAAGTAATGTTAGGATTACAGTTTTGCTCTCGGGCTGAGGGACAGATTCTCCCAGACTTGCCTTCTGCAGCATAGGGGGTCCCTGACCTGGAGGAAGGCCAGATACCCAGGCTTCATTGAAAGGATAGTGGTCTGGGGGTGTAAACGAACACTCTCTCTGCCCATTTTTCTCATATATGATGAGGGCAAGGACAGGTGCCAGAGTTTATACAGGCACGGCGTGACCCACCAGTATGCACAGCTTCTGATAGGAAGTCTTAGAAAAGCACCGCCTCACCGCCTCCAGCTGGAGCCATGCTGTGAAATCTCTCTCCCTGGCAAATGTGCGTGGAACACACACACACACAAACATGCACGCATGCGCTCACGCACCCAGCATTAGAGTCAAACTTGAATGTCAAACTCTTCTTTCCCCTTCTAGTTCATGGCAGGAAGGGAAAGCTTACCTGAGATCTCAGTGACTCTCCAGCTATTTTGGGTAATTTCTGATTTGAGTTGGGATTGGTTTTTAAACACAGGCCCTAATCTGGGGTGAAGCCAGTGAAGCAGCGCTGGCCAGGAGAGACGTCAGTCTTGCTAAATCCTGAAGGTGGGTTCCTGTGAAAACCATGCTTTCAGGATTCACTGTGACTGTCAGGCCAGCCCAGTGAGTGCCCCCCATCCAACCCATGGTTGCGGTCACAGTGAAGGGATTGCCCACGCAGGGGCGCACGTGTTCTCTAGGGCAGGGCCCTCTGACAGGACCTGGAAATAAAATCCACATTTATCCCTTTAAAAAAGGGAACGATTAAAAGGCATCCAATTAGAGGTGTTACCTAGGCAACAGGAAATAACTTGGGGATCAGAGCCATCCAGAGAGGGAAGAAGAGATCCCCATGATAGAGGCATCTAGACAGTGAGGACTTGATCTGCGGGCAAAATAACAGCCTACCCACAGGAAGTGAGCCCCAGCAACAGTACAGCAGCCTAAAACCCAGGCATCAAGACTGTGTGAGCTAGACAGGTCTAAAGAAACCTCCAGGCAATCCCCCGCCCAGCGTGCAGGACTACACAGAATCGTGGTCTCCATGGGAGGAACCAGGACCCACCTCCAGAGAAGAAAAACTCAAAATGTTTCTTGGCAGTCTTCTCTGTTGGCGGTGCTTCCTAGACTCTATCCTAAGTTGCTTATGCTGCAGCCTCAGCTGTTTTTACTTGTTTTCCTATGCTTTGGTTTTGGAAAGAGGCAATTGGAGGCAGCTTGAGCAATCTTCTAAAGGAATGGTAAGCATGGTTTCAAGGGGCAGGAAAATGAGACCCTTCCTCTTCCCACCTCCCAACTTCCCAGAGAAACGCCAGTCCTCCAAGGTACAATGGCAGCTCAGGATCCAGTGGCACATGTGTATTTTTGCCTATGTTCCCCTGTCCCCATCCCCCAATCCAGTCTCAGTCACACTGCCATGATACATCACACCATCATCCTTCATCTCAGGCCAAAGGGCTCAGCGCCCCAGACGACAGGGACTGCTTCCCTGAAGCAGGGATGTGGTTCTCCCATCATTTCAGGAACAGTGACATTGATAGGGATGCCTTTCTTTGGTGCAGGTTCTTCTGAACCTCAGGCCAAGAAAGAGCTCCATTCCCTCAGATGCTGTGGCCTCTCTCACTGTCTTGGGGGTCTCCAGTTTGCACACCACTGGTAGCTCACTGTAGCCTACAATTTCCTCATGCTCCAGGATTTGCTTCCTAACCTTAGGCCTGGACTTACCCATCATGCCGGTGCTGTGGGGCTCCCTTAAAGTTTGAATGAACTCCAAGAGGCCCTCACCATATGACTGTGGCCACAGAGAATCCAGAGTCTTGGCTAGCAGCCTTCTCAGAGCTGAGGAGAAAGGTAAAGAAGCCACCCTGGGTGTCCTAGCTTGCTAAAGCCAGGTGGTCAGGCCTTTGTGTCCTCTGAATGAAGCAGTGCCTCCAGGCCTGGAGAAGGCATCAGAAGGCTTAGGCAATCTCAGGCTCTCATTTTGTGGAAAATGCCAGACAGCCCTGGGCATTTGCACAGCATCATGCATATATGTATATATATATACACACACACATACACACCAGCCTTACAAAGAGCTACTAACCCTTTTCCCCAAGGAAAAGTCTCAGTCTGGGCCACTTTAAGAAGAAAGATTTCCCATTTTTAACTCTCTAGAGATGTACCAGGGCCTGGAAAATCCCTCTCTGCCTTGGGGGAGTTTTATGTACAATTTGCATGTATTCAGGTTTCACACAGAAGCCAGCATCCAAACCCAAGCCAAACCCTGGAAAATAGCTGCTAAATTGACCCAGGATCCTCCGTCCTTCAGACAGGCCTCCCAGCAGACCCCCTCTTCCTGTGGACTCTGGGGTGAGGGATGACTGAGCCCTCATGGCCAAAGGAGAAGCTTCTGGGGAACTGAGGCAGACGGCAGCCCAGTCAGGCAGAGACCATAGGAGCGACGGGCCCTGTGGTTCGATCTTACTGTAACTTTTTACATTCTTAAAAAACAAAAAGCACAATTCCACATACACACTGTCTGGAAAGCACAGCCAGACAGCCAGCCTAGGGCATCTGAGTCCAGAAGAGGCGCTGGGGCTTTATCTGTTGCAGGGTTCTTGTATTGTTGTATAATGTGCTGGTGGTGACTCAAGGCTCCTCACTTTGTAGGGTGGAGAGGGAGGGAGGGAGGGCCTGCTGAGGCCATTCCTGACCCCCAGGGTGGGCTCATCAGCATGGACTTGGGGCCTGGACTCTTGCCCCTGAAGCAGCTCTGGCACTTTCAGGCACCCCAGAGCACAATTGCTACACCTTCCACGCTAGTCTCATGCATTGAGGATTTCTGCACTCGGACCTGGCCCCAAACCCTCTTCCCCTTCCCCTTCTTCCCTAAGGAAGCTCCCCCTTGCTTTACAAATCATTTTTTATGCTATCTGTTCTCTCAGGAGGGGGCTAGAGCATGCGGGACAAGCCTGCAGGGTTTCTCAAACAATACATCTATTTTTCTGAGCAGCATTCCAAGAGAGGACTTGAAGGGTGTTTAAATTAACGATGAATAAAATGCAGCCTGCCACCCCTCTGAGCTGTTTGCTTTCTGTCTGTCAGAGCCGCCTGCCTCCCCATCTTCCAGTTCACACCTCCTCTCAGGAGGGCCCGGGGGACTTCACTGTTAGGATGGGGCCCAGTGGCAGCATCACTGGGAAGTTGCTCTACAAAACAACAGTGAAACAGAGCCCAGGGCACCAAGGGACCTCCTGGGCAGCTTGGCCAGGCTGAGCCAAGGCTGGGGGACTGGGAGATGGATCCAACCTGGCTGTGCCCGAGGCTCTCCAAATGGAGCTTTAAAGGATCCCGAGGCCCGGGCCGTACTCCCAGGAGTCTGATTTCATTGGTCTAAGGAGCAACTCAGGCCAGTCCTGGAATTTTTTGGGGGGATTCTAATGGGCAGTCATGGACTTGAATACACCCTGTAAACACAGAACACTCACATTATGGTGGTGTAGAAAGAGCGTCCACTTAGAAACTAGGAGGTCTGAATTCTAGTTTTGGATCTGGCAGTCATTTAGCTCACTCTGATCCTGTTTCCTCATCTCTAAAGTGGGATGATGATACCATCCCCCCACCTCCCAGCGGTCTTACGAGAAATAAGTGAGGGGCTAGGAACTCCGAAAAGTGTAAAGTCCTCCACAATTGCAAGATGTCACAATTATAAGAGGCATTTCATGAGGATATGGGACCAGGCTGCCCTATTGCTTCTGCATGGGGTCCTTCCCACAGTGTCAGCTGGGGATGAAGTTCTTCCAGCAGATTGCTTTTGCCTGGGTTGGCTTTGCAAACCCCTTCTTTTCAGAAGCAGCTTACTTGCCCTAATAATAGTGCAAACTCTACTGAGGCCTTCTCTCCCCTCCACATCCCCCTCCTTCTTTTCCTTCAATTTTCCCTAGAAATGAGAAGTAATTGACCATCAGGCTCACACTGGCCCCACCCACCTCTGTCTATACGATCACTCCCCACTCCCCTGGGCTCCCCACCCTGTTGAGCATGACCACTCAGAAGCACAAGCTCCATCTTTTATCTACAGCAGGGACTTTCATGACATCAAATGATAAAACAAGAAGTTTTCTACAACTATACTGTACAGATCATGCACTATTTTCCATTCTGGTATTGTTTTGTTTTGTCTTGTTTTAACCCATTTATGCTGGAGGTTGCAAATTTTTTGTGTAAAAAATCAGATTTTGGCGATGACCTTAAGCAGTAGGATGTAAATAACTCTCACAGACTTAGTGTTCCAATAAGGGAACGCTAGGCATAAATAGGTTAATGCTGGTCAAAGCTATTAAACTGATTTCATGATCTGCCTATGAATTACACCCAGCAATCTGAGAAACACTGGCTTACAGTGTTTCTGGAAAGAGGCCTTCCTGTTAGCTTCCAGCCAAGACCCATTAGCTAGGCTGCCGTGGCGGAGAGGCCTGATTTCTCGTCACCCATCAGCTCTCCTCTCTGTTGGGGTCTCCAGCTGTGCCCCAGCTATGTGATGGGCACAGGTGGCTGTTTTACCTGCATAAAGTAGCCTAGATGATCCTTGGGTTCCTTTCAAGTTCTAAGGCCTGTGATTCCTATAACATTTCATATGACACTCCAGTGATCCCTGGATGGACTGCCATTCCTCTCCCTTCTGTGGCCAGTTACCTTTCTATGAGTGTATCTAACAAGCAGATTTTAAAAAGGAACTTTTAGCTGGGCATGGTGGCTCATGTCTATAATCCCAGCACTTTGGGAGGCTGAGACAAGTGGATCACTTTAGCCTAGGAGTTCGAGACCAGCCTAGGCAACATGTCGAAACCCTGTCTTTACTAAAAATACAAAAAATTAGCCAGTCATGGTGGTGCACGCCTGGAGTCCAAGAGACTCAGGGGGCTGAGGTGGGAGGATCGCCTGAGCCCAGGAAGTCGATGTTTCATTGAGCCATGATCATGCCACTGCACTCCAGCCTTGGTGACAGAGTAAGACCCTGTCTCAAAAAGAAAGAAAAAAAAAAAAGAAAAAGGAAGAAAAGAAAAAAGAACTTTATATTTACCAAGCCAGACCCCCAGATAAGAGACTTGCATATTTATCTTATTTAATCCCCTGGCCAATCTTGGAAATTTGGCACTTTCCTCCCATTTTGTCTTGGGTCAGAGAGGTCAAGTAACTCGTCTAGTTTGGGGTCAGGCATCCCCTGTGTTAGGGGCTGGAGAGACAAGGGTGAGAAAGACAGGACCGCCCTTGATGTCCCTGGACTCCAGGCTCCTGGAGGCTGACGGGGGCAGGGCGCTGCAGTACGGCCTGCTGAGGGCTCCCTGTCCACCAGGCATTCTGGGCTGCCATGGGCACACCAAAGAGAGGCAGCCACCCAGCCTGGGTAGGCAGAGAAGGCTCTCAGAAGCAGCTGTCCATGCTGAGCCTGAGAGCAGCAAGCCTGCTGACAAGGAGCAGGAAGAGTGGCCCAGGCAGAGGAGCAGTGTGTGGGAAGAACAGAGCAGGGCCTTGTTGGGGGAACTGTGTGTAGTTCTGCAGGACTGGAGCATGCAGAGCAAGGGAGGTAATGAGGGGGCCAGATAGCGAAGGGCCTTGTAAAACAAAGCAAAGACTTTTCGCCTAATCCTGAGGACACTGGCAAGCCAGTGGAGGGGTTTTAAGGATGCGTGTGCTGCCGAAAATGACTCAGAATGCAGGAGTGGAGGAGGAAAGCAGATGGCAGGGTGGACCAAGGTAGTGCTAGTGAGAACACAGAGACGTGGAGAGATTTGAGGGACACCCGAAAGAGTAGGTCCACAGAATCAATGATTTGCCTGGATGGGGATGATAAGACTGAGAGAGAGGAATTGGGACGGAGCCAGGTCTCAGGCTAAGCAGCCAGGTAGACAGTGGTGCCACCACTGAGCCTGGGAACCCAGGAGGAGGAACAGAAGAGGTGATGAGTTCAATGAAGGAGAAGTTGGACTTCAGGGACCCATGAGATAACCATGGGGGAGGGGTTCCCACCAAGCAATTGGCCTTGTGAGTCTAGAGCTCATAACAATGACCCAGGCTAGACCAACATTTTGGAAGTTCTCAGCATCAAGATGGTGTGAATTACTCAGGCTGTGAGTGTGTAGAATGAGATAAAAAGAGGATCACAACCAGCATTTAAGGGACAGGAGGAAGAAGAAAAAAGACTAAGGAAAGAGGGTCAGAGATATGGGAGAAAACCAAGAGCACAGGATGCCACAAAGCCAAGGGAAACAAGGGTTTCAAGAAGGAATAAGTGCCAAGTGCCACTGAGTGATTAAGACAAGGACTGAAGAAAACACCCACAAGATTTAGCAAAGGGAAATATCAGTGACCTTGGCAGAAGCAGCCGCAGGGGAGTGTGAGCTTCTTTGGAACTGGTGCTGCCTGGCTAATTTTCATGGGTCACACATTAGGGATACAAGTTAGGATACAGATTCAAGCCACTCTAACAGAGGTTCAAAATAATACTGGCTTCCGTTGGTAAAAGTTCATGTCTCTCTCTTAAGAGTGAGTGCAAGCATAATCTATGTAGTATCAGACACTTCTATCTGTACCTATCACTTGTGTTCCCTTGCCACTGGCCAGAACTTTGTCACATGACCTAATATAGCTGCAAGATAATCAGGAAAAGTGGCCATGAACCAAGCAAGGCTGGTACTCCCAAGAAGAGTGTTGTTCATCTCATGTTCAGGCCACTGAGGGGACATTATGCAGCTGCAGTGGGACCTCTGAGGGGTGACAATGAGGGTAGTATGATAGCTACCTGTTGATAGTGGATTGATTTAGACTTCAGCTGGAAACAGGAAGTGAGTCCCTTCCTCTTTCCTCCCTCTTCCTGCCCTCCCCAACCAACAGGCTCTCCCAGTGGTAAACCTGTTTGGAAGGAATCCAACAAGGAGTTCTGGGAAATGTAGTTTGCTCAGCAATGCAGAGCAGAGTTCAGAGGCAGTGGGTGTACAAGGGCACATCATCCCATTAGCACACTTTAGCCATTGTGAAGTTCCCAGAAGGCGCTTTCTCACTGTAAGTCCTGGAATCTGGGCAGAGAAAGTTATATTCCTGACCCCTTTCTGGTCCATTTTTGAGAGCTTCCTGCTCCATTTTGAGGGAAATGTTTACAGAAGGGATGTTTGTAGAATTACAAATGAAAAACTTAACCAGAAGGCAACAGACACCAGGTCATGAGAGCTCACCACTGCCCTGGTTCTGTCTCTCTGGCCGACTGCAAGCAGATCTCTTTCCCCCACGAAGTTTCCTTTTCCATGTCAGCAAAATGAGGCACTGGTCTTTTGGCTCTGTCACTCTGAGGTTCTGAAAGGAAGGAGAAGAGAGGAGAAAATGTAGGAGTTCCACGGGGATTTCCATCAAGAACGATACTCAGCAAACATCTGCAGAGTACCTGACCCAGCTTAGACAGTTTGTTCAATTCTTTTTTCTCCATGGACTGGGAGGAGCAGGACCAGCCATCTGGATGCAGGATGGAAAGAAATGTCCTCCACTAAGGACTGGCCAGGTTCCTGCTGAAGGTGCAGCTTCAACACACATACCCCACCCCATGAGAAACTTCATGAGCTCCAGATCCTCGTTTTCATTTGTTTCTGCTTCCCCAAGGACAAGTAAAGTACCATTCTCCAGAACTGCACAGTCCAATAGGCAGCCACAAGCCACACACAGCTATTTAAATGTAAGTGAATTTAAACTACATTTTCAGCTCGTCAATTGCACTAACCCCATTTCAAGTGTTCAATAGCCACATGTAACTTGTGGCTACCATATTGGATAGCACAGATATAGAACATTTCTGTCACTGCAGAAAAGTCTACAACGCAGGGCTGCTCTAATGAGAGCTCTGGGATCCGAAAGCCTGAATTCCAGGGCATCCTTAAGGGGCAGAAGTAAAAGGCCTTCCCCAACCATCATGCCCCACTGTGGTCTCCTCTGCCTCCAAGTGGCCTTGTCTTCCTCATCCCCTATGGAAAGACCCCCACCTGCTGTTCACCGTGCACCCATCCCTCTCCCACCCCCAGGGCAAAAGCATTTGGTTACCCTGTGATGTCACACCTGTGCGGGTAACGTCATGCACTGTGGGCATCTCTCTGTAATATGGAAGCCCCTCCCACCACAGACACCACAGATGCTGGGGTTCTGGACAGATTTCTTTAGAATACATGTATTTGCACACATGAGAGCATTGGTCCAAATACATATATGCAGGCGCAGGCACACAAATATTTATATTAAAAGCCTAATTCCACAAATGGCTGTAATTAAGACACAAAGCAAAACCTCATGAGGTTGCTCCCTTCAACTCACACATTTACTCTGCCATGCTCTGGCAGCAGGGGAACAAAAAATGGAAGATTTGCTTGACTCTGCAGACAGAGGGAAATGAGGCTCAGTAAGGAGGCCACACAGCAATTCACTAGCTAATTCAAGCAAAAGCCAGATATCCTTCCTGCTAGCCCACAGCTCTGTCCTGTCCATTCGTTTGGTATTGTATTCATTCACTCAACAAACATATGTGAGAACCTACGGTGTGCATGCTCTGTACTGGGCCACACAGAGATTACACAGTCAATGAGACATGAATCTGGCCCTCTATGGTCTAGGAGCTAGGACATGTTGGTTGCCAACTATAGAAGCAGGGATATCACAGTCATACCACCAGGGGCAGGCTCAGAGAAGTCCCGGAGAGGCTGCTTCAGATCTGAGTCCCATGCCAAGCACTAGGCTGCTCTGTGCTTCACCCAGCTGTACTTCTCCGGCCCTTCATTCCTTTTCTATCTTCAACCTGGCAAAGAATAAGCTATTCTTCATTTATTCTGGGCAGCCAGTTAATATTAATACCAGGGTTAATAGACCTGTTTCTCCTGTACACCATCTTGTCTGCTCCTCTACCTAAAATTGCCCTAAGATAAGTTCTAAAAATCCTTCTTCTCGTGGGCAGGTCACAGTGCTGCTGTGTTCCACTGAATAGAGATAAACGACGAGAGTTGGTCATATTCATAGCTGACCAAATACGTGCGGTGAGAGTGTAGGGGTGTTGAGATAGCCCCCAGGGCAGATCCTGGAGCCTTGACTTTTGTGTACCCAGGATGCTTTCCTGTCCCCTTCTTCTAGGGACACTATCTCTGTTCTTTTAGATAACTCCACCCATCTCCATGCAGTCTAGTGGAACTGCCAATCACAGGGTCCCTCCTGTATCAGTTATGAAAGCATTCAACTGTAATGAACAGAAAACCCATTGAAGGGTAGTTTTAAGGAATAAAAATCAAGGTTTATTTCATTACCATAACCAGAACTCTGGAGCAGGTGGTCTGGGGCTAGCGCAGTGACAGTGATGCCATCGGTAAGGCTGGCTCCTCCTTCCCGCTCTGCCATCCTTTCCATGTTGGCTTGCCACCCCAGGTGCCAGATGGTAGCTACCCCTCCAAGGCTCACATCCATGTTACTAGTAGCAAGAAGTAGCAGGGAGAAGGTAAAAAATGCTCTCTCCCAACAGGACTTTTCCTAGACCTCCCTAGGACTTTCTGCTGCATCTCATTGACCAGAAGAGAGTCACATGATCGTCACCACCTATAAGGGAGGGAGGGAGAGAGTGTTGTGCTTTCAGTCCTCTGTACAAGAGGACAGCAAGGGGGAGGGGATTGGGATGGGTGTGAAGTGAGAATGCCTACAGTTCCTGCTGCCTCCCCATCAAGGCTGGATTAATCACGGTTCCGCATTCTCAGAGAAACAGCCATTGATCTAAGGGAGGGTGCATGCCTCAGGTTGGGGAGTGGGGGGGAAGTCCCCTGGCCTTACACAAATTGGAGGGGGTGGAGTAGCCCTTTCTTGTCTTGGTTTATAAATTAGGCCTGGCGGCATGAGTCAGGGTCAAGTTAATGCAATAGAATCCAGTCCAGCTGATTTAAGCAGAAAAAGACCTATCATTGGCAATCAACTCCAACCTGGCCACCTAGCTCTCTGACACTGATGACCTGACTGGGTGACAGAATCGTGACTCCAGCACGTCATGCCACAGTCCTCGGACAGGGTCTTATGTGCTAAGGAGAGACACCTGGACACCACAATCCTGCACCAGGTACCATCTGCACACAGCAGGCCACCTCCAGCCAGCTAATGCTGATACAACTGACGTGTTGGCAGCCAGCTGACATCAGAGACTGTGGTTTCCTGCTATGGGACAGAGAATTTGCAATCTGTTGGTTTTCAAAGACCTACCCCATTTCACCTCCCCCATCTCATCCTGAACAACCTTCCAAGACCCTGGCCTGAATCAGGTTTCCTGTTTGGCAATAAAACTTTTTCACTCAGTGCTCAATGTTTGGTCTTTAATGGCCTTTATTTTCTCTTTAACTTGGACTGTTAAATGCACCCCCACCCCTGGGAAGCCTGAAGAGACTCTAGGGTTGAGCTCTAGTTTGAGCTCTGGGATTAACTCTCAGGAGAGACACACCCACAGAACTAGGTCACTGAGAGGGTTGCTGTCTCTCTGATCAAGAAATAGCCTTTTTCAGATGCCACCATGATAAAGTCACTCCAGGAAAAACAGAACCCCTCACTTGCCAGCAAAAAAAACCAGCAGAAGCATGGGCTCCTTCTCCAATCTGCTTTTGAAAATCTTGCTAAAGTGCATCTAATGTGTAGAATCTAACTCTCATCCAGATTGGTAGCTGCAAGAGAGGCTGGGAAATGTGGTTTTCAGTCTTTTAGCCTCAACAGTACAGGATAGCCCTCTAGAAGGAGGGTAGAAGAGATGCTCAGTGCCTGTCTACCACATCCTCCCTGCTGGGCTGCCAATCAGCTGCTGTCCTCTGCCACAGGCAGCATCTGCCTACTTGAAGGGAGAAGGAGGCCACTGTGCCAAGGGAAGCAGAGGCAGGGCATCTGCCTGGTCCTGAGCCCCCGCTGCGTTCCCTGCAGCCAGGCACCTGCAGTTCTTCCCCCAAGTGTAGGAGTTTCCTCAGCTTTCTTCCCACCAGTTCAAACCAGCAATTTCCCCCTTTGCCTACTGGCTGAGTTAGGTTTACTTGCAACTGAAAAAATCTGGACTAACTGTCCCCTTACCCAAAATGATTTCCTTTTTCAATCCCTGGGGGCTGAACTGCCTTTCACAGTGACAGTAACTTTCACAGAAAAGTTCAGTCTTGGAATGCAGACACCTCCAGGAGAGAGGTTACAATAACATATTCACACCAAAGTGTAAATGAGGTACAGGGAGCCTTGCCTGAGACTGGCTTCTGCTGGAGCAGAGGGAGGGGAAAGTCTTGGCTCCTGGGAGACAGAGATGGGAACCCCACCAAACGAGATAAAGTTCCCAGAAAAAGCAACGCCATACATCAACTTTGCTAACTTTTGCCTTCAGAGGATGGAGGCTGAACATAAGCCGTAACATGCTTTCCCTTAAAAACAAGTTTTCTGCCATTCCCGCTTACATTTCTAACAAATGCTCAGTCTCCAGTGTTGATTTAATGTTTATGTGACAGGGTCTCTGCCAGCCCAACTTCTAATATTATTCACCAAACACCCCAACATTTCACAGCAGTCCCTCAATCTGTCTCCGTCTTCTGGGTTCCAACTTCCCTTGATTCTCTTCTAAGCACCAGATCTTGGGGCAAGAGAGTGGGAGGGAGGTTTCTACTGGCTAGAGAGTCCAAGAGAGAGTCGCTGTTTTCGAAACTTGGAACGTTCGCTTCTCCCCACCCCACATATCCTCACCCTCGCCCTCCCTAATAAGGAATTTTCCTTCTCATTGGCTAAAAAATCAAAACAATAAAAAGGAAAAAAATCTTATTGTGACAATGTTTTATTCCTACACAAGTTAACAGGAAGGATGCAAAAGCACTGGAGGCTGGCCAGGTGGAGGCTCACGCCTGTACCCCCAGCACTTCAGGAGGCCAAAGTGGGAGGACTGCTTGGGCCCAGGAGTTCAAGACCAGCCTGGACAACGTATCAAGACCTCATCTCTACAAAAAATTTAAAAATTAGCCAGGCATGGTGGCACATGCCTGTGGTCCCAGGTACTCACTTGGGAGGCTGAGACAGGAGAATTGCTTGAACCCGGGAGGTGGAGGCTGCAGTGAGCCATGATCACACCATGGTACTCCAGCCTAGGACACAGAGCAAGACCCGGTATCCCTTTTATTTTATTTATTTATTTTTTTTTTGAGATAGAGTCTTGTTCTGTTACCCAGGCTAGAGTGCAGTAGTGCAATCTCGGCTCACTGCAACTTCCACCTGCCAGGTTCAAGCGATTCTCCTGCCTCAGCCTCCTGAGTAGCTGGGATTACAGGCATCTGCCACCATGCCTGGCAAATTTTTGTGTTTTTAGTAGAGATGGGTTTCACAGTGTTGCCCAGCCTGGTCTTGAACTCCTGGCCTCATGTGATGTACCCACCTCAGCCTCCTAAAGTGCTGGGATTACAGGTATGAGCCACTGTGCCCAACTGCGAGACCCAGTCTTAAGAAGAGAGAGAGAGAAAGGAGAGAGAGAGAGAGAGGGAGAGAGAGGGAGGGAGAGAGAGAGAGAGAGAGAGAGAGAGAGAGGGAGGGAGGGAGGGAGGGAGGGAGAGAGAGAGAGAGAGAGAAAGAAAGAGAAAGAAAGAAAGAAAGTAAAGAGAGAAAGAAATCTAAAAGAAAGCACTAGAGGTGGAATCAAGTTTCTGGCCCCAAGAATTCTAAAGTCTAGTTGTCTCCTGGGTATTCCTCTTTGACTCCTTTCCCTGAAGGCATTAAGGCCCTCTCCCCTGCACCACCCCTACCTCTCTCCTCCTGAAGTCTGCAGGCAGCGGGCTTCCCTGCTCCTCTCTGTACCATGTCTATGGGTGCAGGCCTGGCTGCTCCTGCACCCATGTGCTTTAGGTGCTTCGCTCCCGCTAGAGAAACTCCAGAGAGATTTGCCACAGCTGCCACTGTACCCCAAAGGCAGTGGTAAAACAAGCCAGCTGGCCACAGAAGGAGCAAGCCAAGCTCCACTGGCATCTCCTCCCTGTTCTAGTTCACTCACTGTACACAAAGGAGGCTTTTTATATGGGAGAAGCCTGGATTGGAAGCAGATTTGCTGGGACCACAGCAAAAAGTGAAGACTGCTTGACTTTTTCGACCACACCAAGTCATAGCCTTGGAAAGCATTGCCTTGACCCCTATCCACAAAAGGGCGCTGCACTCCCACTGCTTGTAAGTTCCTTCTCTTCTAACATGTCCTCTCCATTACCGACTTCAAGGCCCAACACCAGGTGATCCAAGCCCACCTGGACAGTCCCACAGACAGTTGCCTGGAGAGTCATCCTGATCCACAGCATATTTGTATAAAGAAGAAATAAACCTCCTCAATGTTCCGCCACTGAGATCCGGGGATTATTTATTACTGCAGCTTAGCCTTGCCTATCCTGACTGATACACACCTGTTCACTTGCTGTTCTACAGCTGTTCTCATCATGGCTCCTGAGGGCTTATGCTTTCCCCTGGGAGCACAAAATCTCCCAAGGAACAAGGGCGACCATGTCTTCCCTTGGACAAGTCATCACCTTGCTGAAGATTGCTTTTCTCACTATAAGTGAGAGCTTAAAATGTCAGCACATATTTCATAAAGGTTTTGTGAGAATCAAAAGAGACAAATCATGGAAACAGCTCAGTTTTTCAAAGTTTTAAATCCCTTTACTCCCCATTTCTCCATCATCAACCCCTACCCCCATTGTTTCCAGTGCCCATGTTAGGGCTAGGCCACAAGCAGCTGAGAATAAAGTGACCAGCACATCACCTGTCTCAAATACTTGTACCCAGAAAGTATTCAAGGAAAAACCCTCAGGTGAATCAGAGGCTGCCTATAAGGTGAGATTTCACGGCATCTTCCCCCGGCTTCATCTCTCTCCCCAGTTTCATTTTTAAACTAACCCACTCTCCACCAGCTTCTTGATGCTGAAAGTTGGTAAGACAGCCTGCTATAGGATCTTTGAAACAACAGGAAGTTCAGGTCCAGACATCTTTTGTTAGAGGTCCCCAAGACCACCTTGGATTCAATGATTCACTAGAAAGACTCACAGAACTCAGAAAAGCTATTCTGCTTATAGTTGTAGATTACTACAGTGAAAGAATACAGATTAAAATTAACAAGGGAAAAAGGCGTACAGAGCAGAATCCAGGAGAAGCCAGGTGCAAGCTTCCAGTTATCCTCTCCCAGTGGATTCACGTGGACAGTGCTTAATTCTCCCAGTAATGATGTGACAACACATGTGAATGAAGTACAGATCCTCCTCCACTGGGTTATGTCCCAATAAACCCATTGTAGAGTGCAAAACTCACAAGTTGAACCACTGTAAGTTGGGACCAGCTGTATTGCTCACTTGAGCCTTGATGTTCAGGGTTTTTATTGGTGGTTGGTCACATAGGCCTGGAGCACCTGCATGACTGATCTTAGTTTCTCATTCTCTGTCCCTCTAGGGCTCAAACTGATACAATGTGGCCCAGGGCCCCAGGGGAACAAAGACAAGTGTTCATCATAAATCGCATTGTTAGCATACATTTTCTAGAGTGGTTCTAAGTTCAGCATTCAAAGATACTCTTTGAATACAAAGCAGGGTATTCTAAGGGCTTAGAGATTATTTCGGAGGCTCAGGCTGAGGGCCAGTCTTTTCTTCGGAATATGGGTGTGAGTACCTCAAGTCAGCTAAGCTAACCCTTTACTGCATACACTCGCACTCCACACAGTTCCTCGTCTGTAGGTAGCCTCTGCCTCCCCAGTTCATGCCAACAGAGGCCAGTAACCAAAGTGGACAAGAAGAGCAGTGGAAGACACAGCTGGTCTTGACTCCCTGCCCTTCCCACCAGAACAAGCACCAAAGTTCCCAGACCCAAAGACCCAACCTCCTTCCGCTTGGGGGTACCCAAAGGGCTGATGCGCTCTCCAGGTGGCTTGGTGTGCCTATGGAAGCCACATTGTGCCCCATCCCTTCTGCTTCATGAGTCTCCCTGGTGAGTGGGAGTGGCCCCGACACACATCTCTGTAACCACACTGTTGACCACACTCCACTTTCACCCCTCCACGCGTGTCTCATTTTCAGCTCTTTTGGGGGTTGGGGGAATTCTCTCCCCACCAATGCTACAGACCCTAATAGTGTCCCAAAAAGTGGGCCTGTCTTTCTTTCCAGCCCTCTTGCTCAAGGATCCAGGGCCAAACTGGGTCAAATGGCAATCAGGTGGCACTATACAGTGTCATACCCAAGAGTGCCTCTCCCCAGGGAACTCCAAGGTCTGATGCAAGTGCCACAAGTCATCGCAAGCTCACAAGAAGTTTCTTCTCCCCCTTGTCAACTCCCTGGTGGATGGGAAGGGGCAATCTCAGCCCTCCATCCTAGGCATGAGTTCCAGGGCCCAAGCACACACTCCAAGGCCCCCTCAAGGGTTCTTGCACAACCATGTACCAGACTGCCTAGTTCTTCCAGAGCCTGTCGAGAAGCAAGTGAGCCTCCCACAGGGAAGCAAGTGAAGCAGGGTTATACGAATCCATCCCCAGAAGATGACATATGTGAAAAAATCATGTCAACGATTGAAAGCCATACAAATAGAAATGAGGAGGATTCCTGAGATTTTTGCTGACAGAAATTTTCTCTCTACAATATGACTTGAAGTATAAATAACTGGGGAGGAAGGCGATTCTGTGGTTTCCACTTATACTACAATGCAAATGACTGGTAACGGAACTCTTGCAGAGGGCTGCTTATGGCCAGGCTGAGACAGAAAAAAGCCTCACTGGTACCTTGAGGCCATGGGGAGAGAGGGCTCCTGGTGAGAGGTGGGCAGGCAGTGCACAAAGGCTCACCCACATTGTGGCTTGTCAGAAGCCTGACCTGAGAGGACAGAGCGGTTAGGGTGGCTTGTTCCATCAGGAACGGGGCTGACCAACAGGGGCCTCACCTCCCAAGTCACCTAGACAAGGCTTTGTGAGAGAGAGGCCCGCAGCCCCGGGCTGACAGGCTTTGGGAACCAGGATGCTGCCAGCAAGGTGGACAATTGTGCTGGGGATTCGGCTTCCAAAACTGAATGACAGTTTGGGCTCCTGAACTCCTGGGCCCTCTCATTCCCCAGACCTGTCTTCTCTGATAGTGATGTCAGCTTGAAGCCAAGCCTGGCAAATGTGGCTCCTGGGAGCCCCCAGCTCCCACAGTGAGGCCTCTTCTCTCCCCTTCTCTAAAGCCTGCCCACCCCTCAACCCCCAGGTAGCTCCTGCTCTCAGCTCTTACACTCCAGAATAAGCACTGCGAAGGGTGTCATCTGCAGCCTGTGGGGGAGGCAAGGCTGGAAGACATGGGAGGGGAGAAGGGCCACAGCAGGCAGGGCCAAATGGCCTTGGCCTAGGCCCCACCTGCCCCAGCACACGGCGTTTTGGAATAGTTTTGCTGGGGGTTCAACCACAACTGTCCTCAAACTCCTCTCCAATGAAGGAGGGGAATGGGCTTTGGAGGCTGACAGTTGAGTCACCCAGGCCTTGAGGAGGCCAGCTCTTTCCTCAGCTCCTCCTGCAGATGCTCAGTCATGGCCGAGCCTGTTCCACTTTAATCTGCATCCACATGCTTTCTGACTCAATGTTTCTGGGAAACAACATCACAAAAATCAATGTTTTAGTGTCTACTTGGTGCTAGGCTGACTTTAAGAGTCTGGTAGTTCTTTCTATTCAGACTGATCTAGATGAGGGTCCCATTAAGCAAATTCTTTAACCTCTCTGAGAATCAGTTTCAACATCTTGAAATGGGGAAACAAGCAATCTACCTTATTGCATTGTTGTGAGGATTAACTAAAATGATTATAAAGTGCCAGACATACTGTCTAGCACACACATTCAGTGACTATCACTTCCTCTTTTTGCCTCCTCTCCCACAAGTTCAACCTTTCTTATGTGAACATGACCAGGGCCCATCCATCCATCCGTCCATCCATCCACTCATCCGTCCATCCATCCACCCATCCACTCATCCATCCATCCATCCATCCATTTATCCATCCATCCATCCATCCATCCATCCATCCATCCATCCACTCATCCATCCATCCATCCACTCATCCATCCATCCATCCATCCATTTATCCATCCATCCATCCATCCATCCATCCATCCATCCATCCATCCATACATCCATCCACCCATCCATCCATTTATCCATCCATCCACTCATCCACCCATCCATCCACTCATCCATCCATTCACTCACCTATCCATCCATTCAGTAATTCATCCATGTATTTATATTTTTTCATTTTTTGAATACATACTATGCACAAACTGCTGCAAGTTGTCCACAGAAGTGGAAATATATAATCTAGAAGCAAAAATTAACTATAAAGGCTATGGTATAAATAACTTGGCAAAAAGTGAAAAGTGTCATAAAAGAGGTACAGGGAAAATGTCAGGAGATTAAACACCCCGGGCCTCTCTTCAAGCCTCAGTTGAAGCCAACTGCCAGGATTACACTTTATTTGATAAAACATTTCTCTTTCCCTGATGAAGACCATCAGAATGTTTGTTTCCTTTTACACAGGAAGGTGACTCAAATTCTAATTATCCTAACCCAGGAAATGACTTTGTCTTGCCTTTCATTTTACTGTATTCAGCTCTTAGTTGCTCCACTGAGGACAATCTGCAGAGCCCAGGTTTCTTCCAAGATTTTAAATGGACCTTCCACGAGGGATTCTGAAACCCAAAAAATGAGCTAAATGAAGAGATGATAGATACATTACAGGAAGCCTCCTTGGGCCAGACATTCCCTACACAGTCATGTGCAGGTGAGTCAATCAGCTGAGAGCTCTTCAGTGTCAGCAGCCCACCTCCACCCCTTCAAAGACCCCTCTCTCTCCACCTCCTGGATCCTGCCCACATTTCAAGTCACCCCAGGAAGAATCGGGGGAAAAACATCTCCCAGTAAAAGTGCCTGACCAACAGTGTAGTTTGTAGCTGATGAAAGACAAAAATCTCACACCTTTTGTTGCCACAGTAAAAAACAACAATCCATCCATATGTTGAAACACTTGACTCACAGAACTCTCTGCAGGCTGCCACTCACCCCTGCAGGAGGAATTGACCACAAGGTTCCTGCAAAGATGTTGCTGAGAAAATGCTGCCAGTTGAGTTGTTTGGTGTGGTAGATTTAGAGACAGAAGACCCAACTCTGCCACTTCTCAAGTGTGTGAGTTTGGGTGAGTCCTTTTAGCTTTCTAAATCTCTGTGTAGGCAGGGCACAGTGGCTCACACCTGTACTCCCTGCACTTTGGGAGGTCAAGGTAGGAGGATCACTTGAGTCCAGGAGTTTGAGACCAGCCTGGCCAACATGGCAAAACCCCGTCTCTACGAAAAATACAAAAATTAGACAGGCATGGTGGCACATGCCTGTAGGCCCAGCTATTCAGGAGGCTGAGGCAGGAGAATCACACGAACACAGGAGGCAGAGGTGGCAGTGAGTCGAGATCGTGCCACTGCACTCCAGCCTGGGCAACAGAGCAAGACTCCATCTCAAAAGAAATAAAAATAGAAAAATAGGCCGGGCGCAGTGGCTTATGCCTGTAATTCCAGCACTTTGGGAGGTTGAGGCAGGTGGATTGCCTGAGGTCAGGAGTTTGAGACCAGCCTGGCTAACACGGTGAAACCCCATCTCTACTAAAAATACAAAAATTAGCCAGGCAAGGAGGTGCACGCCTGTAGTCCCAGCTACTTGGGAGGCTGAGGCAGGAGAACTGCTTGAACCCGGGAGGTGGAGGTTGCAGTGAGCTGAGATCACACCACTGCACTCTAGCCTGGTGACAGAGCAAGACTCCATCTCTGAAAAAAAAGTTAAAAATGAAAAATAAAAAATTAGCTGGATGTGGTGGCGTGTGCCTGTAGTCCGAGCTACTTGGCCGGCTGACGCGGGAGGATTGCTCGGGCCTGGGAGGTCGAGGCTGCAGTGAGCCATGACTGCACCACTGCACTCCAGCCTGGATGACAGAGGAGACTGTCTCAAAATAAATAAATAAATACATACATATATACATCTCTGTGTATTATCTTACTTGGCTGTGAGGACTTCACACACCTTGCCTACACAACCAGCTTGTCTGAGTGCCAGAGTGACAGTGATCGTGACTGTTCTGTGAGCCACTCCCAGGAGGTGAGGAGGCACAGTGGAAGCCAGTCCTCCTTCCTTCCATCGACTCAGTGTCCTTGAGTGAATAACTTTCCTTTTCTGAGCCTCCTTGTTCTTGTCTGTGAGCATTACCGGTTGTGTACAGATGAAATTAGATCATCCATGCAGAGTGTAGACCACAAACCAAGTGTGCAATAGATTTTAGTTCCCTTCTGAGAGATGTTTGCCGTCCTCACTCAGCAGAGCCTCCCTCAGCCGAGTTCAGGAGGCAAAGGATCTGCCTGGATCCCCAAGCTCAAAACAACAGAATATTGTTAGGTGCCCACTGCCTCTGATGCCTGCGGCTGATTCTGTTGCCGAAACACCAGGGCTTCAGTCTAGGTCCTGCTGCTCACCGCACAGAAAGCTGATCTCTGAGACAAGGAACATTGCTAGGGAAGAAGGCTTTATTTGGGTGCTGCAGCCAAGGAGATGGGAGATCAGTCTCAAATTGATCAGCTGGACCAGCTGAATTTAGGAGTTCATGTGGCAGGGAAGAATTGTAACTACATGTGGGAAAACAGGAATTAGGGAGAGGTAAGGAAAACGAGTTGGTCAAACAACAGATGGTTGCTTAGGCAATCATGATGCGTGAGGGGTCTGGTGTCTCATTGCCCTGATGTGGTGATCTGGTAAGTTTCAGTTCCTAATAACATCTGCCAGGCCTGAGGGTCAGTTTCCTGAGGAAGGAACTCAGATAAGACAAATGTAAGTTTCAACCTTTCAGAGCAGGAGGCTCCATTTCTACAGTCTATCAAAAAAAAAAAAACAAAAATAAAAACAAAAAAACAGTAAACATCAGTTCTATAGGACAACTGGGCCAGTTTCAGTTCCCACTTAGAAAGCCATCCAGGCTCAGCAGCTTCTGGGGCCTTGGAAATGATTTTCCAAAACCTTTCTCATTTCACTACACCATCAGTTGCAAATTGTGCTCCAATTCGGCAATCTCTTACAAGACATTAAAATCATTTCCCCACTTCTGGCCTTTGATGAGCAAAGGAACTTAGCTCTTCATACCTTAGTACAAGGAGATCCTCTTTTTCCCAGGACCATTGAGAGCTCCTGCAGTGCCTTAGCATGAAGTAGAACAAGGCACCCCTCTGAGCAGACAAACCACACACACCCTGGCATGTAGCAGCTTGCAGGCTGGAGTGCAGTTCCACTGGGCTACACGCTGGCCGCCCTCATCAAAGCACAGGGCACATTAACTCCCAACTCCCCATCCCACCTCCCCTCCTCATCACCACTGCCGTCATCATTGTGGCAGCAACTGACATTGGTTGAGGATTTGCTGGGAGCTGGACACTGTACTCAGCTTTCCTCATGCCTTCTCTCCTAGAATCCTCACAAGTCTCCTATAAAGAAATGTGCAGATGGCTGAGTGTGGTGGCTCATACCTGTAACCCCAGCACTTTGGGAGGCTGAGATGGGTGGATCACTTGAGATCAGGAGTTCAAGACCAGCCTAGCCAACATGGTGAAATCCCATCTCTACTAAAAATACAAAAATTAGCCAGGTGTGGTGGCATGTACCCCGTAGTTCCAGCTACTTGGGAAGCTGAGGCAGGAGAATCACTTGAACCAGGAGGCAAAGGTTGCAGTGAGCCAAGATCATGCCATTGCCCTCCAGCCTGGGCAACAGAGTGAGACTCTACCTAAAAAAAAATATATATGTGCAGACACAAGCTGTTTTCCTCAGACTGTCAACCCTTCACTTTTTTGGAGGGGGATATTTTATTTTATTGTTTTTGTTTGTTTTGGGACAGGGTCTCACTCTTGTCACCCAGGCTGGAGTTCAGTGGCATGATCACAGCTCACTGCAGCCTCAAATTTCTGGGCTCAGGTGATCCTCCTACCTCAGCCTCCCGAGTAGCTGGGACTACAGGTACACACCACCACACCCCATTAATTTTTGCATTTTTTGTAGAGGGTTTCACTATGTTGCCTGGGCTGTTCTTGAGCTCCTGGGCTCAAGTGATCTTCCTGCCTCAGTCTCCCAAAGTTCTGGGATTACAGGTGTGAGCCACCGTGCCCAGCCTGGAGGGGGGTATTGTTAAAGAAAAAATTATTCATGACACTTGTTATGGATAGTAAGGCAGACTACACAAGGGGAGCCATGGTCAGAGGAACAAGCTGCACTGCAGTGTGGTCTTGCAGTTGTGGGGAGAGATTGCACTCGATTCTGACTACAGCATGGGCAAGTGGGGACTTGCAGCCATGAAGCAGGGTGGAGGTCAGTGAATGGAAAATAACTGAGAGAAAACATCGGGGAGAGGGGAATCCTGTTAGACCAACCCAATAGGACTCTTGCTGAAGGCAGATCAGGCTGATAAGATGTAGACAGTGGTCAGATACCAAGGCTGGGGGCGTTTCCCTGCCCTGACTCGGCAGGATTCTTGCTCAAACTGAATTCTGCAAGGACATAGGCTGGGCCTGGTCAGGAAGGTCTCAGACGAGCCTCATTAAAGTTTTGGTCAAAGGAGAGTATCTGTCCCCACTTCCTCTTGGTTCGGGTAGAGTTGCCCTGGCGGTCTCTGCCTCTGGTCCAGGTGTCAGAATCCTTCTGGGATCTAAGGTGGCCCCTGAAGACAGAGGCCTTCTTTCCCTCTGAGAAAATACTGTAAGGGCCAGGCGCAGTGGCTCATGCCTGTAATCCCAGCACTTTGAAAGGCCAAGGCGGGCAGATCACCTGAGGTCAGGAGTTTGAGACCATCCTGGCCAACATGGCGAAACCCCGTCTCTACTAAAAGTACAAAAATTAGCCAGGCATGGTGGCAGGCGCCTGTAATCCCAGCTACTCAGGAGGCTGAGGCAGGAGAATTATTTGAACCCGGGAGGCAGAAGTTGCAGTGAGCCAAGATCGCACCACTGCACTCTAGCCGAGGCTACAGAGCAAGACTCTGTCCCCCCAAAAAAAAAAAAAATTAGCCGGGCATGGTGGTGTGTGCCTGTAATCCCAGCTACTCGGGAGGCTGAGGCAGGAGAATCACGTGAACTCAGGAGGCGGAGGTTGCAGTGAGCCGAGATCGTGCCACTGCACTCCAGCCCAGGTGACAGTGTGAGACTCCATCTCAAAAAAAAAAAAGAAAAGAAAAAGAAGATACTGTAAGGATCTGACCCTATTGCTTTCAGTGGCCACGTCCCCTGCCACATGAAGGAACCGAAAGACAAAGATGACACTCAGGATGAGAGAGGAAGCGAGGGAGGATGAGGCCGCATGCCCCCCTCCAGTTTTAGAACCCAGCTGGGCCTGGGATCAGCACCCCTAACCTCAGATGGTTCTTAGGGTAGAAGGTGGTATGGGTTGCATTTCTCTCACCTGAAAGCAAAAGAGTTCTGATTATTAGTAGATAGGTAAATTACATCGATTCGATTGTCACCCTCCTTCTACAAATGAGGTTAAAGGTCTGAGGTGCAGAGGCAGAGTAGGGACCCTTGGGTGAATTTATTTCATTCTACTTGAGCACCCATGCTGGATGCCGTACACATAGAACAGCACAGAAGTGGTTATTTTTCTCTTTGAAGCAACAACCTATGAAAGAGGCATAGTCACATGTTACTGATAGAACCTCACTTCGATCAAACCCACGCGTGCAAGGCTACATTTATGGTCTGCAAGAGCCCACAAAACAATCAGACTTGCCTTCAATAGTGGTGTCTTTGATGCATTTGGAATCTGAGTAGTTCACAGAACATGAGGCCCATTAGGAGTTGGTTGTCATGGGTTTTCATTCTGGCTCCATCAGTGCCTGAACCATCCAGGGACCCTTTGGTCACAGGCAACAGAAACTGCACTTATAGCATTTCTGGTATATAAAATTTGTTTGGTGTTTGTCTCCATTTCCTAGCACAGAGCTCCTAAAACCCTGAGAATTTCCTGAATGATGGAAGTGTATTTTCTTACTTATAATGAGCCCCTTTCAACTATACTTGAGTTTATGCTAATGAGGTGACCCTAGATAGCTTCAAGACAGGGTTTGGTAGCCAGAACTAACCCTGTGTGTAGAGGGTTGGAATTTTCAGCCCCACCCTCCAATCTCAAGAGAGAACAACCTCCTTGGCTCCTCCCACCTCCGCCTCCCAGGTAGCTGAGACCACAGGTTTGCATCACCATGACTGGTTAATTTTTTTTCTTTTTTGTCAAGATCGGGTCTTGCTATGTTGGCTAGCCTGGTCTCAAACTCCTGACCTCAAGCAATCCTCCTGCCTTAGCCTCCCAAAGTTCTGGGATTACACATGGGAGCCACCACACCTAGTCTGGAGTGTGAGTTCAATCACTAATGGCCAGTGATTTCATCAATCATGCCTACTTAATGGAATCTAAAAAAAAAAAAAAAAAATTCCCAAGCAAAGTTTCAGGGAGCTTACAGGTTGCTGAGCATGTCAAGGTGCTGGGAGGGTAATGCATCCCAAGAAGACATGGTAGTTCTGAGCCACCCCTACTCCCATCCCCATACCTTGCCCTATGCAACTCTTCCATTTGGCTGTTCCTGAGTTTTAGCCTTTATAATAAACCAATAATAGTAAGTAAAGTGCTTTCCTGAGTTTGGTGAGTTGTTCTAGCAAATTATCAAACATGAAGAGGGCTGGTGGGAACCCCCAAATTTATAGTCAGTTGGGCAGAAATGTGGGTAGCCTGGGCACCTTCTTTGCAGCTGATGTCTGAAGTGGGGACAGTCTTGTGGGACCAAGCCCTTAACCTATGCCGTCCGGATAGTTATTGTCAGGATTGGGTTGCATTGTTGGATACCCAGTTGGTGTAGGAGAATAAGAGAGCAGCTTAAGCCAAAAAGGAACTGGTTGGCTTGGTGACCTAGAGACTCCCTGACGTAGCCCAAGGACTCCAATAATGTGCTCAGCTCACTTTTGCTCCACCATGCCCCTTTCCCCATCAACATGGAATAGTTCGTCTATGTTGATCTCATTCTTTCCCACTGCTGATAGGCTCCCCGGGATGGCTGGGTAGGGTACACAAAGATGAGAAGAGGTAGAGGTGGGGTATGCCCACAGACGGCTATAGCAGCATACAAGCTCAATAATCATGGAGGAAGGAGAGCTTCTCGTTCCCAGAATCTAAAGCTGATGACATGGCTTGGGTCATTGGTCCACTTCTGTGGGCAGGACAACGGGCCATGTGATTGGTAGCAGCAGCAACCAGCAAAGACAGGGAGGGACTGGGGAACAAACAAGACATCAGGTATCTCCTCACTGTCAAAGCAGATTTGAGTTTGTGGAAGGCTTAGTGGTGGTCATCCAGTCCAGCTGCCAGAGACACTCAGGATGGGGCACACAACTGCCCATCCCTCCTTTCCTGGCAATGGCCACCTCACACTACCTGTGTGGCCTTGGGTCGGTGGTTTCCTCACATTTAAATCAAGGGTTTGAACTTGATACAGTTGTTTGAAGCCCCTCCCAGCTCGGATCATCCAAGGACTGTCACAGCTACATGAGATGAAGACTGCTTGGGGAAGGGGCCCTGCCACGGCTTGAGCCTCGACCTGTGCAGGAGCTGGTGCTCTGGCTGTTGAAGCTCGGCTGGCCAGAGGCAGGCGCAAGGGCTGAAGCCAGGACAAGAAGAGAGCAGGCCAGAGCCACCGATCAGGACGCAGCTGGGCAGAGGCATAAATGGAAGATCAAATTGCTCAGTGAGTGGCCCAGGCCTGAAGAACCGATGTCAGCATATTTGAAGTGGTGAGGGTGCTGTCACAGAACTCAGCCCTCGGGCTGCCTGTATCACTGGGGTGAATAGGGGGACAGGGTGGCAGAGATCTGGAAGCTCCAGGAGAGGGAACAGGGAGAGGAAAACCTGTAGGTGGAATAGAAGCAACTCAGCTTCAGGCCAGGAGGTTGTGCCTCTCCTCACTTAGCTACTGGGCTTCCAGGGCCCAGGTGGGATATACAAGAGAATATAAAGCCCATGAATTGCCAAGTCCCCAAGCCTCCCGGGAAACGGTGCCCTCTCTGAACCATCACCTGAAACCTCTGGTGACCACAGAATCTGGGCAGGTGTCACCATGGGACTAGCTCCAGGGGAGATTGTGATGCCGGGCTTACCAAGTACCCAAAAACAAGCAGGTAGAGTGCTCACGAACCCACGAGAGACTCGAAGGAAGGGCTGCCTTTGAACCCCAGGAGAGGCCAGTTGAGGACAAACAGGAGTCTCCTTCATAGAAGGAGGAACCCAAAGAAAGATGTGGATGGAGTCCAAGCAGGTTGGAGAGAGAATGTCATTAAAAGAGCCATAGATGTCTACTGAGGAAAGTCAGAAGAAAGCAGTACTGGCCTCAGAAAGCCCCATGAGATGACCCTGGGGCCTCTGTCAGTAAGATTCTCAGAAGGAAGGAGTTTGGCCAATGACCGCGATGGAAGTCCTGAGCCGGCCATTCTTTCCCTGGCGTTGCTCTCAGTGAGGGGTCCTGGAAGCACAATTTCTTCCCTGAAGGGAGCAGAGTACTTACAGTGCTGCCCTTTAGAAATATGACACAACTCCTAGAAAAAAAAGAAAGGGCTCTCTCCTCCAGCTCATTTATGTTCTGGTTTGTCGGTTCTCATGCCAAGGGAGAAACTGGTGGGAGTAGAGGAGAAAAGGATTCTCTTAGTAAGTATTACGGTCTTCTGAAAGTCTATAAACAAGGTACCAACTCAGTAATTACCACTTAGATCTGGTGCTCAAAAAATCAGTTCAGGTTCATTACTTCCAGCTAAGTTAATCAACCCCAAGAGGAGGGGAGGAGAGAAACAATTTCTGCATACATAAAAATTTATTATCCGTTCCTATTTTACTTTACTTAATATCGTTGTGTGATGAGGCTTTGCCTGGAAATCGGTGTTTGGGAAGCTCAGGGTGAGAGGAGGCACCTGAGGGTCAGGAGGCCAG
The DNA here is from genome assembly GCF_000001405.40 of Homo sapiens. NCBI lineage: Eukaryota > Metazoa > Chordata > Mammalia > Primates > Hominidae > Homo > Homo sapiens. The sequence goes on along the minus strand of NC_000002.12, from coordinate 47,493,586 downwards.
GCTCCAGGCCAGCTCTGCCTCCAGCGAGCTGGGAGACTGCCCTGCACTCTGGCTCTACCTGTCTGTCCTCGGGAGGGGCGATTCGTTCCAGCCATGCTCAAGGGTGTTGATAATTCACATCCCCCAAGGAACCTACACTCCATGCATGTTTCCTGAGAGCCTAGCACTGTGCCTAGCACGATGAACGAGACAGACAAGGTACTGAGTGTTTAGTTGGATTCAGTGGAAAAGCGATTACAGGATAGAGTCCAAAAAAGCTGTGAGAGAAAGAGAAGGAAGACCAGAGGCCAAATGAAGCTTTGAGCGGAAATAAATATGAAAGACTAGGTGAGGCTGTGAAGATGGTGGGCAGAAGAGACATCATCATCTCAAAGCATTTACCAAGCACCAAACCGGAAACTCCTTGCCATTCACAAAACGCGAATGCTTTTCAAAATGAGTTTTGGGAGTGAAGACTCCATTTCCTAGGCTCCAACAGCATAGATGTGTGACTCAGTTCTCCCATGGAAGATGCAAGTGGAAGCTGTGTACTTTTGTTTCTTTAAAGGTGGGATAAGCATCTTTGCACTCTCATCGTTCTTGCTGCCTAAAATGTGGATGCATTGGTTGAAGCCCTGGCAGTCATCTTGGGCCATGAGGTGACCTTGAGAGAAGCCATGTACAGTGGAGAAACCAACTCAAAGGTTCCAGGGTCTCTGCTGCATAATCGTGGAGCCACCTTACTAGCCCTAGACAGCCTACCTCCAGACTTCTTTTACATGAAAGAAAAATAATTTCTAATCTATTCATGTCTGATGGTCTTAAGAAAGTCATTTAGCTCCTCTAGGCCCGTTTCATTTATAAAATGGGATAATATTATCTACCTTAGAGATTGTTGAATGTTTGCCACAGACCATGCTGGACTGAACAAAGGAGGATGAACATGGGAATAAAGACAAAGACAAAAGAGTGTGTTTGGAAGAAGGGGTCGGGGGCTCCTTGCTTCTAGGGAACAAGGGCCCTGAGCTTCTAGAGCCCTTCATATTTATTGAGTAAAGGAGATAGGGAGAAGGGGGTGGTTATCAAGAATGCTGAGCTGGTCACTCAGGCTATTGGCTCCCAACAAATGTTGGCTATTATTACATCTTATTTATGCTACTATTTTTTAAACAGCTTTACTGGGATATAATTGATATGCCGTAATAGTTTGCCCACTTAAATGTGCAATTCAGTGGTTTCTAATATATTTATAGTTTTGCAATTATCACAACTTAATTTTAGAACGTTTTCATCATCCCTCAAAGAAACCTTAACAGTCACTCTCCATTTCCCTTCTATTCCTCCCCAGACCTAGGTATATATATTTCTAAACAACAAATTATCTTTAATCACAATTTAAAGGGTGCTTGAAGTACTTTGTGATCATAGGTACTCCTTAAGACAGATTTTTCTGTCAGTTTAGATTCTCCCCAAGAGAATGACCTTACATTACAATGCAACTTATTTGGGGTAAGAGTATGACATTGCATTGGATTTATCTTAAGGTGTCAATGTGCAAAGTGAATGTCACTGTTTAAATATACTTTTAGACAGTTTTTTTCCTGCATTCACTTTCAATATTCATTTTTATGAACACAAATCTTTAAAAAAAATCAAATAGGATCATCATGAGGCTTATGATGAAAAATGGCAGCTCCCTTCTCAATGCTGCCCTGTTCACTGTCCCAGAGGTAGCCACTTTCACAATCCTCTATCACTTACCTCTAAATTTTTAAATAACATGCTTATACCACTATTTATTTTCCAATTTTAGACATCATCTTACAGAAAGAGCAGATTTATACCTTTCCATCATCCCAATATAATTTTTATTTTTTAGAAACAGGGTCTTGCTCTGTCACCCAGGCTGGAGTGCAGTGATCACAGCTCACTGTAGCCTTAACTCTTGGGCTCAAGCAAACCTCCCCACCTCAGCCTCCCAAGTAGCTGGGACTACCACCATGCCCAGTTATTTTTTTTTTAATTATTTTTTTAGAGACGGGGGTGGGGGGGGGTCTCACTATGTTGCCTAGGCTGGTCTTGAACTCCTGGCCTCATCAATTCTCACCTCAGCCTCCTGAGTAGCTGGAATTACAGGCATGAGCCATCATACCAGCTACAGTTATTTTATTATTGTTCTTAAATCACTTGTTGGTGTTTAAATGAATAAAATTTACAATTGGCTGGGTGTAGTAGCTCACGCCTGTAATCCCAGCACTTTGGGAGGCCGAGGCGGGCAGATCACGAGGTCAGGAGATCGAGACCATCCCGGCTAAAACGGTGAAACCCCGTCTCTACTAAAAATACAAAAAATTAGCCGGGCGTAGTGGCGGGCGCCTGTAGTGCCAGCTACTTGGGAGGCTGAGGCAGGAGAATGGCGTGAACCCGGGAGGCGGAGCTTGCAGTGAGCCGAGATCCCGCCACTGCACTCCAGCCTGGGCGACAGAGCGAGACTCCGTCTCAAAAAAAAAAAAAAAAAAAAAAAACAAAAAACACAAAAAAACTAGCTAGGCGTGGTGGCGGGTGCCTGCAATGCCAGCTACTTGGGAGGCTGAGGCAGCAGAATTGCTTGAACCCAGGAGGCGGAGGTTGCAGTGAGCCGAGATCGCACCATTGCACTCCAGCCCGGGCGACAGTGCAAGACTCCATCTAAAAACGAAATAAAATAAAATTTTACAATTGAGGTGGGCAGTATACTATCATGACATTTACTCTTTTTTAAAAAAAAAAAAGTTTGATATGACTAGGCCTAATAGTCCCCCTACCCTTTCTTCCCAATTGCTTTGTGGATGCTTTGTAGGTATTAATTCAACCCCAAACTCCTCTCAGTACCCTCAAACACAGTAGGTCCATTCATTGCAGGTTTTTCCTTGCATACCTCCTTCCTGCTGGCCCTGTCCTCCAGCTGGCTCGTCTCTAGACTTGCTTCAAGCTACTATTATTCAATCTTGAAAGTTATTTGAGGCCAGGCACAGTGACTCACGCCTGTAATCCCAGCACTTTGGGAGGCCCAGGGGGGTGGATCACCTGAGGTCAGGAGTTCCAGACCAGCCTGGCCAACATGGTAAAGCTCTGTCTCTACTAAAACTACAAAAATTAGCTGGGCGTGCTGGTGGGCGCCTATAATCCCAGTTAGTCGGGAGGCTGAGGCCGGAGAATCACTTGAACCCAGGAGGTGGAGGTTGCAGTGAGCTGAGATCATGCCACTGCACTCCAGCCTAGGCAACAGAGTGAGACTGTCTCAAAAAAAAAAAAAAAAAAAAAAAAAAAAAAAGTTATTTGAGTCATACCCAATTCTGAAAGATACAGCCTACTTTATTTGTTCACTCTCACTAAGATAGGCTCTCCCCAAAACCTAGACTTATGTTCGTTAAGCTGGAAAAGGCTTGGAAGTGTTGCTTTCATCCAACCACCTTGCCTTTTGTTTCTCAGGCAACCACAGGTTGCTCAATGCCTCTTCCCCGGCTTTGTTGGCTTGGAATTCACAGGGTCGTTTTTCTCCAATTCTGGTTCTAGTTTAGCAGTCACCAAACGAGCTTCAGGGAAAAACATCACTGATGAATATTTCTAAGACTTAGCATACTTGGGCTGCTAAGATCACCCCTAACAATAAAAAATAAAGTAGCAAAGTGCTCTACTGCTGATTAGAGAATTATAAGCTAGATTATTAACATAGCACTTAAAGAGGGAGGGAAGAAGTGGAGACCAACATGGGGTGGCTATTTGGAAGTGGCCAGACTGACTGCAACAGAGGCGTGAGCGCCTTTTGAGTATGTATGGAAAAATCCTTTCATATCATCATGAAAATGTCAGAGAGTACTCCAAAGGGCATAAACTTGTGACCTTTAACCAAATTCAGATTTAAAGACATATTTGTTTGGTCCGTGATGTTTTTAAATTTTTGAATGATTTTACATTGAGGTGTTCACTTTAACCCACTATTCTCTGCATCCTGCACCTGGCCTTGAAGGTATGGCATTTGAGAACTCTAATAATCCAACCCCCTTAAGTTACAGAAGGAAGGCAGGAGGAAAAACAGTGATGTTTAAAGTCACACAGCTAGGTGGTGAAGCAAGGATTAGAACCCAAGTCAAGCAGTCTTCCTAATACACCACATTGCTGCTTACTTGAACTCAGTTGCACATTCAGGCCTGTAAACCTTAGTCATGCGAAGTTTACTCCGTAAGCACGTACTTAACAGTAGAGTAACGAAGAGAATCTCCAGGGTTATTCCCTAAAGCTTGGATAAAACATTTCCGGCCCCTGATGGAACATATACATCCTCCAAGTGACCGGATTTCAGGACACCAGCCCTCAGCAACCTGCTTCAAACACTGCTGACAATTTATTTTAACTCATTTGCCACACTTCTGGCTCATCATCTCTCTTTTCATTTAAACACAATCTTTCATCCAAACAGGGTACAATGCAATCACTTGGTTGGATGCCAGCATTTGGTGACTAGTCAACTTTCAAATATGCAGCTTCCTAGCTGCTCACTTTCCTTTGTGTGAACAAGCCTCGGGAGAGCAGCCTTGGTAGCAGCAAACCAGGTGTGCAGCAGGGGCCCACGTGGATGCCTCTGGCTGTGTCTGTGGCAAGCCTTCCACGGGAGTGCCACAGCCCACAACAGAATTAGAAATATTTTACATCTTTACCACACACTGTTTTTCTTAATCCTGGTGCATTGCCCATACCACTTGCTTTGACACTTAATAATTTATTGAGAAAGATTAAATTTATCACATGTACATCTCAGATTCGCTGGAGATAGGGTACTGGGGTTCAAATCCCAGCTCTGCCACTTACTGGCTATGTGACCTGGGCAAGTTACTAAACCTCTGTACCTACGTTTCCTCATCTGGAAAATGTAGATAATAAGATAAAAGATAATAAAAGCACCTGCCTTTCAGGATTAAGAGGAGCCTTTGGGGAGCCAAGCACAGTACTTTGCACTTTTCAGATACTGACAAAGTATTTAATGTTGCCAATTTTGTTGTTGTTGTTGTTGCCCAGGCTGGAGTGGCGCGATCTCAGCTCACTGCAAGCTCCACCTCCCAGGTTCATGCCATTCTCCTGCCTCAGCCACCCAAGTAGCTGGGACTACAGGCACCCGCCACCATGCATGGCTTTTTGTATTTTTAGTAGAGACGGGTTTTCACCGTGTTAGCCAGGATGGTCTCGATCTCCTGACCTCGTGATCCACCTGCCTCGGCCTCCCAAAGTGCTGGGATTATAGGTGAGCTACCGCGCCCAGCCAAATGTTGCCAAATTGTTAATCCACATTGTGATGTTAAAGATTCAACGTGGAGTCATTTTCGTGATTGCTTTGGCTGAGCCTGATGTTTAGCAATGAAACACACTGGAATTGACAATAAATATTAAATTTTAAACATGAAAAAAATGGACAAAATGTATCTTGCTGGATGGACAAGGCATATAAAAATTGCAGGTCAGTGGTTGAATTTAAAACAGTTGCATTAATGTCTCAGATTCAATTATACTTAATTTGGCATTAACCTATCTCTATTCATAAAATTATTATTCATAACATTTATTGGACTAATTCTGTCAACAAAATTCCAGGAAATAAACAATCGTGATAGTGATAGGTTAATTGCTAAGGTTGTGTTTACTGGTTAATTCTGAACACAAAAGAATTCACTGCTGTTGTTTTTTTTGTTAGACGTAAGAAACTGCCCACTGACAGAACTTTTTCTTGTTTCTAAATTTAACCATTTAAGTTGCTAATTCTTCTTTCCCTCTTTGAGGTGAACCCAGGGCAGCAAGCAACAGTGTGATCTTCTACTCACCAAATCCAGAAGTAAGACCAGGGCAGTCCAGTCAAGGCTGCCCAACACCTGCCATTTCCATATGGTTCACCCCACTGCTGAATTTCCCACATGGCTGGACCAGAGACATGTATGGGCACTTTGGTTTGGACAAACCACACACCAAAGCAAATGCATACTGACATACATTTAATTTGAGCATGTTCTGAATGTTGTCTGACACCATGAAATACTGTTCTTCCAGGGAGGTCAAGGAAACGGCTGTAGCAAATGCAAGGAAAGGGCTTCCCATTGCCCTCCTTAGAGAGAACAGGAGGCACTGATAACTCCCAGCAACAAGACACTGTCTACAAGGGATTATTTCCTCTGTGATATCCTAGCACTGCACCACAGAGGTTAACTTCTGAAGCAGTATAAGAGGAAGTAGTAGCTCTATCAATCAAGATAAGTGGTGTGGGTGTGAAGACAGGCCAACATCGGGCAGAAAACTATCACACTGGGCTTCCACTTCCAGTTTCAGTGTAAAAATACATGTAACATTCTGAACATTTTCATCATTTTCTCCAGCCGCACCCTATCTCCTTAACCCAAACACACTGAGTCCAGAAAGACAATCAGAGATTTCCTTTGTATATGAAAATTCTCCTTACTCATTTGTTCTTCCCCATAAGCTAATTAACATTGTTTATTTCAGACCAGGGACTGGTTTTTCCTGACTATTCTGTACACCATTTTAATCAGCAGAATGTAACTAACAAGCTTAAAGAGCCACTCAATACTGAATCAGCAGCTCATACCATATGCTTGGGTAAAAACATACTTCCCAAAAAAGCTAAATGCAGAAAGACCAAGGATAGAAGATGTATTTAATACTCAAGAAGTCTAACAGGATGTGGAATATTGAGATTTTAAGGGGGAAAAGTTATTCTTTAAATACATCTACCCTAGTCACCGGGCTAGCTTAGTCAATAGAGTATGAGACAAGACTTAAATATATCTTAAAACATCTTTCTTATACCAGTTTTGCTACAACTTTTAACTCCAAAACAGTATTTTAAGGAAAAAAAAATCAAATTACAAAAACAACTTCATCTTAGCTTCTTAGTGCTAATTTTTTTTAAAGATGCAAAAAATCATGTATTTTCTCAGAAACATGGTTATGTGGTCAACAGATTTCTTAACAACAGAGTTCTAAATTTTGGATAAAATTTATATATCCAGCTTTATTCTGGTATTACCCAAATTCATGTTTGAGTGGGAAAGAAAAACCAAACCACATTATAAATTTAAATTTTAAGAAAAAACCTTTGACAGGTCAGAAATTAGTTTATATTTTGCTTTACATACACCATTCTAAAAGGAAGGAAACACTAACTGAAGGCCTGGTTTTACATTAGCATATTCATGTAATAAGCACAGATTAAGTTTGAAACTTCTTAAGCAGATCTATTACGTATTTTCTCATTTTCAAAAACATCTTAGAAAACTGTCTCTTTTAGAGGAATGAAAACAGCCTGACAGACTACATGTTTTCTTGGAATGAAGTCTCCCCCAATTTCTTGTAGCCCTAACAACTAAAACCATGAGCTGATTTCCACGTTAAACATGCTTCTGTGCAGCAATCTAAAAACACTCTTTCACAACCACGGGATGAACTATTTCATTGGAATTTAAAATTTGCTTTTTGAATTATATGAAAGCTTTTCATGTATAAGTGATTAAAAGGATTTGTAAACCAATAAATATTTCTACATTTAAAATCTTCCTCTGTCAGTTTGCCTTTTTCCTAAGCCTTTGGCAGCCAGAAAAGAAAAACTGATGTAACCCACTCTAAATTAACGATGACGAAAAAGAACTTGGTAAACTGAAAGGACTCATCGGTCATACATTTGTTCTCATACCAAACTTTAACTGCATTAAAAAAAAAAATTGCAGCTAACTATAAAGCAAGCACGTGCAAAACCACCACTCAGGTTAAAAACCAGAACTGTGGCCCTCCAGAAGCCCTAATGTGCCCCCTCCCCATCAGCACTCCATTTCCCTAAAGACAATCACTCTGATTAACACAATCACTTTTTCTTTACAGTTGCCATCCCAAAGACTGCATCCCTAAACAATACCACCTATTCTTAAACTTCACATAAATGAAAAAAAAACTGTATCCTTTTGTATCATTTCTTTTACTAAACGTTTTAAGATTCCATCTATGTCATTTTGTGTAGCTGTAGTTCATTTTCACTGATGAGTTGTTTCCAGTGTGGAGGTATTAGGAACATTCTTGTATACATCTCGCAGCACAATGGGCAAAAGCATCTCCAGAGTATGCACTTAAGAGCAGAATTGCTGGGTCGTATGCGTCTTTTCAATTTCACCAGATAATCTTAACACCCCTACCAGTGTTATTCCACATCCTCAACAACAGCTGGAACTGCCACACTTGAAATGCTTGTCACTATGGTGGTGGGAGGTGGCCTGGCATGGTTTTCATTTTCATTTTTCTGACTGGTGATTAAAGACCTTTTCATGTTTATGGACCACTTAGATTTCCTCTTGGGTGAAGTGTCTGGATTTTTTTAAATAGCTTTATTAAAATATAATTCCTATACAATTCATCCATTTAATGTGTACAATTCAATGGTTTTTAGTATATTCACAGACATGTATAAACATCACCTATTTTAGAATTTCCATCTCACAAAGAAACACCGTATCCTTTAGCTTTCACCCCACCTACCCCCTATTCCCTGGCACCAACCCTGAACTGCTACTTTGTCTCTACTGCTGTCTCTATTCTGAACTTTCACATGAATGAAATCATACGTGTTGACTCTTGTAACCAGCTTCTTTCATTTAGCACAATGTTTCCAAGGTTCATCTAAGCTGCACCATGTACCAGTACTTCATTCCTTTAATGGCTCAATAATATACTCCATTGTATGGATAGACCACGTTTCATTTATGCATTCATCTGCTGATGGACATTCGGGTTGTTTCCACCTTTTGGCTATTATGAATAATCCTGCTATAAACATTTATGTACAAGTTTGTGGGGACATATGTTGTGATTCCACTTGGATATACGTTGGAGTGGAATTGTCTGAGGAACTGCCAGACTGTTTTCCAAAGCAGCTGCACCATTTTACATTCGCACCAAGAGCGCATGACAGTTTCAATTTCTCCACTTCCTTGCCAGTACTTACCATCTGACTTTTTGATTTTAACTATCGTAATCAGTGTGAAGTTGTAGCTCATTGTGGTTTTGACTTGCATTTCCCTGATCTGCATCTTTTCATGTGCTTACAGTCCATTTGCATATCTTCCTTGGAAAAATATTCAAATTCTTTTTGTTAATGAGATTCTTAAGTGACCCCTTTTCTTAGTGATTTTATAGGAGTTCTTTATTCCAGGTATTAAAAAAGAAGAAGAAAAGAAATGCAGTCTTGCTATATTGCCCAGGCTGGACTTGAACTGCTGAGACTTGAACTGCTGGGCTCAAGTGATCCTCCTGCCTCAGCCTCCTGAGTAGCTGGGACTACAAGCATGGGACACCATGCCCAACTCTTTGATATTTTATAACGTACCAGTATGTTCTTCCATTACGATTCATGTCTTTTCACTTGTGGTGCCTTTTAATAGAAGTTGTTAATTTCAAATAGCTAAATAAGTCAAACTTTATGGATGGTGTTTTTCTGTGACTTAAATTCTTCCCAAAGCCAAGGACATAAAAATATTTTCCTATGTTATCTTCTGCAGAACTATAAAACATTAAAACCTTGAGAGTATTACCTTGTACATTTGGTCTAAAAATCACTGAAGGTGATTTGTTTTGTTTTGTTTGAGACACAGTTATCACTGTATTACCCAGGATGGAGTGCAGCTCACTGTAACCTCAACCTCTCCCAGATCACGTGATCCTCCCACCTCAGCCTCCTGAGTAGCTGGGACTACAGGCAAGCACCACTATGCCCGGCTAATTTTTGCATTTATTTTTGTAGAGATGGGGTTTCGTCATGTTGTCCAGGCTGGTCTTGATCTCCTGAGTTCAAGTGATTGCCTGCTTCGCCTCCCAAAGTGGAGGTTTTTATATATGACATGGAGTAGGGGTCCAATGTCATTTCTTCCTATATGGATACCCCACCAGCCCGCCGCATTTATTAAAAAGACTGTCCTTTTTCCCTCACTTTGCGTAGGATTAGCTAATTCTTAACCGCTTCATCTCTTTATTGTAAAATAGGAGAAGTAGACTAAATCAAGGTTCTCAATCTGAAACGTTTTGTTAAAATCCAGATTTCTAAGTCTTATCATAGACCAGGGATGGGAGAATGGCAGACGGGATGGAGGCTCACGGTAGGACTCTGGATATATAATAAGCTCCTTAGCTAATTCGTATGCAGCCAGCCTGGCTCCTGTCAACAGATGGACATTCTGGGGGAGTCACTCGCAATGATCTCCATGGAGCCCTCCAGTTTAAGATATTTTACGAGGTCTCTGAGCTATTTGTTTCTTCCAAAATATTTGAAGTCACACTGCGAAGAACTACAATGCATCTCAAATTCCACAAACTACATGATTTTATTTATAAAATTCAGCACATCACTTATTATTGCCTATGTCAATTGCAAACAGTCCTCAGTTACAGCTCTCATTTTTCAAAATAAAAATCTTTGAAAATGTCCTCAAAGTAAAATATTACTAAATATCTTATTAAGTTGATAGCCCATGGGCACTGACAGTTAACACTATGGAAAAAGGGTTAATATAAAACAATATAAAACTATTACAGACAATAGCTTATCAATATTACCTTCATTCCATTACTGGGATTTTTCACGTAGTAACTTTTATTCGTGAAATGATTTCATTTACAAAGCTATTATTCTTTGCTATTACTTCAGCTTTTAGCTGTTTTAACTTTATTGTGATGTTTTCTTCTGACATTTCAGTAAAGGGCATTTGTTTCACCTTGGACAGGAACTCCTGAATAATTTTTTCACCTTGCTGAAACACATGTGAATGTCCCATTAGTAATTAAAATATCTTTTCTAAAAGTCATGTTAGACAGTGACAAATTGTTTCATTTCCATCTAAACATATCACACATTTAAAAAATTTTTTTTTTATTTTTCATATTTTTAGAGACGAGGGTCTCACTATGTTGCCCAGGCTGGTCTCAAACTCCTCCCACATTAGCCCACCCAATATTTGAAGAACATATTTATTATTTATGTGTGCACTGTCTAGTTCCCAAATTCCTCCACCTTTACAATTGATAAACTTTAATCATCTGTGAAAAAAAGAATTCAAGGTTTACAAAGAATACTGGAAGGCATAAACAGTCACTGAAAAGTTAACACATACAGAAGATGCTTCATTTTTATTTTATTGCCAAGTTATTGCTGCTTCAGAGAGCATGACTATGACTTGCTATGTGACTCTTGGGCAAACTCCTTAACACACATTCCTCATTCATAAAATGGGAATAATGTTACCAACCTCACAGGGCTCAAAATATATTATAATTAATGTTATCAAAAGTACACGACTTCTATTCTAACTGGAAACAAGAGATTGCATAAAAGAGTCTGCCTAATCCTGGATCACTGAAAGCTATGATTTCAACACATTAAAGTGCAAATACAAAGACCACTTCATATTTAGGATGGCAGCCTGCCATACCTAAAATTATTAACAAGTTATATTTCTCCTGCTTGTATAGGTACAACAGATAAAACTACACTTTTTAGGCTCAAAAACCATACACACCATCTATTATTATTGTAGCAACTATCTATCCTTCAGATAAGAACAATGATAAGACATTCACAGGTAAAAGCTAAAAACATGACAGGTAAAAAGTTGTCACAATGTATATTGCAGTACATGTTTCCAGGACCAGGCAGTGAAATAAGATTCTTTTATTTTTATAATTGAAGAGAACTAGTAATCCTCTAATTTAAAAAAAAAAAAAAAAAAAAGGGCCGGGCACAGTGGCCCACTCCTGTAATCCCGGCACTTTGGGAGGCCAAGGCAGGCAGATCATGAGGTCAGGAGATCGAGACCATCCTGGCTAACACGGTGAAACCCCATCTCTACTAAAAAATACAAAAAATTTAGCCGGGCGTGGTGGCAGGCGCCTGTAGTCCCAGCTGCTCGGGAGCCTGAGGCAGGAGAATGGTGTGAACCCAGGAGGCAGAGTTTGCAGTGAGCCGAGATCGCGCGCCCCTGCTCTCCAGCCTGGGCGACAGAGCGAGACTCCGTCTAAAAAATAAATAAATAAATAAAAAATAATAATAATAAAAAATTAGGCATATGCTTGGGTCTTTCTGTGTGAACGCCCAAATATGACCCATTACTCAAAGGCACCATAAAATCCACTTCTCCCATGAGAACTGAAACATCCCGTCCACATATAGCTTTCTTGAATAAATATTTGTCATATGCCACTTTATTCTCTGTGTCACGTTCGTTATTCTTATCTTCCCAACTAAATTCTAGACAAATAGAGGGCAGGAATTATGAATCATGCTTTTTTATTTCTTTGTCCTTTTCTTACCTAATGTGTAATTTAATAACTGAACTTGATATATTCGTTTATGAACAAAGATATACCTAGACATCTATCGTCCATAATAACTAATTTTAGTGAAATGACTAATTTTAAACCTAGGTTAATATTCCTTTACTCCTACTTTGGTACTTGAAATCGAATATTGATCATGCAGATGTATATACTGCAGAAATCAAAATAACACAGAGATAGATTCTTTGCCATCAAAAAAACTGATTAAAAAATAAGCACTAGAAACACAGAGGAAAACAAACAACAACAAAAAACCTTCATCTTAGTGTCCTGTTTATGTAATAATAGAGAAGCTAAGTTAAACTATGAAAACAAACTGACAAACCTCTCTTTCCAGATAGCACTTCTTTGCTGCTGGTTCCATGATATCATATCCTTGCGATTCTCCAATATACTGAAACTCCTCAAGTTCCAGGGCTTTCTGTTTAGCACACTCTATTACATGCTTAGGGAAATTAGCAAGCTCTGCAACATGAATCCCAAAACTTTGATCACAGACACCTATAAGAAATTTGGGGAAGCGTGAGGGGACAGCATGAGAAGAGACAGCAATTTATGTAAATGGAATTTATCCTTCTCACCTTGTCATTAGAAAACTTAATTTCGGATTACTTCAAATACATTAGCCAAATATATCATTAAAATAAAGGCATTTTAATTAAGTCTCAAATGAAAAGTGATTATGACTTGGCACACAGTGCTGTATTTTATCCTCGACAAACATAGTAGGAAAAATAAAAATAGGAGACAAAAAAGCTCAATAGATAAACCTTAAAGGCTTAGACAAATATCTTAATCTAAAGAAAAATTAATCAAGCCACTATCTCTGAGGCTTTCTCATTTCATGGGAAGGTAAGGGAGGGGAGGAGAGGGGGAGGGGAAAGGGGAAGGGGAAGGGAAGAGGGAAGGGAAGGGGGAAGGGAAGGGGAAAGGGAAGAGGAAAGGGAAGGAGGAAGGGGGAAGGGAAGGAGGAAGGGGGAAGGGAAGGAGGAAGAGGAGGGAAGGGAAGGGGAAAGGAAAGGGATGGGGGAAGGGAAGGGATGGGGGATGGGAAGGGGGAGGGGAAGAGAAGAGGGAAGGGGGAAGGGAAAGGGGAAGGGAAGGGAAGAGGAAAGGAAGAAGAGAGAAGGGAGAATGGGAGAATGGGAGAAGGGGGAAGGGAGAAGGGAGAAGGGGAGGGAGAAAGACAGACACGTAAAGTGTCACTAATTTGGAGTAGCTTTAATTAAATATTGATTATTTGCAGGAAATAGTTAAAACTGAGTCAAGACTTTTTAAGCATTTAATCAAATGATGCTTGCAAAGTTACTATACAGCTGTTTTTGCCACAATTATTTATCAACTATAAAGAATTTTTTGGCTTTGTCATATATCTCATGCATTCTAGAACTGAATACTTTGCACAACTAAAGGAAGCAAACAAAAATAAAGTAGAAGCAAATGTTTGTTAAACATTCACAGTGAAGGATGAAGTTTTTCTATCTTCACACTTCATCTGGCCTTTTAAAAAATATTCTGAACCCATTTCTATAGCATACAAAACACAAACAATGATTTAAAAGCAAAATTTTATGCTGCCAGATCTACTAAAAGTTCCTGAATTCTACAGCAATAATAATAATGACTCAAATATACTAACTCAAAAGGATTCCCAATGAAGTACAAATAACAAAGGATAAAGAACCAAGATTATCTCACTCATGTGCAACCAACTGATGCAGAAAAACGTGTTCGTGGAAAATCAGAGCGCTATCTGAAAAAGTTATTCTGGTGACTAGTGAAATCAATCCTTATAGTATGATTTTTAAAACCTTTGAAAGCCTTATAACATGTGAATCTCATCAATACAGGGATCTGACTAGATCCCAAGCCCACGAATGACAAACTTTCCTGAAAGGATGAAACAACAACAGATAAGTCACTCTGCATGTGATAACTACTATTTCAAGATTTCTGGAACCCCCAGCTTTAAATGAACCTGTTTCTATAACACACTCTTAAACACAAAATAAGCTAATTATAATGAAGATTTTGTTAAACAATAACAGCTAGAACTTTGGAACTTGAAAGCATATTGTTTGTTATCCTAATTCAACAAGAAAACATACTGCCATGGGAGGTAGCAGAAAATGCCTCCATGGTGATGTTCAAGAGTACAGATAATTCTGGCCGGGCGTGGTGGCTCACACCTGTAATCCCAGCACTTTGGGAGGCCGAGACGGGTGGATTGCCTGAGGTCAGGAATTCGAGACCAGCCTGGCCAGCATGGTGAAACCCCGTCTCTACTAAAAATATAAAAATTAGCCAGGTGTGGTGGCAGGCGCCTGTAATCCCAGCTACTCGGGAAGCTGAGGCAGGAGAATCGCTTGAACCCGGGAGGCGGAGGTTGCAGTGAGCCGAGATCGCACTCCAGCCTGGGCAACAGAACGAGATTCTGTCCCAAAAAGAGTACAGATAATTCTTTCTGTGAATGCTTTAGAATGAGTGGTCCTACTATGAGATACAGAAATATGATGTACATGTTCCTACCCCCAGACTGTGAATTAAGGGGTAAATGGGTTCTATAACAACATCAATAATTTATACTAACTTAGAATAAGGCAATTACTGATGATTTCAAGGGTAGTAAGTTTCCCATTACCAAGTTCTGAATTTAGAGTACTCCAATAGTACATACCTTTCTTCACCTGATAAAGCATAGTTAAGGTCTCTTCAGTGGTGAGTGCTGTGACATGTAGATTATTAACAGTTGGTATCTGATTGGCCAAGGCAGTAAGTTCATGAAAATGGGTTGCAAACATGCAAAAAGCACCAATCTTTGTTGCAATGTATTCTGATATAGCCCATGCTAACCCAAATCCATCGTAGGTAGAAGTTCCTCTTCCCAATTCATCTATGATTATTAATGAATCTTTGGTTGCAGACCTGAAGCACATAATTACATGAAATTTCCCATCACATAAAATGTGGTAACATACACATACAAAAACAAAATTAAGACAATACATTGGGAAGGATATGCCACAAACATAATGGATTATCTTAATATATAAACAAAGTCAATAAAAAGCACTAAAACTTCAATAGAAAAATGGGCAAGGGCCAGGCATGATGGCTCACGTCTGTAATCCCAGCACTTTGGAAGGCGGAGGTGGGAGGATCACTTGAGCCCAGACCAGCCTGAGCAACATAGTGAGACCTTGCCTCTAAAAAAAAAAAAAAAAAAAAAAATTAAAAACTAGCCAGGTATGGTAGCACACACCTTTGTGTGGGAGGGAGGGAGGGAAGGAGGGAAGGAGGGAAGGAAGGAAGGGAGGGAGGGAGGGAGGGAGGGAGGAGAATAGGAAAAAAAAAAAAAGGTCATGAACATGAACAAACAACGGATGAAAGGAAAAACAGATTTTGAATATTGTTTTACATTATCAAGCACACTAGTAGTAATCAAAGGAATTCCAAATAAGGCAGCTATCATTCATTTCGTGCCAATCAAATAGGCCGAGATTAAAAAAAATAAATAAAACTGAATGAAGATGAGACCAGGGTGTGGTGACATGGATACCTGCATACACTTTTGGTGGTCATGTAAATTGTGTGCCTGCCACAGTCCTACCAATACCATCTATTACTATTCTTTTCTCAATTTTAACCAAATATATGTAAAGGGGTGAAACTTTTGCTAATTTTTCATGTGCTCGTGTGCTCATTGGCAATTTAATTCTTTTTCTGTGAGTTGCCAGCTAACATGTTTTGCTTATTTCTTTAATCTTTTAAGTCATGAATATTAACCTGTTGCTTAATTACTATACAAACATTTGTATTGCTTTTATAATTCTTCACAAACAACAGAACCTCAAAGAAGTTAAATCAATACATAATTTACTAGGCACCTACTATATTTAATGTTCTTTAGAAGATACTAAGAAATAAGGAGGATCACGGTGGTTCATGCCTGTAATCCCAGCACTCTGGGAAGCCAAGGCAGGAAGATCACCTGAGCCCAGGAGTTCGAGACCAGTCTGGGCAAAAGAGTGAGACCCTGTCTCTCTAAAAAACTTTTAAAAAAAGAAAGAAAAAGATACCAAGAAATAGAAGGTATAGTCCCTACCTTCAAGGAAGCTCCTAAAAAGTGAAATAAAGACAAAACATTTCAGTAATGTCTAGAATAAAAACGTGGTTCAAGTTACAGGCATCTCAAGAGGAATTCAGAGAAAAACACCCATGACCTTACGGTCGTATGACCAGAAAAATCACTACAGAAATAGAATTCCCATCATTAGGGACTTAAAAATTAGAAAGAAGTTGGATAAACGGCAAGAAGGACCATTCCAGGAAGTGTGAACAGTCCAAGCAAAAACATGGTAGTGGAGATTTATAAGGTGAACTCGTACCAGTAGCTTATAAATTGTCTACTTAAAGAGACAATTTTAAAAATCAAAGTTTTCCGTAGCTACCATCAATCACTCTTTTAAGACAATACAAAGTATATAAAGTCCACAGGAAAACAACTATTAAACTAAGACAAACATTCTCAGATGTTTTTACATGAGAATCTGCAAATATACTTTTCCTTCTCACAGGACAGAGACATACATTTCTATCTTCAAGGGACTAGGAGATGCACTTACCTGAGGATAGAAGCAGTTTCCAACATTTCAGCCATGAACGTGGAGACTCCTTTCAATTGACTGTCACCAGCCCCTACTCGGGCTAAGATGCAGTCCACAATGGACACTTCTGCTGACTCACATGGCACAAAACACCCAATTTGGGCCATGAGTACTATCACCCCAGTTTGTCGAATATATGTTGATTTACCTCCCATATTGGGGCCTACAAAACAAATTATATCAGAAAGCAAGATTTTAAACTTCTTTCTGCTACTAATAAATGGATTGTTAGTCCTAAACTGTACACTGATGATTAATCGCGTAGGTTTACACTGACATAGCATATAAAGGCAGAACCACAGCCTGCCCAAAGATGTGGACAGAGTTACTGCCCATATTACCCCCAAAAGCAATGCTATTATATATCTTCAGACAAACCGATACTGGGCCTTTCATCAAGAGAAGCCATGACAAATATACCTGTAATTTGACTGTGGCCTAGAAAGACCATATACACATTTTCCCATGGCTCACAGGGCTGCCTGTGAGATAATTTACTAACTTCCAGAAAAGTAGTTCAGGCCTAACTGATTAACTCAAAACCATTACTCATTAGTAACTAAGGTTACTAGTGAATGTATCAGTATGGTCAAATCTTTCGAATCATTTAAACCCCACACAAAAACCTGAAGACATGATCTTTCTTTTGAAAAACAGGCAATTTATTTGTTGGGGTTAGATTATATGAAGAACTTGAAAATCCATTTGGGGAAAGGAAATACAATAAACTGTTTCCCAAATATATTTGCCCCAAAACTACTTCCTTTTTTGTTTTCTAGAATCTAGTTAAGATCTCTCAAACATCTCAGCTGAGACATGATACATGAGCCTATATGCAAGGCTAGTTTTTGCGAGTTTCACATGAATATAGTGCCATGTCTTAAAATAATTCCTATCCTAACCTGAGGTCCTCCCACAGCCAATTTGGCCTGACCTTCAAAGACCTCACTATTGGAGGACTGGCTCAAAGGTAAGCTTTGAGTGTGAAGGGATGTTTGTTTCTAAATGCTCTGAACCCATGGAAGAAGTTTCACATGAATACACTATTCTCTCACAAGCTTTTATCTCACCTTCTAAATCTTCCCTCTAAACCAAATGTGAATAGATTACTAACTGGTAAGAATAATATATTCCCTTTCTAATGTTAAGAACTGGGAATTTTCTCCATCAATTTTAAATATATTTCTACTCCAAGATTAAAAAAAAAAAAAAAAAAACAAAACGTTACCCCCACAAAGCCCAAAAACCAGGTTTTTTACCAGTAATGATGTGGAACATCTGTTTATCTTTTTCAAAGTATACGTCATTAGGAATAAATGCAATTTCATCTTGAACTTCAACACAAGCATGCCTGGATGCTTTTAATATAATTCTTCCTTGTCCTTTCTCCAAAATGGCTGGTCGTACATATGGAACAGGTGCTCCATTTGACACGTGAGCAAAGCTGACAACAGCATCTAGCTGAGCTAACACATCATTGAGTGTCTGCATTGGTTCTACATAGCCTGTATAAAAATAAAAACAGAAAATGTACACAGGAATACTGAATAATAAACAGATATAAGCCGTAAAAATACATTTAATCCCCCCATTTGGGAATTCAAAACCCATTTCCTAATTTACACTTTTTTAAAAAAATTAACAAAAGTTAGCCTTAACAAAATTTCAAAGGAACCCACCTAAAACTCAACATAGGGTTAAAATGTGTTGCTACATCCTTTCCCATTGTGAATAGCTATCAAAAACAGAGTACTGGCTGGGTTGGGTGGCTCACGCCTATAATCCCAGCACTTAGGGAGGCTGAGGCGGGCAGATCGCATGAGGCCGGGGGATCACATGGGGCCAGGAATTCAAGACCAGCCTGGTAACACGGCGAAACCCCATCTCTACCAAAAATACAAAAATTAGCCAGGTATGGTGGTGCATGTCTGTAAACCCAGATACTTGGGAGGCTGAGGCACCAGAATTGCATGAACCCAGAAGGTGGAAGTTGCAGTAAGCTGAGATTGCGCCACAGCACTCCAGCCTGGGCAATTCTGTCTCAAAAACAAACAAACAAAAACACACAAAAAACAAAAATAGAGTACCTTCCCTTATCAGCAAAATATAAAACTACACAGCTGCTTATCCAAGACATTCTCTCAATTTTAAGACACACCTTTTCCTATATTTTAAGTATCTGAGAAACCAGAATGACACCTCAAAATCACCATAAGAAAAATGTAAGCAAAAAGGTAGCAAGTTGAAATGTGACCATCAAGGCCTGGTATATTGTACGAACTGACCGTAAGACAGTTTGGCTTTCTTTCCTCATCAGTATCACATGCAGAGGATGTCAGCATAAATTTAAATCTCTAATTGTCACTTAAAACATTTTCAAGATTCTACTGTTCTAGAGTATTAACATTAAAAGCTATTAATAAATACATTTAAAAAAATCTGACACATGCTAGACAAAAAACAAAGGAAATTAACAATGCTTAAATTTTTCTGAATAGATTCTAAATGTTAACAGGTTGGAGGGGCTGGTGCATGACCCACATGTCATTCAGACTATCATACAGCTATCAATCATGTCAAAAGCTTCACAGAACATTCAAGATAAAAGCATTTAATTCTAGGAAAACCAAAAATTATTAGTTTAATCTAGGGGCTGGAAATTTAACTTATTTTTTATTCCCTTGTTCCCCACAACAGTGATCAAATGTTTTGAAAATAAAAATCAACTTAACAATGGCCAAGCAGACCTAATTATCTTCCTCTGTTTCAGTATACTTTTTTTTTTTTTTTTTTTTTTTTTTTTTGGAGACAGAGTCTTGCTCTGTCGCCCAGGCTGGAGTGCAATGGTGTGATCTTGGCTCACTGCAACCTCCGCCTCCTGGGTTCAAGCGATTCTCCTGCCTCAGCCTCCTGAGTAGCTGGGATTACAGGCACCTGCCACCATACCCAGCTAATTTTTGTACTTTTAGTAAAGACAGGGTTTCAACATGTTGGTTAGGCCAGTTTCGAACTCCTGACCTCAGGTGATCCACCCGCCTCGGCCTCCCAAAATGCTGGGATTATAGGTGTGAGCTACTGCACCTGGCCTCAGTACACTTTTGAAGAATTCAGACTACCCTATTATATAGCAATAGAAGCCTTTAAGAATTAAACATGAGTGAAGTACTTGCTATAACTACTTTAAAACTTGTAAAATTGCTAGCATACTGACAAGAATAAGTTTATAGTAAAAAAAAGAAAACTAGGCTGGGCAGGGTGGCTCACGCCTGTAATCCCAACACTTTCGGAGGCCAAGGCAGGAAGACTGCTTGAGTCTGGCCTGGGCAACAGAGTGAGACTTCATCTCCACAAAAGATAATTAAAAAAAAATTAACCAGGTGTGGTGGCACTACTACATGTAGTAGTCCCAAGCTACTTGGGAGGCTAAGTGGGGAGAATCCCTTGAACCTAGGAGGTTGAGGCTGCAGTGAGTCATGATCGCATCACTGCACTAAAGCCTGGGCAACATGGTAAGACCCCATCTGAAAAATAAATAAATAAATAAAAAGCAAACCAAAGCATCTTAATTAAGAGTCTATACTTGGCATGTCACATAACTGGCTCTTAATAGCATGACCTTTTATGACTTAATTGTATGATAGAAAATTATTAAAGTGATCCATTACACTTTTTGAGATGGGAGTCTTGCTCTGTCGCCCAGGCTGAAGTACAGTAGCATAATTATGGCTCACCACACCCTCGACCTCCTGGGTTCAAGTGATTCTCCTGCCTCAGCCTCCTGAGTAGCTGGGACTACAGGCATGTACCACCACAGCCGGCTAATATTTTTTGGATTTTTTTGTAGAGTTGGGGTCCCCCTATGTTGGCTAGGCTGGTCTCAAACTTCTGGGCTTAAGCAATCCTCCCAGCTCAGCCTCCCAAAGTGCTGGGATTACAGGTGTGAATCACCATGTCTGGCCGCCATTACATTTTTAAATAAAAATAGCTCATAATATGTAATATCAGACCAAGAAGAAGTTTCATTTAAATTCAGGTTGACTTCTAATATAAAACCTTCAATTTAAATGTTAAAATCTAAAAACTTTACCCTGCTAGGTGCTTAATAAATATTATTTTTTAAGGAAGATCCACAGTTCAAATAAATGGTATTTACAGGGTTCTTTAAAATGAAATCTAGCCTAAGAAACATAATTCAGCAAAAGATTATTACGTCACAGTTATCTGACACCAACAAGCAAAAATGTAATCTTTACAAATCAATTCCATTCATTTCAATACATAAAGTGTATTAAAATAAAACCTTTTGAGTTTTATGTTTCCTTTTGATTTACCATGACAATTCATAATAGCAACACAATTTATAGAATTACTCATGCACATAACCTTTTAAAAAAATATTTGTCCTTAAATAATTTAGCATGCATATCCTGAGAACAAGGACATTCTCCTAATCATAACACTACCATTTCACACAAGAAATCTGACACTAACACCATATTGTCTCATATTAAACTTTCTCAATTCGCCCCAATAGTGTCCTCTATAGCTATTCCCCAACTCCAACCTCTAAATTGGGATCTAATCAACTACTGCCTACTGCGTTTGGTTGCCCTGTCTCTTTAAGACCTGTTGATTTCTTTTTTGCTGCCGTGACATGGACATTTATTAAAGTTCAGGCCTTGAATGCACCACAATCTAAATTTATTTGAATTTTTACTTCTTGTTTAAAATCAGGTTAAATATTCTGGTCAAGAATACTATATAGGTGATACTGTGTCCTTCCTTCTATATCACACCAGGAAGTACATGTCATTTGTCCCACAACTGGTAATCTTGACTTTAATTACTTGGTTAAGGTAGTTCTTGAGTATATTTTTTAAAGGCACAATAAAGGTTAGTCAACATACACACCATGATCGGCAAAGCCTTCCAACTTAACGCATCACTTCCTACCTTGTGCTAAACATATATTCATTCCATTCTAAGGGCAATAACACAGTGCCAGGTTGCTGTGTTCCTTTAATTACATGAAAATGATCTCAAATGGTGCCACTAGAATGAACTCAAAATCTACAAAATGACATACAGAACTCAAAAAGGCTTGCCTCATGTGTAATTAATATTTGCTTTTCAGTGGTATTTACTTCCATAACCTAGAGCCTCATGAGCCCATAGATGACCCAAGACATTAGTACGTTGTAGGCCCTAGTGTTTCCTTTCCCTGTTACAACTATAGTAAGTTTTGTGCTTTTCTGCCATTTTTTGTTTCTATGTGCAAGAGTAACTTCCAGTTATGTGTCCTACTGTAACATACCATGCCTTATTTTATATAGGAAACCTAACATATTAAATAGTCAGAATGTAATGGCTTGCGAAAATAACAAAACACACTTCAAATATCATGATTTTTCTTCTGTTACCAAAAGCCAGGTGACATTCAGAACATTATTAGTTCTATTAAGTTTACCTGAAGAAATATTGACAATTTCTTTAACAATGGCATCCTGGGCTTCTTCATATTCTGTTTTATTTTTGGTATACTCTTCATTTAAAGAAGTCAATTTGCTGCAAATCGAAATAACAGTTTTATTAAAAATATTAAAATGTGTACTAGAAGCAATGTGTACTACGTGAAACATATCCAAAGTATCCTATGAAACATCCAAATAATGATAATTAAAATGGAAATACAAGTGGAAAACGAACAACTCCTTAGGGACAAATGTAGTTAGAATTCAATTTATTAATGTTCTTTTACACTGTTTGGAATAGCGCAATGGCACAATTCCTGCTATAACAATTATATTCCCCTGAGTAAAACTGTGATCTGTGTCCTTTTACAAAATATTTAAATGGAATCCTTATTTAAGATTGAAGACAGCCGGGCGTGGTGGCTCACGCCTGTAACCCCAGAACTTTGGGAGGCTGAGGCGGGTGGATCACCTGAGGTCGGTGGATTGCCTGAGGTCAGGAGTTCGAGACCAGCCTGACCAACATGGAGAAACCCCGTCTCTACTAAAAATACAAAAATTAGCCCAGCATGGTGGCGCGTGCTTGTAATCCCAGCTTCTCAGGAGGCTGAGGCAGGAGAATCGCTTGAACCCAGGAAATGGAGGTTGTGGTGAGCCAAGAACACACCATTGCATTCCAGCCTGGGCAACAAAACTAAAACTCCGTCTCAGAGAAAGAAAAAAAAGACTGAAGCTATTACCCCTTTTAAAACACAAACACAGGCAGGGTGCCTGTAATCCCAGCACTTTGGGAGGCCGAGGCAGGTGGATCACCTGAGGTCAGGAGTTCAAGACCAGCCTGACCAACATGGGGAAAACCCGTCTCTACTAAAAATACAAAGTTAGGTGTGGTGGCACATTCCTGTAATCCCAGCTATTCGGGAGGCTGAGGGAGGAGAATCACTTGAACCCGGGAGGCAGAGGTTGTGGTGAGTCGAGATAGCACCACTGCACTCCAGCCTGGACAACAGGAGCAAAACTCTGTCAAAAAAAAAAAAAAGAGAGAGAGAGAAAGAAAAAAACAAAAAAAAAAACACAAACATATATACACACACACAGTATTTCTCATTACTGTAGTATAAATATCTTTCAATACCAAAAGTTTTCAAAATAAGAAAAATGGTTTTTTTTTTGAGACGGAGTCTTGTTCTGTCACCCAGGCTAAAGTGCAGTGGCGCGATCTAGGC
Source organism: Homo sapiens (assembly GCF_000001405.40). Lineage (NCBI taxonomy): Eukaryota > Metazoa > Chordata > Mammalia > Primates > Hominidae > Homo > Homo sapiens. The sequence goes on along the minus strand of NC_000002.12, from coordinate 47,469,832 downwards.
TCACTGCAACCTCTGCCTCCCGGCTTCACACCATTCTCCTGCCTCAGCCTCCTGAGTAGCTGGGACTACAGGCACCAACCACTACGCCCGGCTAATGTTTTATATTTTTACTAGAGGTAGGGTTTCACCACCGTGTTAGCCAGGATGGTCTCGATCTCCTGACCTCGTGATCCACCGGCCTCGGCCTCCCAAAGTGCTGGGATTACAGGCGTGAGCCACGGCGCCCAGCTTGTTTTGTTTTTTTTGAGACGTAGTCTGACTCTGTTGCCCGGGCTGGATTTCAGTGGTGTCATCTCAACTCACTGCAACCTCTGCTTCCCGGGCTCAAGCGATTCTCATGCCTCGGCCTCCACAATAGCTACGATTACAGGCATGTACCACCACACCCGGCTAATTTTTGTATTTTTTAGTAGAGATGGGGTTTCACCACGCTGGCCAGGCTGGTCTTGAACTCTTGACCTCAAGTGATCCACCTGCCTCGGCCTCCCAAAGTGTTGAAATTATAGGCGTAAGCCACCATGCCCGGCCAGGAAAATGTCTTGAAACTAAATCTTATTGAACAATTTGAAGAGAAAATTAAAATTAGAGGTTGGGCCGGGCACAGCATCTGTAATCCTGTAATCCCAGAACTTTGGGAGGGCAAGGCAGGTGGACTGCTTGAGCCCAGGAGTTCGAGACCAGCCTGAGCAACATGGGGAAATCCTGTGTCTATTAAAAATACAAAGCAGTGGGCAACACCTGTAGTCCCAGCTACTTGGGTGGCTGAGGTGGGATGGCTTGAGCCCAGGAGGTGGAGGTTGCAGTGGGCCAAAATTGTGCCACTGCACTCCAGCCTGAGCGACAAAGCCAAACCCTTCTCCAAAAAAAAAAAAAAAAAAAGAGGTTGAAATAAACAATACTCAAGGAAGATGAGAATAAAATAAGAAAAAAATACTCACTGGCATCAAGGAGGGAATGAAATTAAGAACAAAAAGAGGTGATGTAAAGGAGAAAGAAAGGAGAGAGAAGTAATTATCAGCAGTGGGAGAAAATCAGTTCATCAAGATGATAATTGTGGCCTTGATGGAATCACTCAATGGCACAGCAGACATGTATATGTATAGCTCAAGAACAGTACAGGGGCAAGTAGCAGCACAAACAGACTACTATGGAACAGGCAAATAAAAAGAATTAAAGAAATGCATGAGGGAAAGACATTATAAAAGTGAGACCACTGTGTGAAGGGACAAGCTGCAAAATATAAAAGCAGAGGCAGGCAAGGACCAGATTCTGCAGGTCATAATCTAGTGAGTGACTTTTTCACTTTTGGCATCATGTGGCCCATTCAGCCCTATCTTTTTTCATATGTTATAACTAATCCACGAAAAACTTGAAGATGATTAGAACACTCCAAAAGTTGTATCTTATCCAAGCTAAAATATATACATTTCTTGAACCAGGAGGATTCTAGTGTGCTGGAAAAACAACACACCTAGATTTGGCAATGGAAGATCTAAGTTTAGGCACCCACCAGCACTAGCTGTCTAACTGAGGAAAAGTAAAGTCTTAGCTTCTTCACCTATAAAATGAGAAATATACATGTCTTCTTTACTGAGAATTATGAGGAACAAACTAATTACTAGGGTGTCTGAACACCTAGAATGTCTGCATATAATAGACACTCAAAGTACTTGTTAAACAGACGACAGGGGATCATATATATAAAAGCTACCTGTAAAGTTCTGGGAAAATTCAGGAGGGGAGGGAGTAGAACAGGCCATAGTTTCCAGAACAGTACAGAAGGAGAAAGGCTTTAGCCTCCCCCCACCATAAGTCACAGAAGATTTTAAATATAATTTAAAATTTTTTAAATAATTTTTTTTACTTATCAATAATTTGTTTCAGGGACTTCCTGAGATTAGCCAGAAAACTGGCAGGAAAAAACTTTTTTGTTTCAACATGAAACATGATTAAAACAAAAAAAACCTATCATCTAGTGAATGGCCTCATATTTCCCTCAACTAATTTAAACACCCAATTGAAATATCAGAATAATTTTCTTAACTTGATAAATGATAGTAAAGTTTTCTTAGAAAAAATAAACATGTGGGTCAGGCACGGTGGCTCACACCTGTAATCTCAGCACTTTGGGAAGCTGAGGCAGGTGGATCACTTGAGGCCAGGAGTCCGAGACCAGCCTGTCCAACATGGTGAAAACCCATCTCTACTAAAAATACAAAAATGAACTAGGCGTGGTGGTGCATGCCTATAATCCTAGCTACTCAGGAAGCTGAAGCATGAGAATCGCTTGAATCCGGGAGGTGGAGGCTGCAGTGAGTCAAGACTGCGCGTCACTGCACTCCAGCCTGGGCGACACAGCAAGACTCTGTCTCAGGGGGAAAAAAAAAAAAGATAAGGCTGGGCGCGGTGGCTCACACCTGTAATCCCAGTACTTTGGGAGGCAGAGGCAGGCGGATCACGAGGTCAGGAGATCGAGACCACGGTGAAACCCCGTCTCTACTAAAAATACAAAAAATTAGCTGGGCGCAGTGGCGGGCGCCTGTAGTCCCAGCTACTCGGGAGGCTGAGGCAGGAGAATGGCGTGAACCCGGAAGGCGGAGCTTGCAGTGAGCCGAGATCATGCCACTGCACTCCAGCCTGGGCAACAGAGCGAGACTCCATCTCCAAAAAAAAAAAAGATAAAAGAAACATGTGAAAATAACTAAAGCAGAGATATGAGGGGGAACTAGCTCTAATAGATATGGTAACACAGAATAAGCGATAAAATATATTTTGTGTAGACAAAAGAATGGTGAGACGAGGTAAAAGTAGAGTCTTTAAAATAGACCCAAAGTACCACTTCAGTCAATGGAGAACAGACGGACTATTTAACAAATGGTGTTGCGACAGCTGACTGCTCTATGGAAGAAAGCTTGACTCTTACCTGATGACTACATTAGTAAAACTTATCATAGAACATTCACATCATGTTAGAGCATTTAGGGAATTAATAAAGGGTTAAAAATATAATAACGACTTGCAAACCTGTTGGTAAATTTAACACCATTCTTCTGGATATCTACAGTACTAAAGTTTTTATTGTTACGAAGGACTTTTTCTTCCTTACAGGTTACACGAAAGTAATATCCAAACTGTGCACTGGAATCCAGTTTAATCTGTTTGCCAGGGTCCAAGCCTTGATAATCAAGAAGAAAAGAAAAAGTATTCCATAAATACCTACTACCATTTTTCAATGTAATTCTAAAATTATTTAAATAGTGAAAAACATACTGTTATTATATGACAACATACTCACAATTATTATCTAACCAGAAAAGATTCAAATACTACTTACTTGAAAACTACATGAATTATGGATATCTATTTATAAAATCCTTAACTCCCTTATGAATGTTAGTTTCTGACTTGAAAGCTGCTTTCTGGGTAAACCCATCCAAGGCTGCAGAGCACCAGCACTGGGCAACATATTTGCCCCAATTACCATGAGCACCTGAGGATGGATTAAGGTGTAACCCCACCCTCGAGGAGTTATGCATGAGAATTCTTTTCTTAACCAAAGGTATTTCTTTGGAACTAACATAGAGTATAATTAATGTGACCAAATACAATTTCCAAACAAAAACTTGAGACTCTGACAATGAAACTCTAGGAAAACTAGTGCACATATTTTCTGTTAAGCATAGGAAACTTCACAAACCAAATGATCTGACTGATATGTGAAAGGAAAATAAATCTCGGAACCGCAAAATCACTAAGCCGAGGGAAAAGTCAAGCTGGGAACTATGTCAGACAAACCTGCCTTCCATCTTATTTCTAAATAAGATAGCGACAAAGATTTAAAAACTACATACTTCCCTCACTACATACTTCCCCTCCACAAGGAAAGTCCTTGTGGGCCTCCAGATGTTCACTCTCAAACAATTCTGTTGAATTTCACCCTAGCAATGGAAACTGATAGCTTATCTTCACAGGTGAGGGACAGAAAGTCATCCCTCGGCTCACCTGACACAAATGCATTTCTGATTGCTTCCTCTGACCTACTGTTTATGTAAAAACGCAGATTCACTAACAAGACTAAGCTTGTTTATTCAGTGAAAGGCTGATCAAGGACTCAAAAGTATGCAACCTTTTGTCTCTTATCTACTTATTACCTGAAAGCCCCTTGCTTCAAGTTGTCCTGCCTTTCTGGATAGAATCAATGTACATCTTACACATGTTGACTGATGTCTCATGTCTCCCTAAAATGTATAAAACCAAGCTGTACCCTAACCACCTTGCGCATGTGTCATTAGAACCTTGTGAGACTATGTCATGGATGCATCCTTAACCTTGGCAAAATAAAGTTTCTAAATTGGTTGTGACCTGTCTCGGATATTTTGGGTTCACAATCAGCTAGACCTTCTGCATCAAGAATTTGAGTTTTTATAAATACATTCCCTCTTCATAATTTCATTAACCAATATGATCTCTAGACCACAAATTAAGAGAGACAGAGAGAGAGAATCTACAAATGTACTTGCTGAAGCGTGGCCATCAAATGTTAGTAGTAGCAAACAATTAGACAGACCTCGCTTGACCAGTGAGAAAAGGGAAAGTAGAGACCCACCCAGAAACGAAATCGGACTGATCTGAACAAAGGAACCTCTCAAAACATTCAAAGTGAAAGAGTAGTTCCACAATGAAAGACTGCGAACAATCAGTGATCAAAGTTTCAAAACAAAGGACCATGTTCATGAGTATGTAATGTAGTTTGCTTATATATGCATTTCACTGCAGTGTTAACAACAGCAACATCACTAAACATGAAAGACAATGGTATTTACAGAATACTGTTTATTTAACACATGTAAACCTAGGCTGCCATGAGGATCACAACTTTATTTAAAATAAGGCTCAAATCCTCAAAGTGTAATGGCATTTCTGATGACACGTAGGTCTAAGAATTAAAGCAATGAATCCAACATGTTAATGCTATAGAACAATGTGGTGAAAACCAGAGAAATTAAGTAATTTGTAAAGAGCTTCAGAAAAAGTTTCCAAGCTGCAACTAGAACTCGTGTTTCCCAATTCCCAGCCTAATGCTTCTTATACTACAGTTACAGTTTCTGTCTCAATTTGAGTGCTATTTATGTTGCTTTCAACATACTTTTTAATAAAACAAATTTACTTAATTTTAAAATGAAATTAAACTTAATTTATACTGTAAAAAACAAGTTTTTGCCATTAATTTTCTTATTAGCACTCAATAAAATAGATAAAAAAATAGGCAATAATTTAATATATACTATGATGCATTCCTCTGTTTTTTTTTTTAAAGACAAGGTGTCGCTCTCACTCCGTCCCTCAGGCTGGATGGAATGCAGTGGTGCTATCATGGCTCACTGCAGCCTCAACCACCTAAGCTAAAGCAATCCTCTCACCTCAGCCTCCCGAGTAGCTGGGACCACAGGTGTGCATCACCACACCCAGCAAGTTTTTTCCTTTTGATTTTTGGTAGAAATGTGGTCTATGTGGCACAGGCTAGTCTTGAACTCCTGGGCTGAAGTGATCCTCCTAAAGTATTGGGATTATAGGCATGAGTCACTGTGCCTGGCCAATGATGCATTCTCTTTTCTTATTTTGAGACAGGATCTCACCCTGTCACCCAGGCTGGAGTGCAGTAGTGCAATTATGGCTCATTATAGCCTCAACCTCCCTGGCTCAAGTGATCCTCTCACCTCAGCCTCCTGAGTAGCTGGGACCACAGGTGCGTGCCACCATGTATGGCCAATTTTTGTATTTGTTGTAGAGACAGGGTTTCATCATGTTGCCCAGGTTAGTGTCAAACTCCTGGACTCAAGCAATCTGCCCACCTCGGTCTCTCAAACTGCTAGGATCACTACAGGCGTGAGCCACCACACCCAGTCCAATGATGCATTCTTAACAGGATTCTTCCTTCATAAAACCAATTATCAGCAGAAAAACTTCCAGCCAAGCAAGTTAACATATAGTGAAACACAGAAATCTGTAGGTACTTTAACTTTCTAGTAAGTCAAAAATTAAGGAAACACAAAATAACTTTAACTCCAGACACATAAACTCTCTGAGCCTCAATATCCTTAGCTATGAAATGAGGAAGGTGGACTTTAATGCAAAGGCTCTTAATTAGGGATCTACTCCATGTTTGGACTCTCTACAGAACTATTTGCAAATTTTTTATATATGTAGATATGGGCATCAGATTATCTGGAAGTTTACTACTACTTAAATACACTGCTTTGTTCTGGATTTCTAAACTTCTTTGTACTGAGTACCTTACACATGTTTGATGAAAATCCAGGAAAAAAAACCGTGTGAACCCATAGGGAATTAATAAGCTGGTATGAAAGACAGACTTTTTCCAAAAGTGACATTAATGAACTGCTTGGAAACCCCAAAGCCTAATCAATGCACTACTCCTAGAAGAATTGGGCTTGGTGATCCTCCTAGGAGTATCCTGTTACCAGTGGAGGTGACATTTAAAATAGGGCTTGTTTAAATGACATCATACAAGGGCCTGTTGGGCGATTTCTGTTTGACAGAGATGTGAAGTCATCATCTTGGGGACAGGGAACTTATAAAATAATTCTGGCATCAATATTTTGTCTATACAGTGTATAGACAAAAGAATTATTCCAACCTCCAATGACCCATTCTTACCAAGATCTCTGGCTGCACTTATTAATGTTGACTGCATCTTCTTTTCCAAGTCATTCATTATTTCTCTTAATTCAC